>NC_000003.12:138857089-139160119 GCF_000001405.40 Homo sapiens | reverse complement strand
TCTCGCCTCCAAAAAACTGACAGTTTAGTGGGAAGACAGAAGCACAGGCAAGTCTGTATAATGTCTGTAAGAATGGGCTTTAATCAAGGGATGAACCAACACCACTGGTGCTCAGGGAATGAATCACTTTGCCTGCAGAGGTCAGCTGGGCTTCCTCAAGGGATAGGACATTTGAGCTGGGCCTGGAAAAGTGAACCCACTTGCCTCTTACTCCCTCCCAAGAGAAAAGTATGGACAAAGGCAGGGCAGTGTGGGACAGCATGGCAGGCGTAGGGAGCCATGAAGAGAATGGTGGTGGGCAGACAGCGAAGAGGAGCAGAGTGGGGTTGAGGCTTCCCTCTGGATCACAGAGGGCCTAGGGGGCAGGCTAAGGAATTTGCATTAGCTTAAAGCTATTGAAGCACCCTGGAGAGGTTCATACTGGAGCCATTCCCAAGGAAATGGTAATGTTATATGACAGTTAAGACCACAAACTCTGGCACAGGACACGTTTGCATTCAAATCTTAGCTCTTGTAACCTAAAAGCTGCTTGAACATGGAAGAGTTACTCTGTGCCTTAGTTATTTCATCTGTAAAATGGGTATAATAATAGTACGTACCTCAAAGGGTTAAATATGAGGCTTAAGTAAGTTAATTCTTATAAAGTATTTAGAACTGTGCCTGGCTCATAGTAAGCACTGAAGTGTTAGCATTAGCATCAGCACTATCACTCTTTTAATTATCTGAATTTCCTCCTAGAGTGCCCGTCCATGAGGGTGGAAAACCTGTTCATCTTGCTTGTCCCATGATCCCAGTGTCTAGAAAAGGATCTGGCATATAGTAGGTGTTCAATTAATGTTCACTGAATGAAACAAATGGCAGACTGGATGGGCTGGTCCTCCTGAGGCATGGGCTTCTCAAGCCTCTGGAGACCCCAAAGTTAGGCAATACCTCCTGTCCTGCCTGGATGCTAGGAAGCAGGCTCAGCTGGGGCTTGCTCAAGGGTCCAGAGTCACCCACTCATGCTCCACAGACTTTGCCAGCTGCAGACACACTTACCCTCATCAGGGCCTGCCTACCCCAGGACACAGCCACACAGCCTTAACCTGCACCTTCAAAGTCTGCCTCTCATTACCTTGATGGGCCGTCGTGTTGCCACCTCTCCTCAGCCAGGGGTCTAGAAACAGGCCATTTCTAGGGAACTTCTGCTTTCCATCCTCTAGTATTAAAACCACCCAATGATTCTCAGTCCCTTGCAGTCAGGTCCCCTCCAGACCCTCCTCCCTGCCTCTGCCCAAGTAAGCCTTCCACATTCAAATCTTCTTAGGTCGCTTCTGTGCTTAAAACCCAGCCCTGCTGTCACTTGTCCTCCAGATAAAGTCCAAACACTTTAGCACAGCTGCTTACCAAACCCTACACAGTCAGCCCCAGACCATGTTCCCAACCTCACCCTCCAGCTGCATCATTGCTCTGAGACCCTTCTCACTTTGTCCACCAGTATGCAGCTCCCCAAATGCCCTTGTCTTTACACGTCTGCCTAGAGCTCCCTTCTCCCCCTGTGCCCCCAGAAAACTCCTCTGCAACCCATTAAGACCTACTTCAATTACAATTTACTCCATGGCACCCCTCCCCAGGCACCCTGTTATGGCTTAATAAAGCTGTTTTATAGCCACTTACAATTACGTTTATATTTCTGTCTCAACCACAGGACTGAGAGACTTTGAAGGAAGGGCTGGAACTGTCTGGTTTTGGGGGTTTTTTTTGTGGGTTTTTTTTTTTTACTTATTTAGTGCCCAGTTCAGAATATGGGACATAATAGTCACTCAGGAAGTGTTGTTTGGTTGGTTGGTTGGTTAGTTGATCCACTGGCAGAATGAATGAATAAATAGCAAGCTCTCTGTACTCCTGTGATCCTGGCATGTAGTAGGGGTGCAGTGAATGTTTCTTGTGTAAATTCATAGATAAAGTGCCCCTCCATTGGCCTTCTACGTTGGATTTTTGTTCAGCACAAGCCCCACCTAATACACATACACATAAACACACACACACACACACACACACACACACACACACACAGCTCTTCCAACGCCCTCCTTTCACTTTTTCTAAAAGAACCATTTGGTGAGCACTGACTTATTTAACTATAATCTAATAGAATTCATTTTGTATTGGGATATAAAAAGAATATATTCAAATTTGTAATCTTCGAGAAGTTCTTTTCAAAACATGGCCAAGAATTAGCAAGTGGTCCCATGAAATTTAGCCAAGGAACAGCTGATGAGCGGATGTTCTTTCTTGGGTGCCCCTGCCTGCTCCCCCACCCTACTCTGCGCATGTGAGGCCCCGGCCCAGCCTTTCTTCCTTGGCATTGAGTAGACACCTGTGGCTGTACTGTAATCCCCAGGTAAGCCACCCACACATAGCCCAGCACCACCCCCATCCTGGTCATGGAGACATCAATAGCTGGGCGCACCTGCAGGCCAGCTGGTCACTGATCCATGGGCAAAGCCCAGGAGGGCTGAGGTCCCTGCTTTTGAAGAACTGACAGGGCTGCCCTGCTGAGCCTGACCCTTGACCTGCAGGTGGGCACAACCATTGTCCCTACATGTCCCAACCACTGTCTGCCCCGCTGCAGGGACCCGTGAAGGTATCCATTTCAGGTCAGTGCAAAGCAAAACAAACAGAAGGGCCAAGGGGCAGGGGTTTGTGTGGAGGGCTTTGCTGGGCAAGGAAGCCACTGTTGAAAGTACAGGTATAATCCTCTCCAGGCAGGCCCCACCAGCCAGCAGGGCGCCACCTGCCATGAAGCTATTTATAAACACGTGGCCTGGGTTGAATCTCCAAAACAAGAGATGCTGTAAATCGGGGGCTCTACAGGCATTGGAAGATGCTTCAACATCAGAAATAGGAGAAAGGAGGTGGAGCGATCTCCCTGCCATACACCAGAAGCTGAAGCCAGCACAGACCTGGCAGAAGAGAGCTGGCAGAGCCTCTGCAGAGCCCAAACACTACAGACAACTACCTCACTGTCAGACTCCAACAGCAGGAGATGAGTCCATTCAAGCCATAGCATTTCTGGCAATCATCAATGTGCTACTGGCAAAGAGTAGAGTGTTTGTGAATGAAGGCTTCGGGGGTCGGAGCGGGGGTTGTATCATTTAGCAGGACAGACCTATATCTTGTTTCTAATTCTGGTTCAGCCACAAACTAACTGTGTGAACTCAGATAAGTGACAACCTCTTGGAGTCTCAGTTAATTCACCGATAAAACAGGCATGTCAATGTCCAACTTGAAGGGGTGTTGTGGGGATCAATTGTGTTCAAAATCCCCTGGTCCCCCCTTCAGCCTCTCACTTCCTATAATCCACCTGGCTCAGCCAACCAAATATAGTCATATGCTGCATAATGACATTTCAGTCAATGATGGAATGCATATAGAATGGTGGCGCCAAAAGATGATAATAGCTGAAAAATTCTTATTGCCTAGTGACATAGCCATCATAATGTCACAGTGCAAAACATTACTCATGTGTTTATGGTGAGGCTGGTATAAACAAACCTACTGTGCTGCCAGTTGTATAAAAATATAGCATATACAATTATGTACAGTACATAATACTTGAAAATGATAATAAATGACTGATGATAATAAACTGTTGGTTTATGTATTTACTATACTATACTTTATATCCTTATTTTAGTGTGTACTCCTTCACACTCCTTCAGGAAAAATTCCAAAAGAAGACATTGTTATCACAGAGACGACAGCTCCAAGTGTTCCACTGAAAGCCTTTTAGTGGGACAAGATGTGAAGGTGGAAGACAGTGATATTGATGATCCTGACCCTGTGTAGGCCTAGCCTAATGCATGTGTTAGTGTTTTAGTCTTTAAAAAAAATTTTTTTAAATAATAAAATAAAATTTTTAAATGGAAAAAGCTAATAGAATAAAGGTATAAAGATAATATTTTGTACAGTTATACAATATATTTGTGTTTTAAGCTAAGTGTTATTACAGAAGACTCCAAAAGTTAAAAAAAATTAAAAATTTTATAAAGCAAAAATGTTATAGTAAGCTAAGGTTAATTTGCTATGGAAGAAAGAAATTCTTTTTTTTTTTCTTTTTTTTTTTTTTTTGAGATGGAGTTTTGCTCTTGTTGCCCAGGCTGGAGTGCAATGGTGTGATTTGCACCTCGGCTCATTGCAACCTCTGCCTCCTGGGTTCAAGCAATCCTCCTGCCTCAGCCTCTCAACTAGCTGGGACTACAGGCATGTGCCACCACGCCCGGCTAATTTTGTATTTTTAGTAGAGACAGGGTTTCCCCATGTTGGTCAGGCTGGTCTGGAACTCCCAACCTCGGGTGATCTGCCTGCCTCGGCCTCCCAAAGTGCTGGGATTACAGGCGTGAGCCACTGTGCCCAGCCGTTTTTTTAACCTTTATTTGAGTTCAGGGTTACATGTGCAGGTTTGTTATATAGGTAAACTGTGTGTCACGGGGGTTTGGTGTACAGATAATTTTGTCATCTGGGTAATAAGCACAGTACTGAATAGGTATTTTTCTCACCCTCTCCCTCCTCCCACCCACCACCTTCAAGTAGGCCCCAGTGTCTGTTGTTCCGCTCCTACTATCCATATGTTCTCATTGTTTAGCACCCACTTATAAGTAAGAACATGCAGTATTTGCTTTTCTTTTCCTGTGTTAGTTTGCTAAGGATAATGGCTTCCAGCTCCATCCCTGTTTCTGCAAAGTACATGAGTTCATTCTTTTTTATGGTTACATAGTATTCTGTGGTGTACATTTACCACATTTTCTTTATCAGGTCCACCACTGATGGGCATTTAGGCTGATTCCATGTCTTCCATATTGTGAATAGTGCTGCAATAAACATATGTGTGCATGTGTCCTTATGGTAGAATGATTTATATTTTGGGGGATATATACCCAAAAATGGAATTGTTGGGTTGAATGGTAATTCTGTTTTAAGTTCTTTAAGGAATTGCCACACTGCTTTCCACAATAGCTGAACTAATTTACACTCCATCCAGCAGTGTGTAACTGTTCTGTTTTCTCTGCAACCTCATCAGCATCTGTTATTTTTTGACTTTCTAGTAATAGCCATCCTGACTGGTGTGAGATGGTATCTCACTGTGGTTTTGAATTGCATTTCTCTAATGACCAGTAATGTTGAGATTTTTTTATATGATTGTTGGCCACATAAAAGTCTTCTTTTGAGAAGTGTCAGCTCATGTCCTTTGCACACTTTTTAATGGGGTTGTTTATTTTTTGTTTGTAAATGTGTTTAAGTTCCTTATAGATACTGGCTATTAGATCTTTGCACAGTTTCCAAATATTTTCTCCCTTTCTATAGCTTGTGTGTTTACTCTGTTGATAGTTCCTTTTGCTGTGTAGAAGCTCTTAAGTTTAATTAGATCCCATTTGTTAATTTTTGCTTTTGTTGTGATTGCTTTTAGTGTCTTCCTCATGAGATCTTTGCCAGTTCCTGTGTCCAGAATGGTATTGCATAGGTTATCTTCCAGGGTTTTTATAGTTTTTGGTTTTGGATTTAAGTCTTTAGTCCATCTTGAGTTGATTTTTGTATGTGGTGTAAGGTAGGTGTCTGGATTCAATCTTCTACATATGGCTAGCCAGTGATCCCAGCACCATTTATTGAATGGAGAGTGCTTTTCCCATTGCTTATTTTTGTCAGCTTTGTCGAAGATCAGATGGTTGTAGGTTTGCAGCATTATTTCTGGCTCTGTATTCTGTTCCATTGATCTGTGTGTCTAATTTTCTACCAGTATTATGCTGTTTTGGTTACTGTAGCCCTGTAGTATAGTTTGAGGTCAGGTAACATGATGCCTCCAACTTTGTTCTATTTGCTTAGGATTGCCTTGGCTATTCAGGCTCTTTTTTGGTTCCATATGAATTTTAAAATAGTTTTTTCTAATTATGTGAATAATTTAATTGGTAGTTTGATAGGAATAACATTGAATCTATAAATTGCTTTGAGCAGGACGGCCGTTTTAACAATATCGATTCTTCCTATCCACGAGCTTGGAATGTTTTTCCATTGTTTGTGTCATCTCTGATTTCTTTTAGTGGTGTTTTGTAATTCTCATTGTAGAGCTCTTTCACCTCCCTGGTTAGCTGTATTCCCAGGTATTTTATTCTTTTTGTGGCAATTTTGAATGGAATTGCATTCCTGATTTGGCTGTCAGCTTGGATGTTGTTAGTGGATAGGAATGCTACTGATTTTTATTTGTTAATTTTGTATCCTGAAACTTTGCTGAGGTTGTTTATCAGATCAAGGAGCTTTTAGGCAGAGAATATGGGGTTTTCTGAATATAGAATCATGTCTTCTGCAAACAGGGATAGTTTGACTTCCTCTGTTCCTATTTGGATGCCCTTTATTTTTTTCTCTTGCCCTGATTGCTCTGGCCAGAACTTCCAATACTATGTTGAATAGGAGTGGTGAGAGAGGGCATCTTTGTCTTGTGCCAATTTTTGAGGGGAATGCTTCCAGCTTTTGTCCATTCAATATGATGTTGACTGTGGCTTTGTCATAGATGGCTCTTACTATTTTGAAGTATGTTTCTTCAATGCCTAGTTTATTGAGTTTTTAACATGAAGGGATGTTGAATTGTATCAAAAGCCTTTTCTGCATCTATTAGGATAATCATGTGGTTTTTGTTTTTGGTTCTGCTTATGTGATGAATCACATTCATTGATTCGAATATGTTGAACCAACCTTGTATCCCAGGGATAAAGCCTAATCATAGTAGATTAGCTTTTTGATATGCTGCTAGATTTGAGTTGCTAGTAATTTGTTGAGGATTTTTGCATCTATGTTCATCAAGAACACTGGCCTGAAGTTTTGCTTTTTGTTATGTCTCTGCCAGGTTTGGTATCAGGATGATGCTGGCCTCATAGAATGAGTTGGGGAGGAGTCCCTCCTCCTCAATTTTTTGGAATAGTTTCAGTAGGAATGACATGAGCTGTTCTTTAGACATCTGGTAGAATTCAGTTGTGAATTCATCTGGTCCTGAGCTTTTTTTGGTTGGTAGGCTTTTTATTGATTCAACTTTGAAACTTGTTGTTGGTCAGTTGAGGAATTCAAGTTCTTCCTGATTCAGTCTTGGAAGGTTGTGTGTATCCAGCAATGTGTCCATTTCTTCTAAGTTTTCTACTTTGTGTGCATAGAGGTGTTCAGAGTAGTCTCTGATTTTTTTTTTTTAATTTCAGTGGGGTCGGTGGTAATGTCCCCTTTGTCATTTCTACTTGTGCTTATTTGGATCTTCTCTCTTTTTTTCTTTATTAGCTTAGCTAGCAGTCTATCTATCTTATTAACTTTTTCAGAGAACCAATTTATAAATTAGTTGATCTCTTGTATGGTTTTTCATGTCTCAGTTTCCTTCAGTTCAGCTCTGGTTTTGGTTATTTCTTGTCTTCTACTATCTTTGGAGTTGGTTTGCTCTTGCTTCTCTAGTTTTTCTAGTTGGGATGTTAGGTGTTAATTTGAGATCTTTCTGATTTTTTGATGTGAGCATTTAGTGCTATAAACTTGCCTCTTGACTTTGCCTTAGCTGTATCCCAGATATTCTGGTATGTTATACATTTGCTCTCATTAGTTTCAAAGAATTAATTTCTGCCTTAATTTCATTGTTTGCCCAAAGTCATTCACGAGTAGGCTGTTTAATTTCCATGTGATTTTATGGTTTTGAGTGATTTTCTTAGTAATTGATTTCTATTTCTACTGCACCGTGTGCAAAAGTGTGGTTGGTATGATTTTGGTTTTTTGAATTTGCTGAGTATAGTTTTATGTCTGATTGTGTGGTTGATTTTGGAGTATGTGCTATGTGGCGATGAGAAGAATGTATATTCTTTTGTTTTGGGGTGGGGAGTTCAGTAGAAGTCTTTTAGGTCCATTTGGTCAAGTGTTGTGTTCAGGTCCTGAATATTTTTGTGAATTTTCTGCCTTGATGATCTGTCTAATACAGTCAGTGGAGTGTTGAATCTATTATGGATTGTATGGGAATCTAAGTCTCTTCATAGGTCTCTAAGAACTTGCTTTATGAATATGGGTGCTCCTGTGTTGGGTGCATATATATTTAGGATAGTTAGATCTTCTTGTTGAATCGAACCCTTTACCATTATATAATGCCCTTCTTTATCTTTTTTTCATCTTTGTTGGTTTAAAGTCCATTTTGTCTGAAATTAGGATTGCAACCCCTGTTTTTTCTATTTTTCCTTTGCTTGGTAGATTTTTCTCCATCCCTTTATTTTGAGCCTATGGATGTCATTGCATGTGAGATGGGTCTCTTGAAGATAGCATACCACTGGGCCTTGCTTCTTTATCCAGCTTGCCACTCTATGCCATTTAATTGAGGCATTTTGCCCATTTACACCCAAGAGTAGTATTGGTATGTGCGGATTTGATTCTGTCATCATGTTGTTGGCTGGTTATTATGCAGACTTATTTGTGTGATTGCTTTATAGTGTCACTAGTTTGTGTACTTAAGTGTCTTTCTGTAGTGGCTGGTAACAGTCTTTCCTTTCCATGTTTAGTGCTCCTTTCAGGACCTCTTGTAAAGCAGGTGTGGTGGTAACAAATTCCCTCAATATTTGCTTGTCTGAAAAGGATCTTATTTCTCCTTCACTTATGAAGCTTAGTTTGGCTAAACATGAAATTATTGGTTGAAAATTTTTTTCTTTAAGAATGCTGAATATAGGCCCTCAGTCTCTCCTGTGTTGTAGGATTTCTGCTGAAAGATCCACTGTTAGCCTGATGAAATTCCCTTTGTAGGTGACCTGCCTTTTTTCTCTAGCTGCCTTTAACATTTTTTCTTTCATTTCACTTTGGAGAATCTGATGATTGTATGTCTTGAGGATGGTCTTCTTGTATTATATAATATCTCACAGGGGTTCTCTGCATATCCTGGATTTGAATGTTGGCTTCTCTAGCGAGGTTTGGGATGTTTTCATGGACAATATCCTGAAATATGTTTTCCAAGTTGTTTGCATTCTCCCATCTCTTTCAGGAACACCAATGGGCCATAGATTTGATCTCTTTCCCATATTTATCTGAAGTTTTGTTCATTCTGTTTTCTTCATTTTTGTCAGACTGAGTTATTTCAGAGAGCCAGTCATCACACCTGAGATTCCTTCCTCAGCTTGATCTGTTCTGCTGTTAATAGTTGTGATTGCATTATGTAATTTTTACAGTATGTTTCTCAGGTCTATCAGATCAGTTTGGTTCTTTCTTATGATGGCTATTGCAATAGGCTATGGCATCTAGGTTTGTGTAAGTATACTGTATCATGTTGATACAATGGTGAAATCACCTAACAATGCATTTCTCAGACTGTATCCTCATCATTAAGCAACATATAACTGTGTTCTAAAATGCTAGAACTTTTAAAAACATTTCATTGTTAAATGTAACTCATTCAAAAAATACTTAAAGATCAGTGTATGATTTAATAAAATACTATAAAATGAATATGTGGTCTCCACCCAAATAAAAAGTTGGGGATTTGGCTTTTATTATTGAGCATAAATCCTAGAGATTCATCCAAGTTTCTGTGAGTATCAATTCATTGCTTTGGCTGGGCACAATAACTCATGTTTGTGATCCTAGCACTTTGGGAGGCCAAGGCAGGTAGGATTGCTTGAGCTCAGCAGTTTGAGACCAGCCTGGGCAACATAACAAGATCTTGTCCCTACTAAAAATTAAAAAAAAAAAAATCAGCTGGCCAGGTGATACATGCCTGTGGTCACAGCTACTTGGGAGGCTAAGGTGGGAGGATCACTTGAACCTGGGAGACCAAGGCTGTAGTAAGCCATGATCACACCACTGCACTCTAGCCCAGGAAACAAAGTGAGACCTTGTCTCAGAAAATTTTAAAAATTAATTCGTTGCTTTTTATTGGATTGCATGGCACATGTGTACCACAATTTAACCTTTCATATTTTTTTTGTTTGGTTCATTTATTTTTGTCTTGCAATGTGCCTAGGTTCTTGAACTCCTTGGCTCAAGCAATTCTCCCTCAGCCTCCTAAGCAGCTGAGACTATAGATGTCCTATTGAAGGACATCTGGAACGATCCTAGTTCTTGACTATTGCAAATAAAGTAGCTATAAACATTCATGTACAGGTTTTTGTGTGAACATAGCTAGACAGACCCTGTTAACTCCTCTGCTCACAATCTTCTAATAGCATCTCCTCTCAATTTTTTAAAGCCAAATTGTCTTACAATGGTCTGCAAAGCCCTACACAATGACTCCAGGCTCATCTCCAACCACTCACCCCTTGCTTACAACCCATCGGCAACCCTAATCTTATTGTTCTTTCTCCAACAAACCAGGCACATTCTGCCTCAATGCCTTTGCATTTGATGTTCCTTCAGCCCAGAATGCTCTTCCCACAGATAGCTACATGACCTACCCCCTCACTTCCTTAAAGTCTCTGCTTAAATGTCAATGAACTGATTAGAGAGTATATCCCTATATATAAAATATATATTCCCATATATATAAAATATCAATCCCCAGAGATCCTCCTACTGTTGCACTAGACAATCTCTATTTTCTTACCCTGTATTTCCCTCTCTATCATCAGACATGTTATATATTTATTGATTCACTGTTTGTATTATGTCACTAAAATCTAAATTCTACTCAAGCAGGGACTTTCTTTTGTCCACTACTGTATCCCCAACACTTAGAACAAAGTGTGGCACATACTAAGTACTAAAAAAAAAAATTAAGTAAAAATTAATTTCTAGGCTAAGGATAAACTCTTTTTTTAATCCTGGTTGTTGCGTATAACATAATTACTTCATTTCCATTGTTGTATAATATTCCAGTATATGAATAAACCACACTTATTATACGCTGTTAGTAAGCATTCTTTTATCTATCCCTGAGTACAGTTATACATTTATTTGGGGTATATATCTAAGAAATAAATTGCTGGATCATAAACTAAGAGTATCTTCAACTCTACTATGTAATTCCTCACTGTTTTCCATAGTGGTTGTACGAATGTCATACTCCCACCAGCAATGTTGAGCAGTTCTTATAGTTCCACATCTTCACCAATAATTGATAGTGTCAGATTCTCTAACTTCAGCTGTTCTGATGGGTATTTAATGACATCTTCCTGTGATGTGACATTTCATCACTCCTCTTACTGAGACTGATCACCTTTTATATGTTTTAGTATGTTTATTAGACATTTGGATGTCATAATTTATGAAGTGTCCATTCAAGACCTTTGCTCAGCTTTCTATGGGTTGCTTGCCTTTTTCATACTGACCTGGAGGAGTCTTTTATTGACTTTATGTGTCAAGGATCTTCGTCCATTTTGTCACTTCACCTTTCCTTCTCTCTTTATGGTATCTTTTGATGAACTGAAGTCCTAAATTTTAGTGTAGTCTTCTCCTTTATGTTTAGCAGGATTTGTGGGCTATATAAAAAACTGTCACTACCCTCGAAGTCATAAAGCTATTGTCCTATCTTATCTTTGTAAAGTTTCATTGTTTTACATTTCTCATTTAGATACACAGCACATCTGGATTTGATTTTCATGATGAGATAAGGTAAAGTTTATTTTTCTTATATGGATAACCAATTTTCCCAGCATCATTTATTGATGAGACCTCTCTCCACTGCTCCACAGTGTCACCATTGTCATAAATCAGTGCCCACACATGCATGGTCTGTTTCTGGATTCTCACATCTCTTCCATTGCTATATGTCTCTATCCTTGTGCCAGTACTACACAGTCTTAATAACTGTAGCTGGGGGGAGGGCAGCCAAGATGGCCTAATAGGAACAGCTCCGGTCTACAGCTCCCAGCGTGAGCGACGCAGAAGACGGGTGATTTCTGCATTTCCATCTGAGGTACCGGGTTCATCTCACTAGGGAGTGCCAGACAGTGGGCACAGGACAGTGGGTGCAGCGCACCGTGCACGAGCCGAAGCAGGGCGAGGCATTGCCTCACTCGGGGAGCACAAGGGATCAGGGAGTTCCCTTTCCTAGTCAAAGAAAGTGGTGACAGACGGCACCTGGAAAATCAGGTCACTCCCACCCTAATACTGCGCTTTTCCGACGGGCTTAAAAAACAGCGCACCAGGAGATTATATCCGGCACCTGGCTCGGAGGGTCCTACGCCCACGGAGTCTCGCTGATTGCTAGCACAGCAGTCTGAGATCAAACTGCAAGGTGGCAGCGAGTTTGGGGGAGGGGCGCCCGCCATTGCCCAGGCTTGCTTAGGTAAACAAAGCAGCCCGGAAGCTCCAACTGGATGGAGCCCACCACAGTTCAAGGAGGCCTGCCTGCCCCTGTAGGCTCCACCTCTGGGGGCAGGGCACAGACAAACAAAAAGACAGCAGTAACCTCTGCAGACTTAAATGCCCCTGTCTGACAGCTTTGAAGAGAGCAGTGGTTCTCCCAGCACGCAGCTGGAGATCTGAGAACGGGCAGACTGCCTCCTCAAGTGGGTCCCTGACCCCTGACCCCCAAGCAGCCTAACTGGGAGGCACCCCCCAGTAGGGGCAGACTGACACCTCACATGGCCGGGTACTCCTCTGAGACAAAACTTCCAGAGGAACGATCAGACAGCAGCATTTGTGGTTCACGAAAATTCGCTGTTCTGCAGCCACCGCTGCAGATACCCAGGCAAACAGGGTCTGGAGTGGACCTCTAGCAAACTCCAACAGACCTGCAGCTGAGGGTCCTGTCTGTTAGAAGGAAAACTAACAAACAGAAGGGACATCCACACCAAAAACCCATCTGTACATCACCAACATCAAAGACCAAAAGTAGATAAAACCACAAAGATGGGGAAAAAACAGAGCAGAAAAACTGGAAACTCTAAACAATAGAGCGCCTCTCCTCCTCCAAAGGAACACAGTTCCTCACCAGCAATGGAACAAAGCTGGACAGAGAATGACTTTGACGAGTTGAGAGAAGAAGGCTTCAGACGATCAAACTACTCCGAGCCACAGGAGGAAATTCAAACCAAAGGCAAAGAAGTTAAAAACTTTTAAAAAAATTTAGACGAATGTATAACTAGAATAACCAATACAGAGAAGTGCTTAAAGGAGCTGATGGAGCTGAAAGCCAAGGCTCGAGAACTATGTGAAGAATGCAGAAGCCTCAGGAGCCGATGCGATCAACTGGAAGAAAGGGTATCAGTGATGGAAGATGAAATGAATGAAATGAAGCGAGAAGGGAAGTTTAGAGAAAAAAGAATAAAAAGAAACCAACAAAGCCTCCAAGAAATATGGGACTATGTGAAAAGACCAAATCTGTGTCTGATTGGTGTACCTGAAAGTGACAGGGAGAATGGAACCAAGTTGAAAAACACTCTGCAGGATATTATCCAGGAGAACTTCCCCAATCTAGCAAGGCAGTCCAAAATTCAGATTCGGAAATACAGAGAACACCACTAAGATACTCCTCGAGAAGAGCAACTCCAAGACACATAATTGTCAGATTCACCAAACTTGAAATGAAGGAAAAAAAGTTAAGGGCAGCCAGAGAGAAAGGTCGGGTTATCCACAAAGGGAAGCCCATCAGACTAACAGCGGATCTCTTGGCAGAAACTCTACAAGCCAGAAGAGAGTGGGGGCCAATATTCAACATTTTTAAAGAAAAGAATTTTCAACCCAGAATTTCATATCCAGACAAACTAAGCATCATAAGTGAAGGAGAAATAAAATACTTTACAGACAAGCAAATGCTGAGAGATTTTGTCACCACCAGGCCTGCCCTAAAAGAGCTCCTGAAAGAAGCACTAAACGTGGAAAGGAACAACCAGTAACAGCCACTGCAAAATCATGCCAAATTGTAAAGACCATTGAGGCTAGGAAGAAACTGCATCAACTAACGAGCAAACTAACCAGCTAACATCATAATGACAGGATCAAATTCACACATAACACTATTAACTTTAAATGTAAATGGACTAAATGCTCCAATTAAAAGACACAGACTGGTAAATTGGATAAAGAGTCAAGACCCATCAATGTGCTGTATTCAGGAAACCCATCTCACGTGCAGAGACACACATAGGCAGAGATACAACAAAAAAAGAGAATTTTAGACCAATATCCTCGATGAACATTGATGCAAAAATCCTCAATAAAATACTGGCAAACCGAATCCAGCAGCACATCAAAAAGCTTATCCACCATGATCAAGTGGGCTTCATCCCTGGGATGCAAGGCTGGTTCAATATACGCAAATCAATAAATGTAATCCAGCGTATAAACAGAACCAAAGACAAAAACCATATGATTATCTCAATAGATGCAGAAAAGGCCTTTGACAAAATTCAACAACCTTCATGCTAAAAACTCTCAATAAATTAGGTATTGATGGGACGTATCTCAAAATAATAAGAGCTATCTATGACAAACCCACAGCCAATATCATACTGAATGGGCAAAAACTGGAAGCATTCCCTTTGAAAACTGGCACAAGACAGGGATGCCCTCTCTCACCACTCCTATTCAACATAGTGTTGGAAGTTCTTGCCAGGGCAATTAGGCAGGAGAAGAAAATAAAGGGTATTCAATTAGGAAAAGAGGAAGTCAAATTGTCCCTGCTTGCAGATGACATGACTGTATATCCAGAAAACCCCGTTGTCTCAGCCCAAAATCTCCTTAAGCTGATAAGCAACTTCAGCAAAGTCTCAGGATACAAAATCAATGTACAAAAATCACAAGCATTCTTATACACCAGTAACAGACAAACAGAGAGCCAAATCATAAGTGAACTCCCATTCACAATTGCTTCAAAGAGAATAAAATACCTAGGAATCCAACTTACAAGGGATGTGAAGGACCTCTTCAAGGACAACTACAAACCACTGCTCAATGAAATAAAAGAGGATACAAACAAATGGAAGAACATTCCACACTCATGGGTAGGAAGAATCAATATCGTGAAAATGGCCATACTGCCCAAGGTAATTTATAGATTCAATGCCATGCCCATCAAGCTACCAATGACTTTCTTCACAGAATTGGAAAAAACTGCCTTAAAGTTCATATGGAACCAAAAAAGAGCCCACATCACCAAGTCAATCCTAAGCCAAAAGAACAAAGCTGGAGGCATCACCGCTACCTGACTTCAAACTATATTACAAGGCTACAGTAACCAAAACAGCATGGTACTGGTACCAAAACAGAGATATAGATCAATGGAACAGAACAGAGCCCTCAGAAATAATGCCGCATATCTACAACTATCTGATCTTTGACAAACCTGAGAAAAACAAGCAATGGGGAAAGGATTCCCTATTTAATAAATGGTGCTGGGAAAACTGGCTAGCCATATGTAGAAAGCTGAAACTGGACCCCTTCCTTAAACCTTATACAAAAATTAATTCAAGATGGATTAAAGACTTACATGTTAGACCTAAAACCATAAAAACCCCAGAAGAAAATCTAGGCATTACCATTCAGGACATAGGCATGGGCAAGGACTTCATATCTAAAACACCAAAAGCAATGGCAACAAAAGACAAAATTGACAAATGGGATCTAATTAAACTAAAGAGCTTCTGCACAGCAAAAGAAACTACCATCAGAGTGAACAGGCAACCTACAAAATGGGAGAAAATTTTCGCAACCTACTCATCTGAAAAAGGGCTAATATCCGGAATCTACAATGAACTCAAACAAATTTACAAGAAAAAAACAAACAACCCCATCAAAAAGTGGGCGAAGGACATGAACAGACACTTCTCAAAAGAAGACACTTATGCAGCCAAAAAACACATGAAAAAATGCTCACCATCACTGGCCATCAGAGAAATGCAAATCAAAACCACAATGAGATACCATCTCACGCCAGTTAGAATGGCAATCATTAAAAAGTCAGGAAACAACAGGTGCTGGAGAGGATGTGGAGAAATAGGAACACTTTTACACTGTTGGTGGGACTGTAAACTAGTTCAACCATTGTGGAAGTCAGTGTGGTGATTCCTCAGGGATCTAGAACTAGAAATACCATTTGACCCAGCCATCCCATTACTGGGTATATACCCAAAGGACTATAAATCATGCTGCTATAAAGACACATGCACACGTATGTTTATTGTGGCACTATTCACAATAGCAAAGACTTGGAACCAACCCAAATGTCCAACAATGATAGACTGGATTAAGAAAATGTGGCACATATACACCATGGAATACTATGCAGCCATAAAAAATGATGAGTTCATGTCCTTTGTAGGGACATGGATGAAATTGGAAATCATCATTCTCAGTAAACTATCGCAAGAACAAAAAACCAAACACCGCATATTCTCACTCATAGGTGGGAATTGAACAATGAGAACACATGGACACAGGAAGGGGAACATCACACTCTGGGGACTGTTGTGGGGTGGGGGGAGGGGGAGGGATAGCATTAGGAGATATACCTAATGCTAAATGACGAGTTAATGGGTGCAGCCCACCAGCATGGCACATGTATACATATGTAACTAACCCGCACATTGTGCACATGTACCCTAAAACTTAAAGTATGATAAAATAAAATAAAATAAAATAACTGTAGCTTTATAATAGGCCTCGAGGAGGCACTACATACTTTTTTTTCTCCAAGGTTGTATTTGTTGTTCTTGTCCCTTCACATTTCCATAAAAATTTTAGAATCACATTGTAATTCTACAAAACAGAAACAAACCAGTTGGGATTTAATTGGAATTACATTGAATCTATAGATCACTTTGAGAACTAATATCTTTATAATATTGAATCTTCAAGCTGTGAACATGGTATGTCCTTGTATTTATTTAGGACTTCTTTGTTTTCTTTCAATAATATTTAATAGTTTTCTCTGCAGGAGTTGTGTGGACGTTTTATTAGACTTATTTCTAGGTGTTTAATATTTCCAGATATATTTAAGTAGCATGCTTTAATTTTGGGAGGTTTGTTGCTGGTATATAGAAACATGATTGAGTTTTATACATAGTCTTTGTGTCCAGCTAAACTCTTATAAAAAGTCTAATATTTTATCTGCAGATTCTTTTGGATATTCTATGTACATAATCCTATCCTCTTTAAATACTGAGACTTTTGTTTATTCCTTTCATGCATTCTCTTTATTTTCTTACCCTACTGCTCTGGCTAGGACTTCCACAACAATGTTGAATAGAAGTGGGGAGAGTAGACATCCTTGCCTCATTTCTAATCTTTGGGAAGAGTGGATGAAGGGATTCAGTAATTCCCCATTAAAGAGTGTTGATTGTAATTTGTGTAGATGCCTCTAATCAGAGTGAGTTCCCTTCTATTCCTAGTTTGCTGATAGCATTTTTTTTTTTTTTTTGAGACGGAGTCTCGCTCTGTTGCCCAGGCTGGCATGCAGTGGCGCGATCTCGGCTTACTGCAAGCTCCGCCTCCCAGGTTCACGCCATTCTCCTGCCTCAGCCTCCCGAGTAGCTGGGACTATAGGCGCCCGCCACCACGCCCAGCTAATTTTATTATTTTTTTTAGTAGAGACGGGGTTTCACCGTGTTAGCCAAGATGGTCTTGATTTCCTGACCTCATGATGCACCCGCCTCAGCCTCCCAAAGTGCTGGAATTACAGGCGTGAGCCACTGTGCCCGGCCTCTGCTAATAGCTTTTTTATCATAAGTGGAATTTTATCAAATATTCTGTCTATATCTATTGAGACAATCTTATGATCTTTCTCCTTGCTGTTAATTTGGTGAATTACATTGACTTGTTTTCAAATATAAAGGTAATCTTGCTGTCTTGGAATAAAGCCAACTCCATCAAAATGTTTTATGCATAATGTATATTACATGATTCAGTTTGCTAATACTATGTTTTATATCTTTATGTTCATGACTGGAATCAGCCTGTTATTTTCATTATTCATGTGTCTCTGTCAGGTTTTAGTATCAAGGTTATGCTAGTCTCATTAAAACAAGTTAGGGAGTCCCCTCTTTTTTATTTTCTGGAATAGCTTTTGTAAGATTCATGTAATTTCTTGCTTAAATGTTTATAGAAGATGCCTCTGATGTTTTCTTTGTGGAAACATTTTTTGGTTTTGAATTCAATATTTTGAATAATTATAGGACTACTAGAATTTCTATTTCTTATATTCATTTTTGGAAAGTTGGGTTTTTATAAGAATTTGTTCATTCTACCTAAACTCTCAAGTATTCTGTCATAAAGTTGTTGTGTTTACCCTCTTTTCTTTTTCTCTATGTCTTTGGCTCTGAAGTTGACGTCCTCTTTTTCATTCCTAACATTGCTTATTTACATCTTCTCTAAAACCAGGGTATTATCCATTTTATTAGTCTTTTCAATAAACCAAATTTGGCTTTGCTAATCCCTTCTATTTTACATTCGGTTTCTCTTTCATTAATTTCTACTCTTATCTTTGCTATAAGTTTTTCCTTCTACTTCCTTGGGTTTATTTTGTTCTTTATGATGATGTTTTCCTAATTTCTTGAGATGGATGCTAAGCTCATTAATTTCCATATTTATATGCGTCTAAGGATATCCATTTCTCTATAAATGCAGGTTTGTTTCCCACAAGTTTTGAATATAATATTTTTATCACTCGGTTAAAGAGATTTTGTTTAATATCCATTGCAGATTTTGCTTTAGTATTTAGAATAATAATACTAACTTGTAAGCACAGCTATCATTTTGCTATTGATTTCTAGCTTAATTGCACTGTAATCAAAAAACATTCTTTGAGGATTTCAGTACTTTTAAATTGCTTTAAATCTCACTGTATGCAATTTTCACAAATTTCTTACGTGTACTTGAAAATAATGTGTATTCTGCAAATGTTGAACACAATGTTTTACCAAAAGACTTTTTTCATATCTTCACTTTACTGCTGAGAAACCTCCAGGAATTGCCATTGCCCCTTGCTTCCACCGATGCTCAAAGATATGCCTTTAAGTATCTTGCGTGGGCCACATAGTTAATAAATGTGAGTCAGATGCAGGTCTTCTGGTGCCAAATCATGTTTCTGTTCTTTTCCCCTTTTCTACCTTTCCCAAGACTTTGTTTGGTGGGAAACATTTTAGAGATGAAGCAAGAGTTCCATAACCAAAGAATCTGTGGTCAAGCAGGTTTGGGAAATACTGCAAGAACCCAATTCGTTTGTTCACTGT
Source organism: Homo sapiens (assembly GCF_000001405.40). Classification (NCBI taxonomy): domain Eukaryota; kingdom Metazoa; phylum Chordata; class Mammalia; order Primates; family Hominidae; genus Homo; species Homo sapiens. The sequence continues at coordinate 139,140,983 of NC_000003.12, read as the reverse complement.
GGGACTCTGTAGACCTTACTATGCTATTGTGCCTTGTGGATCTCCAAAAGGCAAACATAGTATAGTTTCCCCAAGTTGTTTACACAGGAGCACTTTTTGTTTTATATAACTGCTATTAGGATTTAGCTATGTGAGACATGCTCTATGATGCCATGTTGCTTCCTGTAGATGACATATGAATGTCTATATGTGGGTTTGTGTGTACACAATGTACTGTCATATATATGGCAGTAACATCATCACTGGTTCAGACTTCAGGTGTCTGACAATTAGATTACTACATACTCCAATTAACTGGTTTACTACATAATCAGATGACCTTTATACATCTGTGTAATTTAAAAACATGGAGAGAGCAGAACAAATGTGACTCTGGTTATAAAAAGGTGACATGAAGGATCCTTGTGATGTTGAAAATGTTCAGGTGGAAATACAAACTTACTCAGATGATAAAATTGTATAGAACCTAATACGCACACACACACACATGCACACACACACACACACGAATACAAATAAAACTAGGGAAATCTGAATAATACTGATGGATCGTATAAGTGTTAGTGTCCTTGTGATACTATACTATAGTTTTACAAAATGTTGCTACTGGCGGAAACTAGGCAAAGTATGCAACAGATCTTCCTTTATTAATTCTTATGACTGCATGTAAATCTACAACTATCTCAATAAAAATTCAGCTTAAAAAATGGAGCCACTGGGTGCAGTGGCTCACACCTGGAATCCCAGCACTTTGGGAGGCCAAGGCAGGCAGATCACCTGAGGTCAGGAGTTCAAGACCAGCCTAGCCAACTTGGCGAAACCCCATCTCCACTGAAAATTTAAAACTTAGCTGAGCGTGGTGGCAGGCCCCTGTAGCCCCAGCTACTCAGGAGGCTGAGGCAGGAGAATCGCTTGAACCTGGGAGGCGGAGTTTGCAGTGAGCCAAGATGCGCCACTACACTCCAGCCTGGGCGACAGAGTGAGACTCCATCTCAAAAAAAAAAAAAAGGAGAAAGAAAAGGTTAAATTATATTCTCAACTTCAAAAAGAAAACGAAAACAAATTATATAAAACATTTTCCAAAATTTCCATCAAAAAAGTCAAACTCATAGAAGCAGAGAGTAGAATGGTGGTTCCCAGGGGCTTGGGAGTAAGAGTAGAGATGAGGGAGATGTTGGATAAAAAAATACAAAGTTGGATAAAAAAATACTGGCCAGGCACAGTGGCTCACGCCTGTAATCTCTGCACTTTGGGAGGCTGAGGCAGGTGGATCACAAAGTCAGGAGTTCAAGACCAGCCTGGCCAAGATGGTAAAACCCCATCTCTACTAAGGATTAAAAAAATTAGCCGGGCGTGGTGGCACACACCTGTAATCCCAGCTACTCAGGAGGCTGAGGCAGGAGAATTGCTTGAACTCAGGTAGCAGAGGTTGCAGTGAGCCGAGATTGACCACTTCACTCGTCTGGGCGACAAAATGAGACTCTATCTCAAAAAAAAAACAAAAAAATACAAAATCTCAATTAGATAGGAGATATAAGTTCAAAAATTCTATTGTACTACATGTTGACTGTAGTTAATAACAATGTATTGTAAACTTGAAAATCACTAAAAAAGTAGATGTTAAGTATTTTCATTGCAAAAAAATAATAAGTATGTGAGGTACTACATATGTTAACTAGTTCAATTTAGCTATTCCACAGTGTATACGTGTTTCAAAATATCGTATTGCACAACATAAATACATATAATTTTATTTTGCCAGTTAATTTTTTTTTACTTCCATCAAGAATGGCTAAATATTTTGGTGTTTTCAAAAGTAAGCTGCATTTCTTTGGGAAATATTCACTTATGCAGAATAAATTTTGCCTTAACAATGGTGGAAGCATGAAATGTCCACTTAATGTTGCAGCCAGCACAGGCCTCCCCAGTCAGCTCCTGCTCAGAAAACAGGCCAAGGAAGATTGTGCAAAAATATCCAGAGCACGGGCTTGAAGAAGGGAAAATTCCGAAAAATAAAGGGTGATCACAGTGTGGCATATGAGTTTATTTATTGTCTGCTTGTCCTATTTTTTTCAAGAGTATAACCTCACTGATAAGAACACAAGCTCAGAATCAGACAAATGTAGAACTGAGTCCCAGCTCCACCACCTACAAATTAGATCGTGTTGAACAATTACTATTCTCAGTTTTCTCACTTAGAAAGTAGGAATGATAATAGTTCTTACACCATTGTGCTATTGTGAAGAGTAAATGAGAACATGAACTTAAACTACTTAGCCTGGTGCCAGACACACAGTTTGTGTTTATTAAAAGTAGCTATCATTATTTCTAGAATCTAAAATCACATTTCTGAGGATGAATACAAGCTACCACGAGAGAAAGTAAACAATAATATAATTATAAAATAAAAAAGGAAACCAAAGAATTTATGTTTTTCTAGAAAAAATATAACCACAATGTTGGATCAGGAAAATATACAAGATATTAATACACCAATATCCATAGAAGCTACAGAAAAGATAGTCAATGATCTATCCCCTTCTCCCAAAAAAAAAAAAAAAAAAAAAAAAAAGGTATGGGCCAAGAAGATAGTATGCGTAGATAAATAGTCCCAAGACTTCAGCAAGCAGATTATTCTCAGGCTATCCAATCAGAGTATAGTAAAGAAAGTTTTGGCCAGGCATAGTAGCTCATGACTGTAATCCCAGCATTCTCGGAGCCAAGGCAGGAAGTTTGCTTGAGCACAGAAGTTGGAAACCAGCCTGGACAACATAGTGAGACCCCATCTCTATAAAAATAAAAATTAAAAAAAAAAGAAAAGAAAGTTGCCCAGCTCTTTTACAAGGTTAGGTTTAACCCATATACCAAATCTGCCCCCATACACATACACTCAAAAATGGACCAACCACATCTGTGGACATAGAAGCAGAAATCCACTGTAATATATTATCAAATCAAATTTGGCAGACTATTAAGAGAATAATAAACAATGGATTCGTGGTAAGCAGACAGCGGAGCTGGTGTAAGCAGAATTGAGAGGCTGTTTTGCCATAAGTCTTCCCATGTCCTGGGCATCAGCTGCTTTGTTAACAGAAGAAATAGAGTGTCAGTTAATCCAACTACTCAGTTCCACAGATTGGTCAACCAAGTGTACTATTAAAACAGAGTTAACGTATGCAGGTGTGTGTATGTGGGGTGCACGGCTTGGGGGTGATAGAGAGAGAGTTGAAAGAATTTATGCTGTATAAAGTAATTCATACCCTTTTTAACATAATATTTTCACATAAGCTTATCTTTCATAAAGATCATTTGAAACAACTGGCTACCATTTCTTCTTCTTATGCATATACCATTATTGATTTACTAATCCCTTCATGTTAGGTATTTAAGTTCTCTTTTTCAATGCTAAAAATTATATTGCAATAAACATAGTCCTGGCTAATTCTTTGTTCATATTTCTGATATTTCCTTAGGACCTACTTTTAGAAGTAAAATTATTATACCAACCATTGCTACACTGTTTGAATTCTTAATACACGTTAAAAATCTTGATGCATTTGGCCTAAGTGCTCTTGAAAAAGTTGGCATCGTATTATACTTCTGCCCGTGGTGCATAAGCATGCCCTTTCTACTACAGACTTAGTAGCATTTAAGTGTTCTCTTTTCTGAACCCGTGTTAATGCAATGGGTCAAAAATGGTGATATCATGTTGTTCTTTTAATTTAGCACTGTTTGATAAGCAGCAGAGGTAAACTTTCTTTCCCATGTTTGACAGCCAGTTTCCTTGCTATGCATTGTCTTTACTTGAGTGAAGACAAACTCTGAAATATGCTGCCTTATAGAAATCTCTCTACAGGGTGATTTTTCTCAGTACGAAGTCTCCAGAGCATACGTGCTGTGACACACGCAGTCCTGAGCCAGCCATCAGCCAAGTACCTGGCTGGTGTAATGATGGAGAGCTGGAAACCCGAGTACCTCTTTGCAAAACCACTTTCATAATGACCAGCCCCCTGAATGGATGCAGATACAGGCAGGATAAGCCAAGAGAAGGATAAAGTGAAAAGGCCATATGTGAGGGCTTTTAATTGCCACAGACTGGAAACACTATTACACTTGTTTTTAATCTCCCTACTCTCTGTTCATCTCTCTCCTTTTAATTTCCCTAAATGGCCCAGCCGCTGCTGTTGAGGAGAAGGTATTTAATATGGGTGAGGATTTAGCTGTTCCTCCAGGAACAGGCTGGGCCACCGCTTTTGAAATGTCATCTTGATTTGCTGCTTCCTCACTAAGTAAGAGACTTAATAAGGCTTAGGAGATGATTCTGAAAACAAACCTCCCTAATGAAATGGCCCAGGGCCTCGCCCACTACTGTAGCTCTAGGGACAGCTGCCCTGGGAACAAGAGCTACTGATAGGAAAGGAGGCTGGAAACTGCCCACCTTGGCTCCAGCCACTCAGAACCACACCAAGTTCCCCTGGCCTGCCCTGTGTCTGTCTGTCTCTCTCTCTCTCCCCTGCTCCTACCTCCCCTCTTTCTCCCTGGGTCAGATGAGTCTCCTCCAAGTTCACCCAGCACTCTATACTTATATCTCTGCTAATATTTATTCCACAATGTTGGAATTATCTGTTGACTCTCCCACTTTCCCTTCCTCCTACATCCACTCCAAACCATGAGTTCTTTGAGAATAGGAATATGTCTAATTTGGCAGGATACCTTGGTACCAGACAGAGTGTTCATTCCAGAATAACTGCTCAATAAGTAATTGGTGAATGAATTAATTAATTACTCACCAGATGACCTTTAACATCTCTTTGTTACAAGTCAGCTATGGCTCAATTTTCTTATCTATCAAACAGGAATACATATTCCTGCTGGAATCCCTTAGAGAGGTACTGTGAACAACTACAAGAGGGCTATGAACAGCTTGTTTTCAAAGGATACAGTCATGCAGGTGGTGTACTTCCCAGAGTATCTGAACAAGATGGTGTGTGGGATCTAGGATCAGGCCTGAGCTCTGCCTACCAAACCATGTGCCCTAGTTCATGGCTGTGTTTGGCTCAGGGTACCACCAAAGAGACACTGAACAATCAAGTGGCAGAATTACTTGGCCATTTTGCATGAACCAGTCTCTGTCATTGGCTGCTTAATTGCTAGCTCCACAGAACCTATCAGGTCAAATGATGCAACTGGCAGGCTGCTTGCATCACAGCCTGGACCTGCTTCAAACCCCTTTCATGCTCTGGGCCCCACTAAAAGCTGTGGGCTTCCCTTATCCCCCATAACTGGATCAGGCTAGTATTCCTCAGTGCACCAAAAGCTACCTCTAGAACCAACAGGAGCCTGCCAAGAATTGTACTGTTTCTGCCAGGAGGTGCAAGAGACAATTGTCCTTTGGAAGGATATTCCAGCATGCCTCTGACCACTAAACCCCTAGAAATTCACAGATGTAGAAGGCCTCTGTACCTTCATAGAATTAATCTCCATGTGTCATTCCAACACCTCCAATCTACTTGCCATTTCTTGCTCATCCAGTTCAATTAACATGTTGTTATCAATACAGTGAACCAACATGATGTTCTTCAGAATGCCCACATCCCTTTGGACTATACTATAACATAAGGTGAGAGAAATAACATCATCCTAAGGCAAGACCATAAATGTATACTGTTGACTGTGCCATGTCAATCCAAACTGACTCTACTCCTGCTTCATGATGGCTATGGAGAACAACATGACTGCCAGACTGATGTTCATACATCACCCACTGTAGACTGTGTTTCTTATCTACCAAGGACAGCACATCTGGCTCCGCAGCTGCAATGGGAACTATACTTAGTGTTGAAATAAAAATAAGACTATCTGACCACAATTTGATGACTGAGTTTTACTGCCAAACAAGGAACCTGCTCTGGCACAAATTCTAGGTGAGTTGTAGGAAAGAAGAGAAAAAGGGAAGATCTGTCAAAGCCAACAGACTGAGAATTGTTTCTGTCCTGTATTAGGAAATCAAAATTTGAGTGAGGCTGATTGGTGGAAACTAACTGGGCTCTTCTGTTGTGCAAGCATTAGAAGTGGTTTGCTGTATGCTCTGCTGAGTACCTGTGGACCCTGCCTCAGGATCATGATGTCCCCTTGCTTTGTGATATTCCTGAGTCAGGATGATCTCATCCCCAGGTCTGACCAGTTTCAACAGGCTAGGTGGCCCGGTCAGACTTTATCATTGGTTAAGTGTGTGGTAACAGTACTGTCCCTCAGAATCCAGCAATCCATACTATAGTAGGTGTTGGGCTGGTGAATAAAATAGGGTATGGCATTTTTTAGGTTCTTTGTCTTAGCACAATCTCAGTCAAATGTCAGTACCTCCCAAGATGAGGTATTTTTTTTAAATATACTATCTTGGTCAGGGAGAAAGGCAGTTTCAGAGCCTTTTACTTGTCTTTTCTCACTAGTTGAGTTGTTACTCAACAGGTCAAGGATCCCATGTGAGGGTTCTGCAAACTACCAAGAGGTCCACTCTAATTATACATTTAGGGCCTGGGGAAATGGCCATCAGCTGGATCCACGGATCCAGTGGACCCACTGTGAGCTAGATCTAGGCAAGGACTTCCTTTATTAGATGGACTTCATGCATGGACCTCATGTGTCCCCATTCTAGAAGAGTTATTATGGCCCACTGGGTCCCTGGGTATCAATGTCAGTTCAGACCCTGTGAAAAGGCTGAAAAATGTTTTCAGGTTTTTGAGAAGTCTGAGTATTCTTCCCAATGCATGGTTACCTCAGTAAATGGCCATAAGCCACTTTGAGAAAGATCTGGCATCATTACTACTGAGTATAGCTGCTTCAGAGTTGCAGGGTCCTTACTCACAGGGACACAGGCTTTCCTTCAGTCAATGGAGTTTGGCCCTGAGAAGTAGCTCAGGTATGAAAAACGGGCAAAATCAAAACTTTTTATTGGGCCAGTTGCTCTCCACCTCCCAATCAACCCCTAAATTTATACTGATATACAGTGTATATACATTAAAGAATTCCTGCGTTTGCTGCCCCTCTGTCTTGGAAGGAAGACCTTGGTCCTTTAACCATCTCCATAGTATTACTCAGGCAGGGCCTTCCTGTGCCACTTGGGCTTTGCCGCTCATTGCCATAGTTAGGTCCATCTTGCTTCTGATAGTTAAGCACTGCTGTTTGGCCTCTAGCATTTGGGATTCTATCCTTCCCCACTGCTACAAGGGGGCCCAGTGCTGTAACAGCATCTGCTAGCCTTAGCCCTGGTCTGGTCCACTGAGCTTTTCAGTGATGCCAAATGTCCCTCTCAGCACATTCCTTATCACTCTGGTAAAGAGAATGTCCTCTTGGCCCTCCCATGGAACATAGTTGACTTTTTCCAACTTTACATAGTACATCCACTCTATTCTGTAAGCCTTTTGATTCCTTCTGCATTGTCTGCCACAGCAGTTTGCCATGTCTACTTAACTTAGTGGGGGTTGTCACTTTTGCCAAATTTCCAAAAGCCATCCTGGCAGCATATTGGCATCATCTCCTGGGTTCTTTGCCAGTATATTAAATCCCATATGTGCTGCCATATCAATAAATTCTCCCCTATCTAGCTATATATTCTGCCTCCCATAATGTAGCACCTTGATCTAATTCATGCACACTCTCCCACCCCCTTCCACTCATGGAACAAATGAGCCAGATCCTGCCACCAGCGTACAGTCCCTCTCCTCCCTTAGCAGGCCCAGCTCCTCCCTAGTCTGGCTCCTCTGAGATTCTACCCTTGTTATTGGTCTGGTTGGAGGAGAAGAAGTGTGGATGAATCCCAAGAGGATTAAGCATTGTTTTATGCAGCATCTGCCTCATTTAACTGGAGGCTTCTACATAAGCCTCAAACAAGGTGTGGGAGGGGAGGGAGGATAACTGCCTTCTAATAACAGAGAGAGGGCACTTCTGCCTAGCAGCTTCAGGAGAATCTGGAAGTTCAAGGTTCTCAATTGTATCTACCCAGATTTCCCCATCTCAAGAACCTGAGGCTTGGTGTGCAAAGCTCACTGGGATTGAGAATTTGACTTCTGTAGTTCTGCTACTCTTATAATTAAGCCTAGTCTTCTGCTTTGTCTGCCCTCTGGCTGCATAAGATTAGTGTTTGCTTAAATGATGCTAACAAGGCTCTCTTGCTTTTCCATTTTGCCTTAAATTTGTAATTAGTTACCCAAAGCCTGCCATTATCTCTCTTCAACAAATGAACGGCACTCAACAACAACCACACAATTCTATAGTCCCCATAGTTATCATTTCCCTCATTCCTCTTAAGTGCCAGAAATAATACATCAACCCAAATTGCCTGCCAACAACATTCTACCCCAGCTCACCAATGTGCAAGTTTTAGCAACTGCACCTCTACAGCACACCAGGGGCCATCTGTGGGCCCACCTGTGATGGGGTCCTCATTGCCAGCCAGCTGACAAGGGACCATATTTTAGAGTCTAAGTCACAGGACCACTCTGGGAGCCAATGGTTTTAGATTGGATTTCCTAAAAAGACTTTGAGACAGAGCTGTATGCAGAAGTTCTCTTGGGGGTGTTCTTAAGAGAGATGTCAGGAAGGATGTAAGGAAGGAAGGCAGAATAAGGCAGAGAAAGAAACTGACCACAGTGCAATTTGCAACCAAGGCCTCAGCTGATCCTATCAGCTGGGCCTTGGTATTTCCATACCAGCTAGTCACTGGCCCATGGGCCACCCTGGGAGGGGACATACCCTTAGATAAGACAGTTTTCTACAGTAGAGGGCAAGGCTCAGTGAGGGATGCAGCTGTGAGCCATGAGCAGCAATATCTCCAGCAGCTGGGGGATGACGTGTCAGCCCTGAAGAGATCTGGGTGGAGCACAATGGCACCCCACAATAATGTCAGTAGGAGTCTGTGATGGCAGGGGTTAATGTGGCTCCAGGGCTCATCCCAGTTTTCAGCCTCCCTCACCCAACTCCCTAAAGGCCCTGCTGTCTGTGGATTCCTGGCCCCTGGGGCCTTGGCCTACAAACCACAGGGTAATTGCACATTTGGTTTTAGGGATTGGTGGGATTTCAGGAACTTATCCCTAAGCAACTGCCATCCAGATGGAGATACTAGGGCCACTGGTCTCTGAGTGAAATCACAGTATAGGTAGGGCGAGAGACAGCACTGGGAGTTTCTGTCCCCACACGTATGGGTAAACAGAAGCTCCTGCCACTAACAGCTCCCTGCAGCGTTTTCACTAGGGAACGGGAAGATCCAGGCTAAAGGCCCCTCTTCCGGGTGTCCTCCCAATGCCTATGACTCTAACACTGTTTGGGTGCTCCCTTCACTATCTCCTACAATGTGACAGGACCTACCCTTCATACAGCACATGAAGTTCTGCTGTTCCCCAGACAATGAGCTTCTACCTTGCACCGAGCCCTAAGCCAAGCACCCCACACATATGATATCATTTAACCCTTGTAACAATCCCTTGAGAGCATTATTATTGTTCCCATTTAGAGATAAAGAAACCGAGGCTCCAAAAAGTGAAATGACTTTCCAGCTAAATTTTCTCCCCCGACTCCCCCATAACCTGCACTGCACTCTGAAAACCTACCTGGTCAGAGTGTGAGCTCCCAGGGCTGAGGCCCTGTCCCTTCACTCTCTTGGTCTTGTGTGGCCACCTATCTGGCTCAGGCATAGCTCAGCGAAGCCCTGGAGGATGGTTTAGGAGCATCCCGATGATTGTGAGGGCAAGACCGCTCTTTTAGGATGACCAATCATCCCAGCCTGCCCAGGAATGATTGAGTTTTTCTGGGACTCTGGACTTTCACCCTACTCTTTTCCCACTCTTGTCCCCATTCTCAAAAGAAAGAAGGCAGTTGGTCTGTGATTATGGATGTGGTTGGCCTCAATGAGGGGACCACTGTCCTCAAACCCAGGCACTGCTCTCCCACCAACAACCTCCCTCTCCAGCAGCCTGACCAACTCTTGCTCTACCTTTCAGTTTCAACACATGTCATCACCCCAGAGGCTGTGTCATCTTCCCCAAAAAGAACCTTGTGCTTCTGTCTACTCCTATACCAAGCATGCACCCACCTCCACCTCCAAACCAGACCATGAGCTCCAATAGGCAGCGCCAAGGACATTGCTGGCCTGGCAGAGAGAAGAGGCTCCAAGACATTTGCTGAGTAGATGAATAAGTGGATGGGCAAATGGTGTTTAATTGCACCTTAATTGTTGTCTGTTCCTTACCTATTTATCCATGTAGTATTTTTTGATGCCCCTCCCCCTAGCCAGACTACCAGCTCAACTGAAAACTGAGGCTGGATCTTTCTTTGGGTCTTCCCCACAGTGCTGAGCACATGCACACAGCAGGGCACACTGTAGGTGCTCAGGAAAGGCTTTGAATGGATGCTTAAGGACACTTGCTGCCTGCAGTAAACTTTCTCAGGCTCCCTAGAGCATAGCAGATACGACTGCAGCTTTTTAAAATACTTCACACCCTGATCTGCATCAGTGGCTGCCTTTGAGCCCAGCACCCAGCGTGGCTGCTTCTCTGCAGGTCAAGGCTGTGCCTGATTGAAGAGGTAGGGGGTCAAGTACACTGGGCAGAGCTGGAGGAGTTCCTGTACTGTTTCCTCTGATCAGGAGTGGAACTTGTGTTGGGAGATGCCAGCACCTGCCATTTCAGCTGGCTGCACCTCTTAAATGATAGTGGTCTTGGCATACCTGTTCATCTGTTCGTCTATCTGTCTTGGGGCATCTCCAGCTTTTTCACCCACTCCCTTCCCCACACATCTCATTGGCCCTCTGTAGGCACCAGGTCCCATCCATATTCACAAAGATGAAGCCAGCAGAGCAGCTGTTCTGTTCCCTGGGGCCTGATGTTCTAAAGGGGAATAATGACTACTCATGAGTGTGCTTAACTGAGTTGACAGATGCTCATAGCAGACTGGACTTACTGTTCCTTGCAGTCTTCACTGACTTCAGTGTATACGGAGAAGACCAAATTCCACCCCTAGGCAATACTCTGGTTTCAGACTGAAATTTGAAGACAGAGTTAAGAACCTAGTTCAAGGGGGGCCACTGGAAGCACCAAAAGTTGTAGCAACCGTTGAGTCTACCTGTTCAGATGGTTTGTTTTGCAGGAACCACACATACACACACACACACACACACACACACACACACACACACACACACACTGCCTTCAAACTCCTCTGACTTGTCTTCATCACCTAACCAGTTTTCAACATACCCCACCCGTGTCTACCTGCTCAGCTCAAGTCAGGGGTGTAGCTCAGCACATTCATGGGTGATCGTACCTCACCATCATTCCCAGTAGTAAGCCCCTGTCTCCTTAAATTGCTTACCTGCTTATCTGGATTAAATCGAGCACCTGAAATGGGCCAGACACCATGCCCATTTAATTTAGTGCTCAAAGTTTATATATTAAATAATTTAGTGTTCAAAAAGAGTACTCTGTGTATTAGCTCCATTTAACAGATAAGAAAATCGAGTCTCAGAGAGGTTAAGTGACTTACTTAAAGGTACACAGTGGTGAAACCAGAATTTAAAACTAGGTCCTCTGATTCCAACCACTGCTCTTTCCACTACACTGCCCTAATTACATTTAAACATCACACATAACTGACCACCACTGCCTCTTTGTGCACCAAGACCTCCTCCCACACACCTCTCACTTTGCTCTGTTACCCAAAGTCAGGTGGCAACTCTAACTCTGAGTCTTCTTCATGCCAGTCATTGAGTCCTTTCCAGACACCTCTCCAGTTCCTCTCCCATCCTTCTCATTCCATTCCTACTGCCTCTGCATGGGAGAGTCCTCACCAGCTCTCCTTGTGTAACCATCACAACCTGCCCTCCCCACCCTTCCAATGTCATCACCCCATTCATTCCCTCCCCACAAAACCTCAGACTTTCTGCCTCTCTGTACTAGTCCTGCCCCTCCTAAGTAAGCCTTGCTGTCTCACAACTCTGCAGATGACAACAATGCTGCCCACACACTCTGCCTGTGAATTCCTAGTCATCCTTCAAAATTCAGTTCAAATGTTACCTCTGCTGAGAAGCGCCCGCCCCAGCTCTCCCAGGCAGAGATGGGTGCCCATCCTTTGACCTTTTTCAGTATCCTTATACTTAGCCCTCCCTGTCTCATGTCCTTTGCCACACACTAATGCAATCATTTAGTGTATGTGTATGTGTCTTCCCTATTACTCTCTGACTATCTCTTATCTGTCTTTGGCATTTTGTTTTGTGTGTGTGCATGCAGGCATGCATGTTTGACCTTGGGTGCAGACAGTTGTGTTAAACGTGCTTCTTGGTTTCATGGAACTCCATCATCACTGGCCCATGAAGGCCTCTCTTTTATCCCTATTCCCACCCTCCTTCCCCTCCTCCTCCTATTTGTCTCTGTGTGCCCAGGGCCTAACACAGCACACAGAAGGGTGCTCAGCAAATGCTGCTGGGTGCAGGAGATGGATGACAAATTAGTCATACACCCCATTTAATCCCATCCCTTGGAGATTTCATCAGTCAGCCAAAGTGGAGAATGGTATGGTTTAACTGGCACAGCCAAGGAAATGAGAGTTATTGAACAAGATCAAGTCTTTGTTGTTTGAAGTCCTGGCTGTTGCAGAAGAAATAAAAAAGGTCAAGAGTTTGAGACCACCCTGGCCAACATGGTGAAACCCCGTCTCTAGTAAAAATACAAAAATTAGCCGGGCATGGTGGCATGCATCTTATAATCCCAGCTATTAGGGAGGCTGAGGCAGGAGAATCACTTGACCCTGGGAGGGAGAGGTTACAGTGAGCCAGGATTGCACCACTGCACTCCAGCTTGGGTGACAGAGTGAGACTCCATTTTTTAAAAAAAATGTACACATCAGAGGCCAGTTTATCATTTGGGGACTGCAACGTAAAATTTTTGATGCAAAATTATTTCAATCCAACAAGCCCAAGATAGAACTCTCAGCTCTTCATCCAAAAGGGCACTGGCCTCCCCAGGAGTCACCTGAGAGGTCATTCCCTTCCTTCTAAAGATGCTGCTATTGTCCATAGATCTTGCTATTGATCTATAGACGCTCGTTATCGTCCGTGATCTTGGCTCATTGCGACCTCCGCCTCCCAGGTTCAAGCAATTCTCCTGCCTCAGCCTTGAGTAGCTGGGATTACAGGTGCCCGCCACCGCGCCTGGCTAATTTTTGTGCTTTTAGTAGAGATGGGGTTTCGCCATGTTGGCCTGGCTGGTCTCGAACTCCTAACCTCAGGTGATCCTCCCGCCTCAGCTTCCCAAAGTGAAATATGTCCCATAGTTTAATCAATGTGGCAGACTGTAAAAAAAAAAAAAAAAAAAAAAAACGAAAGTCACAATTCTTCACTCTTCCTTGTATCCTTTGCCATGAAACCTGTTTGGGCCAATAGGATGCTAGCAGGAATGAAGCACAGGCTTGAAATGAACTTGCAAACTGGAGTTTCCTTCTCTTTATGCCTCTGCCATTGCCAAAAGAACATGCCCCAGCTAGCCAGCTGGAGGATGAAAGACAAATCAAAGAAAGCTGAGTAGCCCAGATAACCCAGATGAGGCCATCCTTGCCTGGCATCATCCAGCTCCACCCTAGATATCTCAGCAAGCTCAGCCAAGATCAGCTGATAGCAGATGCATGAGTAAGTCCAGCCCACATCAGCTGAACCACTGCAAACTCATGAGCTAAATAATGTTATTGTTGTATGTCCCTGAGGCTTTTGTGGTTTCTTTTGCATCAATACTGTGGTAATTGATACCCAAAACAATCAACACACACACACACACATACACATACACACACACACACACACACACACAGACTTAATCGATCTGACCTTTGGGACTTCATAAAGGCCAAATCTGCCAGATTTGCCTCAATTAAAGGCACTGAAATGAATTTGTTAAAGGTTCTGAAGGTGGTCACTTAGGGGAAACCACCCAAAAGCATAGCATAATGACAACTTCTTTGAACAAGTGTAGAGCCTAAGGGGAACTACTTTAAAAAGGCAACATGTAAATGCTGGCATTTTTGCCTGTTACCTGTGAAAATACCTCATATTTGCTGAGTATCCCCTAGTGTGACTTCTGGAAGCACCATTTTTTTCTGTACCAGAGATAGCCCAATACGGAAGTCTATGTGAATACAATTAATGAACATCACCATATCTAAACCATGGGCTAATGTTTTTCTCTTTGGAAATACTAGATGCCTATGGATATCTGCAGAGGACTGCTGGATTAGTGGAAAATTACTTGAAAATCTGTTAACAGGCTACTGTGAAACTCAACTAACCATTATCTTTGGGGTTTGGGGCACAAGTGACAGAAACTAAGGCATATGTTTTCCATCCCTGCACCCCATCACACACACAAAAAAGGAAGGTCCTTGTGACCTAAAAATATAGTCTGCAAATGTTCAAAGCCTGCTTGTCTTTACATCTCCTCTGAAGATGTGCAGAGCTTTCACTTTTAAGTGCAAATGTCTAAAGGGTCTCCAGCCTGGGAAGAGCCATATCTCAGTCAGGCTGGGTGCTGGTGCCTGCACACTCTGGCTGGTGCCCTTCCCAGCAGGCAGCTGTACCCACAAGCTGGACTAATGAGGACCTTGTACCACCATCCCAAGACCAGGTCCACATACTGGGACAAGGAAGGTACTGCTCTTGAGGAGCCAAGGGGGGGTCTTTAGAAGGTTAGGGGACCACTGGATAGAGAGCTGATAGAGTTCTGTGGCCATGCACATGGGCTTTGGAATCACACCTGGTTCTAAACTGGTCTGCCACTTACTTGCTGTGTGACCCTAGGGAAGTCACTACATCCTTTCAGCCTCAGTCTCCTCAGCCTCAGTGTCCTCAAACATGAGAACAGTGACACTTTTTGGAGGGTTGTCACAGTAGTTAAATCAGAAAATGGATGTGGAGTAATTAGCATTGTCCCTGGCACACAGTAAACACTCCATAAAAACTGTTATTAGAATTATAGACACATTTTGGCTTGACTGCGATGAGAGCTGTTTTAAGCAAAGAATTACTAACCCACCAACAGTGTTATTGAAACAAGCCAAGGACCCACAGGATATATCCTGTAGCTAATGATGCATTGACTGTGCCAATCCATAGGTCCCCACTTCTGTCTGCTCAGCAGGCCCCCACCTGTCTCCTGTCCATTTCTCAAGAGCCGCAGACTGAGAAAACGGCCAAATGAACAAAAAACACACTCGTTAGAATTGTGTCAAAAGTAGGAATAAAATTGTTCTGAATGAGGTTTGAACTTGTGAGGATCATGCTCAGACCATGGACTCTGAGGCTCAAAGCTGTACTTTCTACTTCTTTCTTGAGCACATTCCATTTATTAAGCACCTGTTACATGGCAGGCGCTGTGCTAGGTGCATGACAAGCATTATCTCATTTAATTCTTCCAAGGACATTTTAAGATGTTTTGTATATGAGGAAATGAGGCACAGAGCAGGTAAGTCATGTGCCCAGTGTCACACAGCCATTATATGGCAGAGTCAAAAATTGAAGAGAGGTCTGTGCATCTCCAAAGCCCACACTCTCATTTCTGCCTCTTGCTGCCATGACCCCCACGCTAAACCGTCTAGATAAATGACCCTGTAAGGCCAACACAATGTGCACTCAGAGTAATGAACATGAGCCCTTTCTCATCAGTACTTTAATGATGTTTCCTAAGCTGTAGCAGTCCAATTTCTACCTCCACAATGTTTGCAACATCCACATACCTTTTCCTTTTACATTATCTCCCAATTGCTTTCATCAAATCATCTCACTTTTTTGACTGAACTTTATTTTAAAAGGAAACCTTCTGCATTATCACAGTTCATATCACTTGCTATAATTAATTAAATTTTAAATACATAATAATTAAATTTAAAAGGCCATCTGAATATCACTTAAAATCAGCTTGTGCACTACATGCTACATACCATGTCTAGTGAAGCTCTGCTATAAACATCATTTTCTCATATGTATGTATATATTTATATATATATAGAACTTTTATTATGGAAATTTTTATGAACAGTTTCAAAGCAAATGTGAAAAGAATAGTGTAATAAACCCACGTACTGATCACTCAACTTCAACATTATCAACTCACACCTACTCCTGTTTCGTCTGTACCCCAACCCACTTCCCCAACCTCCCTATTATTTTAAAGCAAATCTGAGACATCGTATCATTTCATTCACATATACAACAATCTTGATAACAGCAAACATGTGAAGAATGTTTGCTAGATGCCAGACAGGTAAAGCATAGCAAATGCACACTCATATATCTACAGTCACCACAACCTTGAGACTCTTAACCCATCTTCATGGTGGAGGGAAAAGGAAAGTGGAAGCATAGGCACAAAGGCAACTTGCCCAAGGTCCCACAGCTGGTAAGTGGCATAGCTGGCACTGAACTCAAGCAGTCCATGCCCTTAACCTACAACACTGTTTCTTGGCCTAGGTGAATGCAACATGCTTTTCCCTTTGCATAGAGCTGGCCCAGAATGAGTTTCCTGGAGTTGGTGTGCAGAGCCCATCATCTTTGCTGTCCCATCTCGGCACCCTGGCCACATCACCATCAGGTTACCAGAGAGGAGCTGCTGCCTTGAGACATGAGGCAGGAAGGGTGGACACTGAGGTCCCTGCAGCTTCTGCTTGGGGCAGAATGTGGGCCCAGCATGTAAGGCACGAGCTCCTGGGCTGGGGGTATTAAAGACAGTGTGTTGCAGCTGATACAGATACAGAAGTTGACCCTTGATAATCATTTAGTACTTGACGCCATTGCTCTTCTTTTCAGCCGACACCATCTTCACACAGGCACTGATTTCTCCAAGGCCTTGTTTCCTGAGAAGGTGGCTGCTGCCTAGGTTGGCCTTGACTGCACTGGGATTGGGCAGGGAGGAATGCCTTTTGTCTTGTTTGAAACCCTCCACATTCATTTGCTTTCAGCAGCATGCAGAGTCCTGGTTTAAAGAGGGGGTGAGAGGGCTTAAATGTCTCCGAAGGTTTCTGAGACACAGGATTTCTCAAGAGAGAAAGGGTGATGATTTCAGAGTAAAGGAATCAAAAGCACATGTACTGCCTTTCTCCACGCATACAGAGTGGCTTAAATACGAAGGGAAGAAAGCGTTAGGAAAAACAGTTTTGAGTTTCGTTGAACCAACATTGGAAAAATGCAGCAAGACCCTTTCCAAATCCAAAGCAGAACCGTGTCCTTCCACCTCTGTGGAAAACTCTTCTGGTCTGGAAACCAGGTCTCCTGGGGCTGCCAAGAGTCTCCAGCCTCGGCAGAGTACCTCCCCCTACTTCCTCTGACAGAGAAGCAGATGGTCTCAAAGCCACCCTCCCTAACCCAAAAGCCCATTGAAGGGGGGCAGGGAGACTGTGCCAAGGCTGGCAATTCCCCTCGGCAGAATCTTCTCTTTCCTTGTCTCTGGTGCCCAACAGAGGCAAGAATGTGTGCGGGCCCTTGGCTGGGTAGGTTCCATTAGGAAGCAAGGAGCTAAACAGGTTCAGAGGCTCTCCAGGGATGTGTGGGGTTTTGGGGAAGGATTTCGTATTCTGGCTTTCTAAACCAACCTCTCCCCCTCCCTCTTTCTCCTCCCTTTTCCAGACACTAGTAACCACTATTCTACTTTCTGCTTCTACGAGATCAACTGTTTTAGATTCTACATAAAGTCACCAATCAAACTCGACCCAAAGAGGATGAATGTTTATTGTAAGGCTGCATGTAGGTGCTCAGCCAGGCCCCATAAACAACAAGAGTTACCTTCAGGAGGCCACTGTTTTCCCATGGTTCTGACATTCTCATGACCTGGTGTTCCTCTGTCTCCTCTGGTTGCTATCAGCTGCCCTCTCAATAGTCCCTACTATCCTGTTATCCCATTGCTTCTAAAACTCTTGATTTCTGCCTTTTATCTGCCTGCCTGCTCTCAACTATCTCTCTTAGGTACCACAGAGGAGAGGATCTGATCGGGCCCATTAACCACAATACCAAACACTGAGTTTCTATTAAACAGCATCCTGCAACAGCCCATCTCGCTGGCCTTTGAGGGGCTGCCTTTGGCTGGGCCTCAATGCCTGATCCAATCAGTTGTGGCCAGGAGGCAGAGACATACAGTTAATCTCAAGGCAACCAATACACAAGCAGCTACCTCCAGCCACTTTGTTTAGACCAGGGACATGGAGGCAGAAGGAGAATGGAAAGTCCACTTCAGCACCCTATGTTGCCCTAAACCTTGAAACAAAGGCCCAGTGGTCCTTGGCAGAGTATCAGAGGCTACCAATGAAAGGGCATCAGAGGCTAACAATAAAGCCTCAGCCTAAGAGAGGGGTGCGTGTGCGTGTGTGTGTGTGAACAGCAATGCTGAGTTTCAATTAGGTAAACCTGTTTTGTAACATGGTCTAGCCTTTTAAATCCCAACTGTCATGGAGGCCTCTGCTTTCCAGGAAGTTATTCCCATCAGCAGTTATTTCTGCAATCGTGATTGTTATGAAACCCTTTATTTTGAAAACACATTTCAAAACAAGGCTTCTTTCACATTCAGCTTTCTCTGGTCCACTAGGAGCAAAATGGTGCAGATATTTCCCTGTGGCCCATATACTTGTGTGTTATCCCGGTGGGCCATTCAAGTCCCAAAATCCATCTTGTAGTCACCACGGAAAAATGCAGAGGCATGCTGTGGGAGGATGCATGTCAACTCATCCCAAACACTCCCTTCAGCCAGCTCCCTGCCCCACACGTGGCAGAGCCATGACACAACGGCCTGTTCCTCTGAGAGTAATTTATTATGTAATTAAAAGCTTTTTCATCAAAGTCAATTTCTAAAGCAATCACTGGGATAGTATCAATTAGGAAACACTAACAGAGAAGGAGCTGGGCCCTGATGTCAGGGCTCATGCCCTTAAGAGTTTACATAAGTTTTCAGATGCTCGTGCCAGGGACCCTGACAGAATGCTGGGTAAGAAACAAACAGCACATGCTCTTCAGGCTTCAGTGGACCTTTCTGGAGAAGGTCTGTTCCCACAGGCCAGGCTCACAAAGAACCAGGGTGAAGTGATGGAAAGAAATGGGCTTTGAGATGACACCAACATGGATTCTAATCCCTGCTCCAACTGTTACCAGCTGTGGGAACTTGGGCAAGTCAACTAACCTCTCCGAACCTCAGTTTCTTCATCGGAGGAATGTTTATGATACTACCAACCTTCCAGAGCCCTGTGACGGTTAGAGATAAGATGTGCAAACATTGCGAAACAGTGCTGGCACACGGTAAGCATTCTGTGTGGAAGCTTAATAGTGTTATCATCTGCCTTCCAACTTCAGTGTGAGTTTTGACTCTACTGGCTCTTCAGTGGCATGGTCTGCCCAGGAGTCTCTGGAGAAGCAAAAGTCCTTTCCTCAGGCTGCTCAGCAATCACCAGCCACAGAGGGTTTTCCCCATCCCTCCTGGGTCCCGTTCACAATGGGTTTGGTTCAGAAAACTCCCCCTAAGCATAGGGCTTACTTGCTGAAAGAGCTCACTCTGAAAAGAGGTGATAGACAGGCAAGTCTATCACCTGATCAGGGCAGGTGATATTGCACCGCCTGACCAGGGCAATGAGAAATGAGTGGCACTGATGTTTTGGGAAGCACAGAGGCAAGATCAGGGAGAGCCTCCTGGAAGAGGAGACAGAGGGGTGAGAGGAGAAGTTTCCAAACAATGGGATGGGAGGAGCACAGGCTGAGGTGATGAGGTGGGAGCTGTGGGCAAGACCAGGTCTCCAGCTGCAGAGTTAAGGAGCTCACTCTCCAGGTGCAGGTTTGGGAAGATGACTCCAGCCCAAGTGAGGAAAACAGACTGGGCAGGTGAAACTCAGAAGAACGCAGAGGCAGCCATCCAAGGAAGGAGGGCAGCTTGGTGGCCCACTGACAGTTGAGCCAGGCTTATCTGTACTGTGCAACCAGAAGGAAAAACCAATTTGACAAATGGAAAAACCCTCACGTGTAGGAATCAAGTTACCTAGCATACCTAGCACACAAGTTGGATATCCCACAGCCCTTCCCCTGGCTGCCCTCCTAAGGCAAGCCCCCATGGGCCAGCCAAGCTACCCCAGCCCATGCTGTGGGCCACTATACTGTATACTGCAGGGGCAGGATGTGGTCAGGAGAGGCCAAGATGGGCCTCAGGAAACAGCAGGGGAAACACTGCCACATCTGACCCAACACAACTGTCAGCTGGCTGAGCCATCCACTCCGTCAGGCCCAGGCCAGACCTTCCCCCATCTCGGAAATGACACAGAACTCTCCTTGCTATCCTTCTGCCTGCCACTACTATGGGCTGAGCGAGCCCCCCGCCCCTCAGCCAGATGTCCACTCGCTCCTGCCTGATGACAGAAGTGCTGACCACAGCCATCTAGGTTGTACACTGTGTACCCCAATGCCCCACCCACGAACTTGGTGTTGGAAACTAGTTCCCTGGTGTCGATTTTCATGACTGGTCATCTAATGACTTCACTGTGCCTCTAACCATGCTGAGATTCCAGAAGGTTGCCATGGTGACATGCTACAGGCCTGGCCTAGACTGAGAGGCCTTGGGGACAGAGTGGGTTATGAAGCCCTGATGAAAACAGAGCCTAGGGTGGAGCACTGAGCAGCTCCCACCGGCTGGGCCAAGGAGTGCTTTGCACTCTCCAACCCTGCTCTCATCTGTGGCACAGTGAGATAAGCTGTACCCACTGCCCATGCAAAACCAAGCTGTCTGCCTCAACTCATGATGCAAAAGGGAAAATGTACCCAGTTGTCCCTCCACCCCATTAGAACCAGAAATGCATAATTTGTACATTGTAGACTTTAGAGAACATATAAAGAAGCAATGCCAGACCTGTGCAATTTAAACACACACATGTAGCCACTCTTCTCATTGCTCACTCCTGGACCCTGCCTTTCTTTCACCATTCCCCCATCCTGGACAACACCTCCCTTTCCCTTACTTTATATGAGCATTGGACAAGACTTAAGCTGCTCCTCCTACCTGAGACCTCCTTAACTCTGGTCCACACTGCCTTTCCCCTTTCCTAAGCTGCTACCAAATACACTTCTGAGCACTGGGTGTCAGCAGTTGGTCTCCTAGTGTATCCTGCCTCACAGCTTGGTTTCCCTATACACTTCACAGGTGTTGCATCTCCCTCTCTCACTCAGAACCCAGCACAGGGCCAAGCACATAGTAGGCACTCCATGCAGATTTTTCTGACATGTAACTGCCAACCTTTAGACTGCAGCCACAAGGTAGCAGTTTAGAAAATATCTCTGAGAACAGCCAGGTCAGCCCCCTTCTGGGAGATGCAACAACCCCTGGGGCACCAGAACCAGGAGTCAAGGAAGAGGTCTGAGCCCCTGCAAAGGGCATCCAGTCTCCGGCCCCAGTGCCCTGGCAGAGTTATGCAGCCTCAGCTGAACTTGCCCATCACCACATTCCCACCCACTCATCCCTGGGCCAGGCCCCCAATCTCAGGCTGACCTTGGGGCTGTGTGCCAAGAAACTGACAATGGCACTGGGCAATCCTAGCCAAGTTCAAGTTCATGTGATGGGCTATTACAGTAAGGGGGCTCATGGGAACTGGATGGGAGCCTCAGAAAAGGGGAGCCCAACACCTTTGAAGAAGGTGGTGGCCTTTCCATTAAAGTAGCCCCCAAGCTAGAGACCTGGCCTCCATCATGCTTGGCCCCTCACTCCTCATCATGCTGCACATTCAATCATCCAACCAATACATCCTGTCAGTGGCATCCAGTTCTGCACCCTCCACCTGACCTCCATGGCCACAGTCCTCCTTTCAGTCACCCGGGTAACGACCACAGCCTCCTCATGGCCCCAGCCCCCAGCCTCACTCCCTCCATTCCATATTGTCAGCTCTCAAAAACTTAAAGCTGCCCCATTGCTGTCCATAGGATGGAGTCTGAACTCCTTAGTCTTGCTCACAAGCCTGGCCTGTAACCTGCGAGGCTAAGAACCTGCCTCTCTGTGCTGCCTCCCACTGCCTCCATCCACGACTCAAGGTTCCAATCACACTGAACACTTGCAGGGCCTTGACTGGGCCATATTCTGTCTTAATTTGGGACCTCTGCAAAGGACACATAGACACTTAGACACACACAACTTCACCAGGTACTATCCTGATGTCTCCTCAAATGTCCTTCCCTGAACCCCTGGGTTGCACTAGATGTCTCCCTTCTATGTGTTCCAGGGTTCCCCATGCTACCATACCCTTTCTCCGTGAGTTGAGCTCACAGAGGTAGAAACAGATGACGAGATGACTGGTGGGCTGTGCTGGTCTCTGCCAGATGAGGACACAATCAAGCCTTTGGTCAAAGACATGCCATCTGTGTGACCAGGCCTGTCTTCACTGGGCTCAGAGAACCAAAGAAACTGGGCTGGTCTAGGCAGCCAGACTGCAGGGCTCCTTGCTCCATAGAGATGCCACGACTAAAGCTTCTCCCCACTCCTCAGCGCCTCCCTTTCTACCTGGAGGACCCAGCCAGTTCCCACAAGGGTGTAACCAGAGCCTGCAGGTTCCTGCAGGAACTCTACTAGATGAACAGTTACTGACAGGAAAGGCTTGAGAACATTCTGGAAAGAAGACATTCCTGGTCTAGAAATCCTATGTACTGTTAACTCTCTCTGGGAAGAAGAAAGGGCTGCGGGTCATGCCAACACCCAGGAGTCTCCTTTGGACATCCCATTAATAGAGTGGGGCTCCCTAGGAATGCATTTGCTGCTCTGCTGATCCAGAGGGATATTCCACCAAACCACCCACCCCATCCACCCCCAAGACAGCAGCCCCAGTCCAGGGGACCTTACAGTGTGCATGCCCCTGTGAGTGGTTCTTCCTCCTGACCCATGAGTATGGCTCAGCTCTGTGCTGGGCAGGGGGAAGCCAGCATGCTGGGTTTTTGTCTGCAGGAGAAATCTCCCCACTGCCCACCCATGGTCCACAAACAAGAGGCTCCTAAGCTTTCCAATGACCAGGATGGAGAGACGTCAGTTAGTCTCTGTGACGGTTTATTTTATGTGTCAACTTGGCTGGGCCATGGTACTCAGATCTTTAGTCAAACATGTCTGCTTGTTGCTGTGAAGGTATTTTTAGAATGATGTTAACATTTAAATCACTAGACTTTGAATCAAACAAATTACCTTCCCCGATGTGAATGGGTCTCATCCAATCAGTTGAAGGCCTTAGACTGACATCCCCCAAGGAGGAGAAAATCTGCCAGCAGACTGCCTTCAGACTCAACTGAAACATCACCTCCTCCCTGGGTCTTTAGCCTGCAGCCTACTTGCTCTCTCTTGTCTGTCTCTCTCTCTCCCCCTGTGTGTATGTGTATACACATACACACACACACACACACACACACACACAGTCATGCATTGCTTAACAACAGGGATACTTCTAAAGAAATGCATCATTAGGCAATTTTATCATTGTGTGAACAGCATCGAGTGTACTTATACAAACCTAGATTGTATAGCCTGCATGGTGTATCAGACATCTAGGCAATGTGGTATAGCCTATTGCTCCTAGCTACAAACCTGTATAGCATGTTACTACACTGAATACTGTAGGCAATTGTAATGCAACAGTAAGAATTTATGTATCTAAACATAGAAAAGGTACAGTAAAAATACCCTATAAAAGATTTAAAATGTTTGCTTACCCTGAACAGAGCCTGCAGGACTGGAAGTTGCTCTGGGTGAGTCAGTGTGTGGGTGGTGAGTTAATGTGAAAGGCTAGAATATTACTGTACACTATTGTACACTTTATAAACACTGTACACTTAGGCTATACTAAATTTATTTTTTAAACTGTTCACTCTTCAATAATAAGTTACCCTTAGCTTACTGTAACTTTTTTACTTCATAAACTTTTCAATTTTTTAACTTTTTGACGCTTTTGTAATAACACTTAGATTGGGCTGGGCGCAGTGGCTCAAGCCTGTAATCCCAACACTTTGGGAGGCCGAGGCAGGTGGATCATGAGGTCAGGAGTTCAAGACCAGCCTGTCCAAGATGGTAAAACCTCATCTCTACTAAAAATACAAAAAAATTAGCCAGGCATGGTGGCGGGTGCCTGTAATCCCAGCTACTCGGGAAGCTGAGGCAGAGAATTGCTTGAACCTGGGAGGCAGAGGTTGCAGTAAGCCGAGACCACACCACTGCACTCCAGCCTTGGTGACAGATCGAGACTCCATCTCAAAAAACTGTGTATATTATATATAATGTAAAATAGCCTCAAGCAGGTCCTTCAGGAGGAATTCCAGAAGAAGGCATTGTTAATGTAGGAGATGACAGCTCCATGCATGTTACTGCCCCTGAAGACCTTCCAGTGGGACAAGATGTGGAGGTGGAAGACAGTGATATTGGTGACTCTAACCTTTTGCGTGTGTTCGTGTCTTAGTTTTTAACAAAATAGATTAAAAGGTTAAAAAAATTAAAAACAGAAAAAGGCTTACAAAATAAGAATATAAAGATAGAAAATATTTTTGCATCGCTGCACAGTATGTGTGTCTATGTATATTTATATATATTTATATATTATATATATTATTTTTTTCTATTTATATATTATATAAATATATATATTTATATATTATATATATTATATTATATTATATTATATTTAACATTTAATATATTATATTATATATAATATATAATATATTATATATATTTATATAATATATTATATATTATATATTTATATTATATATTATATATTATATATTTATATTATATATTATATATTATATATTATATATATTTATATAATATATAAATATAGAAAATATATAATATTATAAAATATATTATATATTTATAATATATAATATATTTATAATATATAAATATATAATATTTTATATATGATATATAAATAATATATATTTATAATATATATTTATAATATATATTATATATTTATAATATATAATATATATTTATAATATATATTTATAATATATAATATATATTTATAATATATATTTATAATATATAATATATATTTATAATATATATTTATAATATATAATATATATTTATAATATATATTTATAATATATAATATATATACAATATATATTTATAATATATATACAATATATATTTATAATATATACTATATATTTATAATATATATACAATATATATTTATAATATATAAATATACAATATATATTTATAATATATAATATACATTGTATATTTATAATATATAAATATATAATATATATTTGTAATATATATTTATACATTATTTATATAATATATTATATATATTATATACAATATATATAATATATTATATTATATATAATTATTATATATAATTATTATATATAATTATTATATATATTATATTATATATATTATAAATATATATATTTTTTATTTTATATATTTTTATATTTAATATATATTTATATATATTTAATAAATATATAAATATATAAAATATATATATTATAAATATATATTTTATATTTTTTATATATTTAATATATATATTAAAATACATATATTTTTTAATTTCTATAATATATATTATATAATATATTATATAAAATATAAATATAATATATATATTATAAAATATATAATTATATAATTATAATATAATATATATAATATATAATATATTATATATAAATTATATGTAATATATAATTTATATATATTTATATATATAAATTATATACATTATATGTATTATATAATTTATATTATATATATTATATCTATAATATATATAATATATTAATATATTATATTATATATAATTCATATATATAATATACATAATATAATATATTAATATATTATATTATGTATATTATATATATAAATTATATATAAATATATTATATTTATATATTATAGAAATATAAATTACATATATATTATATAAATTATATATTATATAAATTATATATTATATAAATTATATATTATATATAAATATAAATATATAAATATAAATATATAAAAATTATATATTTATATTTAAATATACATAAAAATATAATATTTTTATATATAAAATATAAAAAAATATTAAAATATATAATATATAATATATAAATATATATTATATATTTATTATATATTTATATATTATTTATATAATATATTATATATATTATATAAATTATGTATATTATATAAATTATATATTATATATAAATATAAATATATAAATATAAATATACAAAAATTATATATTTATATTTAAATATATATAAATATATATATTTTTTAAAAAAATAAATAAAATATATAAATATAAATATATATTATATATATTTATATTATATATAATTTATATTATATATATTATAATGTATATTATAATATAATATATAATATATTATATATTTATATATTATAATATATTATATATTATATATAATATATTATATTGTATAATATATAATATACTATAATATATATTTTTATATATTATATAATTTGTTTTATATATTATATATAAATTATATATTTAAATATAATTAAATATATTATATATATTATATATTATATATAAATTTCATATATAATATATAATTTGTATATATTATATAATTTGTTTATGCCAGTGTCACCACAGACACACAAGTAATGCATTGTGCTTCGACATTATGATGGCTACAGCATCACTAGGCAATAGGAATCTTTCACCTCCGTTATAATCTTATGGGACCAGCATCCTATATGCAGTCCACCATTGACTGAAACATCATTACGCAGCACATCACTGTGTGTGACACACACACACACACACACACACACATTCTATTGACGCTATTGTTCTGGAGAGCCCTAATACAATTTCTCTCCCTGTTCTGGATTCTACCTTGGCCACCCTTTCCTAAGGTGCATGGGTGCATAAACACACACAGATGATACCCACCCAGAAGTAAACTTTAGGTCTTTATTCACCCACAGACACCTGTGGTAAGTCCAGATGATACATACAGTTGGAAATGGGTACAAGGTCCTGGACAAGGTGACCTCATGCCAGTCCTCCCTCAGACTAATTTACAGATGGCAGCCTCCCTGACGGCAGGCAGGTGGGGTAAGTGCTCTGCCACCTACTGAGTGCATATTCTTGGACATGCAACTTGACTTCTCTGAGCCTTAGCTTTTTCTTCTGGAAAATGGGGATAATAATACTATATGTGTCACTGGATTATTAGAAGAATGAAAGGAGATAGAGTGCCTAACGCAGCTCATCGCTACTCCCAACAGGACAGTTCCAGTAATTCAATGTTATTCCCTCTTATGGTACACACCCATGTCCACACTGTCCAATCTATAAACAAAAAGACTGTTAAACAGGGCTTACGGTTCGCTTCACAGAGGCCTCAGGAGAAGTCTCCATGCTTGCTTTTAAATCAACTCTTTGTTCCCACACAGACTGACCACCGTTATCTCCTTTGACTCTCACTGCATCATGCAGTAGCAGGTGGCTAACCCCATGCACCAGGAAGGAAAGTGAAGCACAGGCACAGCCCATGACACACTTTGTGTGAGATGAGCTGGAACCTGCAGCTCCTGGCTCCAACTCCTAAGAACTCCTCTACTCAGCAGGGCTCTGCAGGTTCCCACTGGGTCCACTTGTGCAGAAGGGATTGTGAGGCCGCCCATGCCAGAGGCAGCTCCCTGCACCCTCAGGAAAGGCTTCCTTACCTCTAACCCAGACCTTCCTGGTCTGCTCAGCCTGCTTCTTTGGACTTAACTGGAGCTGCCACCCTTAACCACATCTATTCCATGTCTCTGTTCTTGTATTCTCCCAAATATCCAGAGCCCAGTTTCTTTCCTTTCTTCTCTCTTAAGATTTATTCTCCAAGCTTCAGCCTTACAAATCTGCCCTAGCCAGAATCTTCTGGGGACACAATAAAAACACAAACAGTTCTTCACTTGAGGCTTTCTCTTGGCAACCATGTGTAAAGACTCCCAAACAACAGATAAAATAAGTTAATCTGGTATTTAGGACATTGTCTGAACATGGAACTGGACCAACTGGAGAGGCAGGGTGTGTCCAGAAGGACACAGGCAGGGTGTGTCCAGAAGGTGGTCAAGAACCTGCCTTCTACTCTTCTCTCTGCTACTACCCAGGTGGGCTTGGGCAACTCATTTTGCCTATTTGTGCTTCAATGTCTCCAGTTATGAAATAAATGAGTGAGTTGGATAGAGTTGGATAATTTCTAACGTCCTAAATATCTAGGATTCTCTGACATACTGGTTCATCCTCATATATAAGTTATCACTTACATAAGGAAGAAATCTATATCATGGGTGTTACTCTTGTCCCAAGCCTCTGGCAGACATCACTGGTTGACAACAGCATTCTTTCCTTCTAAGACAGACCCAGCCTCAGAAGCTTTCTCTACAGAGCACTCCAGTAGCTACTACCAATCAACCAGTACAAATAAATACAACTATTTGTATTAGAAACATTCAAGACCCTAAAAGCTTGTCCTCATCAGGATCCTCCAATACTGCCCCACCCAGGTGTGGGGCCTGCTGGGGCTCTGCAGTGTCTCTGAGGCTGGATTTCAGGACTCACTCGTCTCCCACAGATGTCTGGACCATCAGGCAAGCTGGACCTGTCCTGGTCACTCCATAACTCCCTGGCATCTGGTGCCCACAACCCAGGACCCACAGAAGCCTTGGAAGATGTCTCAGAAGCAGAAACTTCTGTCCTAAGGAAAAATTCCAGAGAAGTGGAGGCACAAAGTGTGGGCCAGGGCATTGCCAGACCCACCCCAGGGCTGCCCAACACACACACGCACACCACACCCACGCTCTCTGTCCAGCTCAGGTATTCACGCGTGCACACACACACACACCCGGAGAAGAGCTCCGGGGTGAAAACGTCCTGCAACAGTGCCATCTAGTGGGAGCCGGGGTCTGTCCTGCCCTCACAGGTTTCCTCCGCGAGCCCCAGGGAGATGGTCTTAAGATCCAGAGATGTGAAAGTTGTGGCTGCTTCTTGTGAAGAAAAATACAAAATAAGCAATAACGGGAGACTCTGTCTACCTTGGGATGTCTCACTGCCCCCCTCAATTCGCACCTGTACACAAGGCTAACTGGCCCAACCACCACCATCCCTCTATCTACAACACATCCCCAAATCCCTGCTCTCTGCCTTCAGCCCTGTGAAATTCTGGCCCCCTGGGGTCCTGCTACAGCCCCTTCTACCCCAGCATATGGTCTCTGACTCAGTCACACATTTCCAGGAAACATGGGGAGGACTCTAGCCAGATTCTAGCTCAGCTATTCCCCAGTTTTGTAGTTTCCTACATCCGAACCTCAGTTTACTCTTCTGTGAAATGGGAGAATGTCTTTGTGACTAGGTTGCTGTGAAGATTAAACAGCCTTTTCCAGAAGGTCTCTGGCTGTGATGCCTGAAAAATCCCAGCAGCACCAAGGAGGTTCACAGCTCTAAGATGGTCAGGAAGGCTATTTGCTAGAGGCCAGGATAGTTCTCAACCCTACAGGGGATGGAAAACCCAGACAGTCCCTCTCCCTCAACACTGGGAACTCTGCCCCATCCCTCTTACATGGGTGGGGTAAGACCACATCCTTTTAAATAATTAAATACAACATAGGATCCCAAGCAGGAGAACCCCTCCTTGCCTTTTAGAGACTATGGGAAGATCTGTCAGAGCTTAATGCTTTCAGGCTGGGCGCAGTGGCTCACACCTGTAATCCCAGCACTTTGGAAGGCCAAGGCAGGAGGATCACTTTGAGCTCAGGAGCTTGAGACCAGCCTGGGCAACATGGCAAAACCTCATCTCTACAAAAAAAATTCAAGCTGGGCATGGTGATGCACACCTGTATTTCCAGCTACTTAGGAGGGTGAGGTGGGAGAATCACTTGAGCCCAGGAAGTGGAGGTTGCAGTGAGTTGAGATCGTGCCACTGCACTCCAGCCTGGGTGACAGAGTGAGATCCTATCTCAAAAAAAAAAAAGGAAAAAAAGAACTTAATGCTTTCAGGTTCAAATGTTTCCAGCCAGTGTAACAGAGCAGAAATACTATCACTGATCATGGCAGAGGACTTTAAGAGGAGGAAGAGCATTACTAATCCCTCCTCAGCAAAGGAGACTTTTCCCAGGGGTCTGGGAGACTAGCTGTACACAGAGGGCTTCTGTAAGGAAGCCAAGGGACAAGGAGGCCCTGGAAGCCAGGAGGCTGCTGTGGCTGAACAGGAGGAGATGGAACAGTGTTGCTGATTCTGCAGCCTGAGGATGATGACACCCCAGGCTCCAGAATACAGTGTCCAGCCACGCTGCCTGCTTGCAGAGGAAATGAAACCCTGCCCATTCTTCATACCTGTAGGAAGGGGAAGAAGCCTTAGGTGGTGCTCCTAAATGGCCTGTGTTGCTAGGGAAGGACCGCTGGATACTGAAGCAACCACGTCCAAACTCAACTTCAACGCTCATTCATTCGCTGCATGGGTGGGGGCCCAGAACACAAGCAGCTTCTCAAAAGGAAGCTTCGTGGCTAGGCAAAAGCTGAAAGACACCTCCTGAAAGTGAAAACGTAACCAGCAAATCTAATAAAGTCGGCCCCAGTGAGAAACCTGCAAAGCAACCAAGATGACATGAACAGCAACAGCCAGGCCCTTCCTGCGCCGGGGGCAGGTGCCAACAGCATCAAAGTCCTGTGGGCCAAGGGCCAAGAGCATCAGAATCTGGCAGAAGAGACAATTCCTCTCTAGACTTGGCAGATCCAGTCTCCCAGTGTGAACCTGCCTTTTGGCCTGAGAGCCAGCAGCCCCAGCCTACAGATACAGTGTCCTTGCCTCTACCTGAACTTAATTCAAACCATTCTGCTCAACCCTAATTTGGAGCTTTTATTAGGTTTTAAGTTACACTATATATGGCACAATAGAAATATTTTTTCAGTGTTAAATTGGAAACATACCACAAGAGGATTTTTTAAAGCCTTTTACAACATTGTAGACTGAAATGTCTTCAACTCTCCAACCAAAATCTAACCAAGGTAACCTTCACAGGAAAAACTTTGATATCAAGAGAGGTATGTATCCTCTGGAATGTGCTTTTCTTCCTCTTTTCCAAAAGCAGTCAACAATATTCCTCTAATCAGTCTGCGGTGTGTTAGCATTGAAAGTAGGCATACTCTGGGGGTATTCCCAGGAGAAATAATGGCAGATATAGGCAGAATAAAATCACCATGCCCCCTGGCCTTTCAAATGAACATGTCCATCACCACCATCTGTCATATAAAGTGAGGCCTGGAGAGCAGGTCGTGCTCCGAATGGATCAGGCTAGGGTTCCTTGCTTGCCTCACACTTGAAGCACTCTGTACAGGAGACCATTTCCGTGGCAAGAGAGGGGCTAGAGACCAGGACACAGATGGTCTAAGCTCCAGGTGGCCCAGAAGTGCTTATGCTAAGAAATGCTTGGGCTGCCCCGCTAAGAGCAGCTCCTCCACCTAGCACTCCTCACACTCTTAGATGAGGAGCTCCGGGAGCTCATTTGCATCCTGGCTGTAGCCCTGCTGAACATCATAAGGACAGCCTGTTGAAGGACACAGACTCAGGCATATGACCTGGCACATGGCAGAGTCCAATACCTACCTTTGACATTTTGGACCCAACTTGGAATTTTTGAATGATTATAGTTGTCTTTTGAAGAAAATCAAGGCAATGAATAAGCGGCAGCTGATAAATGCTGGGAGAAAGAAACATGACAATCATGAGAATATGCCTATATTTGACCCATACAGAGCAAACTAATTTCCTTTAATTATACCAAGAAACCCTGAACTCTAAAGCCAGAGCATCACTCTCCAAGGTTGCTCTTCACCCCTGTGATCTGACCCTTTTCTCAAGGGCAGAGCAGCTGGCCAACTTGATGCCACTGATACCACAATAGAGGCACTGCAAGCACAGGTCCAGGAGGACAAATGGCCCCTCTGGAGAACTGGGACAGGGTGGGTTCATTCCTCAGTGCACTGGGTAGGATGGGGCTGTGTTTGCTACCAACCCCATAAGCCAACTGGTCAAGTGACAAATGCTGAACAGAATAAAAACAATCTGGCCCCTCCAAGCACGGGGCCTGAGGTTGCACAGGCACCTCTGAGAGGTCCCATTTGAGGATGTGCCCAGCCCACAGCTCTGCCCATGACCCCTCTAATCCTGGGGCTTCCCATATGCCACAGTCAGCACTGGGTCTGGTCCCTGCTCACTGCTGTGGGTATGGATCTTGGTGCTGTGGGAGGCTCCTGTGGGGCTATGGAAACTACACCCTCATGGAATGGCAAGGGATGTGCACAAGCCATGGGCCCGAATGCTGTATCATTTGGACACACATTCCAGGAGGAATTCCAAGCAGAAAAAGGCTTTGGGCTGGGAAAGGCATAAAGAGCTCCCAGAAAGACAGGCCTAGAGTTGGGCCTTGACTGATGGGCAGAAAAGGGAACGTATTTAAGGCAAATGGTATCCGGCCACTGCTAAGACATGGAGATGGGGATGACACAGTGTGTTCAGCAACAGCCACTGTGGGACAAGGCTTGCCCTTGGAGAGGAGCAGGAATAAGTAAAATTTCATCCTCCCAACTTCACTCCCTGGTGTGTCTCCATCACTGAGAGTCCCTTGAGGGTTATCTTCAGATCTAAATGCCACCTGGCAGAGAGAGCAGGCTGGGCTGCTGGAGGAGTGCTGAACCTCCCCTCCTGGCCCAGGCTGAAGGCTTTCACAGCGACTGAAGACTTGGGAGAAGCCGGCTAGTCCCACTGCCCTCTCCCCCACAATCTCGGGTGGCTGCTTCTCCCATTGATAACTCCCTGAGATCAGGTTCGCTCTGCCCTGCTTCCAGACGTAGGGGTCAGAGTGAGCCCTGGGCCTTGGGCACAGCCCCCAGATGCTGAGCAGGTTGAAACCAGACTGGGGCCCAGCCCCCTGCCTGCCCTCGGCCTTGGGAATATCACTGCCCAGGATGGAAACCCAGGGAGCCCCACTGCATTAGAAGGCGGGGGATGGAGCAGTTCAGACCCCTAATGTCAGGAAAAAGTGCTGGTCTGGCTTTCACCTGACCCCTACAAGAGGAAAAGGCCAAAGGTCTGAAGTGGCCCATGGCAGGCACAGCAGCCCCCCAGCTTCTGGGATCTGCCGGGCCTCAGTCTCTTGCTACAGCACCAGTCTCCCTTAACCAGACTCAAGCGGCATATCTGTTAACCCAGCTCACACCCCTCCACTCAGTCCCTCCTACCTCCTTCTCTATCAGCAGAAAGGGGCACCTGGGAGCTCATCTGGGGCTGCCGCACATGCTGGGTTCTCAGCCCACCTCCTCCACCTTGCTCTGCCCTAGGCAGGCGCTGCCAGACCCCACTGCATGGAGCGAAGGACAAGAGCGCAAGG
The DNA here is from genome assembly GCF_000001405.40 of Homo sapiens. NCBI lineage: Eukaryota > Metazoa > Chordata > Mammalia > Primates > Hominidae > Homo > Homo sapiens. Next base: position 139,107,522 of record NC_000003.12, on the reverse strand, counting down.
GCCCAGTCCCACTCAGCTCATAGCCCCCAGTGACCAGCACAGGACACTAGGAAGGAACCATGAGCCAGATGAGACCAAACCAGCTCCTGCCCCCAAAAAAACCTATCTGGGGAAGCTGTTGCTCCTTTGTGTACATAATGAAGGATGAGCAGATTCCCACTGCCCAGGACAGCACTGGCTTATACCTGTTATCTCTGTCAAATTCACTCTCAAAAGGATTCTACTTGAGATGCTAAATTATGTGGTTACCCTGTTTTACCACTTGCAAGGCTAGCGAGTGCTCAACACAGGATTAGAACCCAGTTCTAATTAGAACCCAGGCTTCAAAGCTCAGGTCCTACCCACTTAGATGTGATGACTAGCAAAGGCTTGAGGGAGGAAGATGGGAAGCAATCTGGGTGGTGCTTCCATAAAGAGGAGCCTACAGGCAGCACAGACAAGAACAGGAAAAATGCTAGAAAATCTCCTATGGCCTGTCACATGGCCACAGGCTGACAGATGAGCAGGAGAAGAAAGAGCCTAAAGGGCAGAGGAACAGTGCTGCAGAGGTGGCAAGCAGCCTGACCCTCAGGGCCGGGAGAGACAGCCTTAAAGACTCTGCCAGTGATCCCTGGCTAAATGCTAAGATGAGAAGAGATGTATTTTCAAGTAATGGTCTGTTGTCTAATGTCTGTTCACGTTGGCATGAACGAAGAGGTTTGATCTCTGGTTAGAAGCTGGCTATCTAGGACAGCAATCAAAGCCGGACATGACAAGTGCTTAAAAAGACGCTGGGTGGGTGGAGGACGACCCATTCTTCCTCTGGAGCACCATGGACATCTGCTGGGCAGGTCATAGGCAGGCCAGGGTGAAATGTGCAGCCTGGAGACTCGGGGAGGCCTGCAGTGGGGCATGCCACTGCACCAGGAGTTTAGGCATTAGCCCCTGCAGCTTGCAGTGCTGGACCCCATAGTAAACTGTGAGGGCTCCCAGGGCAGGGGCACCATGTGGGCAGAGCCCGGGGCACAGGCTGGAGGTCTTGGCCTGAGAGGGAGTGTCACAAAGCCCAAAGAGGCCCCTAAGCCATCTTTCCTGCCCCACTCTGCCTCCATCTCATCTTACCTTAGCTCCTCTGAAAGGTCCTCTGAAATCCCACTGCTAAGTGGCATCAGGATCCCCTAAATTTAATTAGAAGCCCCTGTTATACAGTATCATAGACTCTGCAATATTCTTTTAGCCAAGGAATTTTATCACCATTTATAAATAGAAATGTGTTTGTTTGCTTATTAACTGATTGTCCCCACTATACTGGAAGTTCCAAAGGGCAAGGACTGTGGCTGTTTTATCCAGCAACATATCTCCAGTATCTAGCACACAAAATAAATGTTTGCAGAGAGGCTGAAAGCATGAAGACATGACTGAAATTCCACCATTAGACATTGTTCCTTAGGTTCTTTCACTTATTCAGGCAACCCACCTTTATTGAGCACCCTACTATATGCCAGTTGGGAAAAATAAGATTTAAAACAAAAATTCTTCTAAGATACAAATAAAATGCCCACAGGAGAGTTCACCTCTAAGATACTACCAGTTACATTAGTGGGAATTTGTTTGGTCAGCTGCATTCCAGAGGGATAGCTGGTTCAGAGGAGGGCTTGGAGAGGAAGAACCCTGGCAGAAGAAAGAGAGGATTCTGCATGCGGGGACATGGAAGAGGAAGACAAGCCCGAATGTGGCTCTGGGCAAAGGTGAGAATCTGGGGGCTCGGGGAGTAAACAGGAGGTGCCAAGAGGCTGGGCAGGGGCACACGAAGGGAGGGACCACACAGGGAAGATCCACCTCACCATTACCTAACATCACCTCCAGGACAAGCCCTGCATTACATATTTTCTACACATCAGCCCAATCAATCCTCATAGCCACACCAAGAGGTAAGCAGTGTTATGTCATCTCACAGAGGGGCAGCTGTGGCCGGAGGAACTGAGTGACCTGTCAGAGAACACAGGTGACTTGGATTCAAACACAGGCCTGTTGACACTCAGCCCTTTCCCAGCCCGGGGCTGCTTCCAGGGCAGCCTCCATCCAGACTCTGTGTGGGGACCTTCATGTCAGTAATTACAGGCTACAGCACAGCTTCCGACGCTGGTTTTAGGAAAGTGTGCTTGGCTTTCACCACAGAGAGCAGGAGGGAGCCACCACCTCCCGGGCTAATCTCACCAGTCAAGGCCTCGGGCCTTGCTTCACAATCAAAAGACCTTGAGAATAAAGGGGCAAGGGTGAAGAAAGTAAATAGTACACACACTCTTCACCAATTGCTCTTCCCAGCTTGGGATGGTGGTCAGTGCTGGTCACTAGCCATATCAAAACCAAAGGGCCGGAGGTGGGGGAAGACCCCAACGTGAAGGGCAGAGCCTAGAGGCCCCATTGGTCAGAGAGGGAAGGTTGCTGGGAGGAACTGTGCATAGCAAAAAAAAAAAAAAAAAAAAAAAAAACTCTTTCCCTCCACTCTCTCCACAGAACTCTTGCCCCTCTCAACCCCATCGGTCACACATAAGCAGCTGTGGTGGCAGGGGCAGCAGCAGGACAAGGTAGCTCTCCATTGTCCTGCCTGTCTCCAGACAAGAGTGTTTGTTGAGAATGGGCAGAAAGGCCAGGCCCCAGCTCCCAGAGGGGCTATCAGGATGTGGGGACAGCAGAGGGGATGCTCAGAGAAGCTGGAGCTCAAAGAAATCAACCCAAGGACTGAGCAGCATGGCCAGATCCCATGTTTTGGGATCCCTGCTAGGGAAGCCAAGGCCACACAAGGAAGAGATTTTGTTCCAGCCACAGAGTGAGGAGGGGAGCTCTGGAGCAGGGCCCTCAGGCCTGGATACCTCCACACAGTCCTGCAAATCGTGTTTCTCGTTGTCTGATGGTATCCCAAGCCCACTCCCTCCAAATCCACTGGGTAGAAAAGGGATAAAGAAGGTATGCAAAGGATATGGGGGGCTTGAGTAGCCCCAAGGATGTGTCTCTCCCTCACTCCCAAGATTTGTGATTTGATCTCTTCCTCCCATATTCCATGGATGTGGTCATGGACCGGAAGCTGAGTTCCTAGTCCCACCCACCCTTTCTCAGTCACTGACAGAGAACAAATGGGAGTCCAGAGGAGGGGTGGAGAGAACCCAGGTGCTTGCAGTATGCAGACCTGCATTTAAATTCAGGCTCCATACCTGCTGGCGCTCTGCCCTTAAGTCACCTTGGCTGTTTCCTCTTCTGTAAAACAGGGGACAGTAAAAGCAACTGCTTCAAAGGACTGCGAAAGGACCCAACAGGCCACGTGCCACGAGCACACAGCAACGTGTTCCTCTTCTTCCTTTCTGTGAAGAAACTCCCCTTCCCACCCACCCACCCATGCAGTCCCTTAGCTTTCAGCAAACACCTCTACAGATTCTTCCATCAGTCACAACTTGGCTTCAGCATATAATATCAAGATCCAATAACAATAACAAAAAGAATCCAACACAAGCACATCTTTGATGAGCCCCTCTGTGGGTCAAGTCATACAAGGGGTGTGAGGATGCTAATAATCTGGTTGGGGAGACCACAGCATCAGCGGGCATATAGCAGACCCTTCAGAAAACTGACCAATGGCTCACATAGCCAGTTGACAGTCACTCTTATCCTCATTCTCCTGTTTTCACAATAGGCTGTCACACCCAGAGAACGTGGGGCAGAGAGACTTTAACGGACTTGCTTGAGGTCACCACAGCAGGCTGGTGCCAGAGATCAGGGCAGAGTGGGTTTATTAACAGACTTATCCCTGGCTTGGAGATCAAAATGGCTTGAATTCTCATCAAAAAGGCTGTGTGACCTTGAGCAGGATACTTAACCTCTCTGAACATCAGTTTCTTCTGCAAAATGAGGTGACACCTTTGTCCCAGAATAGAAGTGAGGTCAAGTGTGGTGTGAGGCACTTGGAGGGGCTTAGCGCCTGCCCACCCTAACCCCATCTAAAGTAGCCAGAGGATGGTGACGCAATTAAAAAGGCATGAAGTGCCAGACAGCAAGGTTCAGTTCTAGAATATCCTTAGAAGAGCAGCAAGAAAATAGAAAACCACACAGGAGCTTGTTTTCAAAGACAAAGAAAAATATGATTAAGCAGTCCTGAGAATGGTGTTATAAAAGAATGAAAATATTTTCCTTACTAGGGCATTTGTAGGTTAACAGCTGATAGGGAGGTGGGAGCGGCCACCACAAGGCCACCAGGCACTTCCAGCACCACAGTGTGAGGATCCTTGTGGAGGATCCAGAGCTAGGACCAAGCAGCCCCAAAGGCCAGCTGTGTAAGGGAGCTGTGTTGTTTTAGGGCCTCTGTTTTCCAGCCTGTGAAATGGGACTGCCCCATGTCCCCACGTCTGTCCAGCCATGGCTCCTTTCTATTGATAAACTGGACTACAGCCACTGTAATTGCCATCTCAAGGTCAGGTGGAGGGAGATGGTATAGCTGATATAGGCTCAGAAAGGTTAAGGATTGCTCCTGAAGTCACACAGCTGAGAGAGGTATGGCGAGACTGCATCAAAGCCAGAGTGGTCCCACTCTGCCACATGGTGTCCCCATCTGGGGGGACTTCGCATTCATTCCGCCCCATGAGCAGTACTGAGATGAGCCAGACATCCTCTGGCCCATAAGCAAGCTCTCCCAGCAACTCCAATCCCACCTCTCACTTGGGGGCCAGCATACCTAGTCCTGTCAGCTCTACCTCTCTCCCTGCACCTGACATAACATGTGGGAATTTCCTTTTGGTCCTCACCCTTGCTCCCTCTGCTCAGGCAACCATGACTGGTTTCCTGCTCCTCTCAAATTCCTTTCCTTCCTCGCACCTTCTCTTTCCCACTGCTGCTGGCCTGACCCAACTCCCCACATCTGGTTCCTGGGTCACAGCAAGCACCCTCCTGACCTTGCACACTCTTTCTGCCCCTCCATGATTCCCCCACCGAAATCAGCTTCTGCAGAGCACCACTAAGCTATGGCCCCTTCCACCCACATACCACCCCTCCCCTTGGAATCCTCCTGCACATCCCCACACCCGCCAACTATCTGATACAGTTCATAGCTTTTCACATGTGCTTACAGCCTGTCAGTGTACCAACATTCTCCCCAGATGCACACAGTAGTTGCTCAATATGCACGTTGATGATATCTACTTTTGCACACTGGTCTGATTTACATCACTGGGATACCCTTTTGCTTGCAGGTTCTACCCAGAGCTCTGAGGGTCTTTCACCCAGCAGGGGCCAGTCCCACAGCGTGTGCCCCCACAGCTCACTCTGATCCATCCTGGGTCCTGCCACTCCTGGGTCTTCCAACCAGGCTCTCATAACGGATCATACCTGCTCTGAGGGGAGTTCACAGTTTAACTAAAGGGACTCAGAGAGGGCCCCTCCCTTGTCCCAAGAGGAGAGCCCCACTCCCCTTTTCCCAGACTAATTTACTGACCTCTGAACTGTAGGAGTGCAGGGTGCTCCACCCCCACTCCACCTTAGGACACAGGCTTACAAAACTTAAAACACTTCTGTGTCCTCAAGATAATCTTGGGGAGGAAACTGAGGCTCTGAGAGGGGTGTGCTCTAGTTGCCCAGGGCCCCAGTTCAAATCTTGGTTGTTGGTTGTTCTGACCCTTTCCATTACACCATCCCATTCCTCTCCATCCAAATCTCCTTGGAGGGGATGGCAATTAACCCTCAGTCCCTCAGAGGACCACCAGCTGCAGATCCTAAGAATCAGGAAGGTACAGTACCAAAGGCCTTTCCATGACATCTCCAGTTTTCCCAGGTCCACCTCAGAGGGACTCTGTCAGGTAACCACCACCCAGGAGCAGCTGCAGGTGCTTGAAAAGGTCTCCCTGCTGGTGTGATGGTGACCAGGGGACAGGAAAAACACTGTCTTCTAGGAGCACAGATGCATTCCCCTCCCCTCTCTGCAGGTGGCCCCTGGGTAGCACTCCCAGGGGGCTAGGGGGAGGATCTGTGAGAGAAGCTGCCTGTTAAAGTGAGCAGGGGCCATGGGCAGAAGGTCTTTTGTCTACCCTCTCTGTGCTGCACGTGCAGTCACAGGCAGGGGAGGAATTGGGAGACGCTCTGAGTGCTTTGAAATATTCAAGCAATGAGACCTTCCTGAGCAACAGCTGCCACTTTGACACTTATAGAAAGTGCCCAGGCCTAAGCTGCGCAGATCAGAGCTGGGCCCCTGACGGCCTACAGTCAGGTGGGCGCAGTCAAAGCAGGCATTTCTGCTTCAGGCAGCAATCTGGGTCTTCGAGGAGCTGGCTGGAGGATCTGCAGCCCACCATGCAGCAATCTATATCACTGCCATGGTTTTCAGGCTACTCATGTGCTGTGCTCCAGACCCTGTGCTAAGCACTGAAGATCCAGATGTAAATGAGATGTGGGTACCACTCCCACAGAGTCTAGGCTGGTGAAGGAGCCCAGTCCCACGTCCATGTGCAGAGGGCTGTCAGTGGGTTAGAGGTGCAGATCACTGAGCCTGCCCACTCCATGCCCTTCTGTGGGACTTGGCCAGCACAGATCCTCTGCTGCCTGGGCTGCCACATGGCCTCACCAGCCCAGTCCCAGCTGATTGGACCAGGGTATACACTGGCCCAAAAGTGGCTAGTAAAAAAATTAAGGGTCCAAGAAGAGTCTGGCTTAGAGAATTGGGGTTTGAAAAGCAAGTAAGTTAGAGTGGAGAAGGCTATGGGGCCAGTTGAGGTCAGAGAAGCCTTGACAGCTACACACAGGCTGAAGAAGCAGAACCTGTGAAAGGCCTGGGCTTAGAGAAACAGAGGGCCAGATAGTGCTGACTCTAGGACCAGAGAGGCCAGAGGGGTCAGGGCAGGGCTGCTGAATGTCTGAGGGGCTGTTGAAACCTCAACAAGTCTGAGGCCAGACTGGGAATATAAAGCATCTTCAGGACACAGGCCAGAGCTCAGTATCATTCAATCCACGGGAAAAACATGACCTGGCCAGTTCCAGGCCCCATGCTAAGATGACGACAACTTGGCCTGTGCCCTAAGGAGCCCACAGTCTGAAGGAAGAAGTGAAGGTTAGTCTGATGATGGCAGCACAGCGACCAGGGCTGGGAGACAAGGAAGTCCCAGAGGCTGGGGTTGGGATCTGGAAGCTCATGGCAGGTAGGCAGGTCAGCCTGCTTTCCACAGGGAACTTCATCTCCAAGTCCAAAGCTACCTTGACAATGGGGTAGTCCTAGATATAGACCAGGTTCACTAGGTAATAAATGGCTCTGCTTGCACGGCAGAGCCCAGGGATGCACTCAAACGACTGGTTCATTCAGGCCCCCAGCAACCTCAAAAGGCTGGTTTGTCCACTGCCCTTTCCTGTCCAAAAAGACTCTGCTTGCATACCCATTCATCTGGCAGTGGCCAAGGCAGCTCCTCAAACCAGCCTAGCTCCAGCCTGCACACTGACTGCAGGCACAGGAGTGGATGAGCATTTGGAAAAACTCAATCAAAATGATCTCTACAGGGCCTATGGGAGAGGAGGAGGAACAAGTGACTGACCCTTTTGCATTCAGATTCTTAATCTGAAAGGAAAAACAACCTGCTCCATGAGGTTGTTCTCAGCAGTACATGAGAACATGCAGGCAGAGCTAGCTTTCAGGGCCGAGCATCCAGTAAGTGTCCCGCTGCCATTAGGGGGCTGGCCTGGCAGTTCTGCCCTCTAGACTAGAGGCTGTGTCTTCTTCTTCTTTGCACCCCCACCCCAAAGGTTTGTAGAGCTATTGAGGTATGTATTTATTTGTTTATTTTCTGCTTTGTTCTGAAGACAATTGGTTAAATTATTAGAATCAAGTGGCTACAATAGTCTATGTTTTGTTTCTTTTGTGATTGTTGTTGTTGTTGTCTCACTTTACAAAGAACTAACATTAACTGAGCAAATTTGATTTGACAAACTAGATGGCTTACATACATTACCTCATTTGATTCCAGTATATTGTAGAAAGAAAACATGTTACTTCAAAACACATGATAGAATACCTTTCAGGAAGAGAACTGTGTTGGCCTAGGGAACTAAACCTCCCTAAGCCTTAATTTCCCCATCTGCACAAAAAGAATAATAACTGTACCTATCTCATGCAGCTACTGTGAGGATTAATTTAGATAATACATGGGAATCAATAAGCACTGCACTTTCTAGTACCAGTGCCTAGAAAGTACTGAGCCTAAAGTAGAAACCCAATAAATATTTGTTCATTGACCCATTGATTGATTTGCACATAGTAAACACTCAGTGATCACTGTTACTTTCACCATTTTTTTAGGAATACTTATAAATGGGCAGTTTAATAATAAAGATGAGGCTCTCTAGACATGGTTTCTGTTTCTGGGATGAGATAAAAAGAATAGTTGAGGAAACTAGAGAAAAATTTCCTAAGGTTACAATAATCAAGGGTCTTTCAAGAGTAAGGATGCCAAAAATTCCACTTGAAGCTGTTTTCTCTGTTTCTTCAAGATATAATTTCTTTCCCCCGACTAAATCCTTCATTAAAATCTACCATACTGCTTTGGGTGGGTAGTGCTGTCAGGGGTGAAACGACTGGGGTAATGGCCATCAGATTGACATAAAGAAAGCTCCACAGTGACTGCAGTAAGTACACATACACACACCGCAAGCAAAACACAGATTGCTGATTAAGAACTCAGCCACAGCAAGCACTGGGGACAAAAGAAATGCACAGTGCTCATGGCAATCTATATGATAACCATTAAGAGAATAGTAGAAAAGTACGTGGTTTCTAAACTAACCAGCAAAATGGAATAATTTTTAAAATCCAAAAGAGAAAGTTAAGAAAGGCAAAAAAGGAGAGAAAAGAGAAACCAAAGTCATATATGACAAATAGAAAGCATATAATTAAATGGTAGATTTAAATACATTAAGTGTAAATGGACTAAATGCTCCAATTAAAAGACTCTAGCTAAAAGATTGTCAAAAGTATTTTTAACTTAAACAAATATGTTTAAAAAGAGAAACATGTAAAATATAATAGAATAGAAAGGTTATATAAGTAAAAGGATAGTAAAAGATATATTCTGCAATCAATAACCCAAAGAAGCAGTGTAGCTATACCAACATCAGACAGTGAAAACCTTAAAACAAAAAGCATTACTAGAAAATAGGAGAGCCAGTTCACAATGACAAAAGATTCCATTCATCAGCAAGATAAAACAATTCTAAATGTATGTGCAGTTAATAATATGCATTCAAAACATGTAAAACAAATTTAGGTAAATCTACAAGGAAAAGAGATATATTCTCAAAGTGAGAGATTTAATAATCAGTAACTGTTAAAAACAATCAGATGAAAAATACTTGAGGATAAAGAACATTATAACAACATTTGACTAATGAACATATACAACACTGCACCCAACAACTGTAGAATAAAAATTATTTTCAAGTACACAAAAAATGACAAAACTGACCATATACTAAACCATAAAATAAATCTCAACAAATTGAGAAGTATTAAAATCATGAGCATGTTCTCTACCTATATGCAATTAAGTTAAAATCAGTAACAATAACAAAAAATACTCATATGTTTGGAAATTAAATAATTTTTAAAAATAATCAGTGGATCAAAGAAGTCCCAATAAAAAATGACAATATTTTGAAATGAATGCCAACAAAAATACATCAGAATTTGCCAGATACAGCTAAAGCAGTGCTTAGAGGAAATCTTATAGTCACAAATGCCTATTTTTATAATAAAAAAGAATAAAAATTAATGAACTAAGCATTGTTTTCAAGAAGTTGGTAAAAGAGATTTAGCAAAGATGGCAGCAGTGGTGAGAGCATAGTTGTTTAATCTTCCCAGGTCCCCGCATAAAAACAGGCAGTGTAGGTAGTTCGCAAAACCAAAAATCTATGAACACTTACAACAAAAATAGATAAGACCTAAATAAATGGAGAATGTTGATGTTCATGAATTGGAAATCTCAATATTGTTAATAGAGCAATTCTCCCCAAATGGACCTATAGATTCAATAAATACCAATCAAAATCCCAACACCTTTCTTTAAAGGATTTGCCAAGTTGATTCTAAAATTTATATGGAAAACCAAATGACCTAGAATAGCCAAACATTCTGAAAAAGAACAAAGTTGGAGGCCTTACACTCCCTGATTTCAGGACTTCTAGGAAGCTACAGTAATCAAGGTAGAATGGCATTGGCATAGAGAAATACAAATCAACAGAACAGAATGGAAAGTCAAGAGACTGATGCATACGCATATGGGCAATTGATTTCTGACAAAGATGCCAAGATAATTGGACGGAGAAAAATAACTTTTCAGCAAATGGTGCTGGAGAGATCATAAAGCTATGAAGAGCAGGGATCAGAATGCAAATCAGTCCAGCTCCAGATCCCACAAACTAGAAACTATCAAACAAGAAATGAAACTAGAGAAAAAGGTAGAGAAAAGCATAGGTGGCAGTTGATTCCTCTATGCCACCCTTGTCCCTCATGACAGGGGATGGAAGAGCATCTCATCTCTGAGTCTCTGAGGAAGAGGGTCTCTCCACAAACACCAAACTTGTGCCATGAGAAGTGATCAACACAGCAGGAAAGGTGTGCTTGTTCTGAAAATGCTGTCTCAGCAGATTAGGCTGCCTCCAAAGGAGGAGTGTGGGTGGCTCAACTGCCCCCTGCTGTAGAGCTCCTGGAAAGAATTTGGGCCCCAGGCACCATGGTGGGGTGGGGAGAGATATGAGGACAGAGAGGAAGAGAAGAGGGAAAAGGCCAGAGAAGGAAAGTGGGCTCCAAAGTGAATTCTACAGAATGAAGTGTTGCTCAGTGCTCGATTCTAGCCCCATCCCCTCATTATATGGGTGCAAAAACTGGGGCCCAGAAAGAGGAAGGTACTTAAGGGAGGATGCACAGCCAAGAGGCAGACCTAGGATTCCAATTTAATGTTTTTCTCTGCAAATGCAGCTAACTCTGGTAAGTGGTGAATCACAGGGACAGACAGCAACTGTGATTGCCATAATGGAGGGTGGTTGTTCTAACATTCCAACAGAGGCTCCTGTCTCCCCTTTCCACAGAGCCCCAGGTGAAAGAGCCTTCTACCTTCTGCCTAGTGACCTGCCTTACTAGGGAGCTTGCTTAGGAGCTTGGGGCAATCCCCTGGGCCTATACTCATCCCAGGACTCTTTGGACCCAGGCTGTGCCCCTCTGTGTCCAGGCCACAGCCCTACCACCATCTCCTATGCTAACTGAGCCAGTGAGAAAGCAGAGGCACCCCCTGCCCTGATTCTGCAGTCTCAGACTGTCCAGGGAGGCTGCCTCACCAAATCTATGGTCGTCCCTCCAGGCTCCAACCACAGATGGTTTCCTCTTTGCTGGCCCACCTGAGGGAGTCCTGCCAGCCTTGGGAATCCCGGGAGGGAAAGCTTAGTGCTGGCACAGACTGGCTCAAGTCAGGCTTTCGTTTCCCAAGGTTTTGACCTTTTCACATCTGGCTGACCAGTAAATCCAGAGGAGCCACTGCAGGCTGGACATGTTGGGGGGCTGGATCTGTGGCAAACACGACAAGAAGAAAACAATCTCCCTCAACCCCCACCTCATCTGGGCTGCCCACCATTTTGGCCCTAACAGACCCTGACCATGCTCTACCCTAAGGCTGCCTCCTCTCTCAGTCTCTCCCACTAGCCTGCAAGCTCCCAAGGGCAAGAACCTCTGGGATTCATCCCCAATCTCCTAGAAGCCAGCTAGTTATAGGGATTCAGGAGATGCTTACCAAATTATAATTACATGAAAGAATCTGCATTCTGAACTCTCTTTTTGCAAAGGTTATGTAATTTTTTGGTTGATGTTGGTGAGTTGATTCATCTTCCATTCTCCTTAGTTTCATGATCTAAACTTCCTTTAACAGAAAAACACAAACCTTGCCTCAGCCAAGCTAAGTGGTAAAGGAGGCTGCTGTACTTTGGCCAGGCCAGGATCACTCACTGGAGGACCTGAGATTCCCAAAGCTGGAACTCTAGAGGTGGCTGCCAATGGGGAGGGGAAGGAGGGAAGAATTCACGCAGCTGGGGGCAGAGGTGGTGAATAAAGAAAGTGAGGGAAGCCAGGAAGCAGGGGTATCTGGAGCTGGGACAGCTGCTCCCCAACCCACCTGACCCAACCCTTCATCCAACCCAACAGCATGTTCTGAACATTCTACCTTGTGAACATCTCTGGAATCCTCCACCTCTCTCCTTTACCTAGTCCAGTCACTATTTTCTTTCCAGTGAACAACTGTGCCCACTCTTTCCAATGCCAACTCTGTACAGGAGCCAGACAAATCTTTTAAGAACAGCTCTGATCACATACTCCCTGCTTTAAATCCTTCAATAGTTTTCCACATACCCTGAAAAAATCCATACTCACTTCCTTTGCTAACACGTTTGCACATGATTGGGCTCCTGCCCATCTCTATCCATTCGTCTTGCATACCCCTTTTCATGCCCCACAAAACACCAAGTTCTTTCTGTCTTCAGGACTTTTGGACCACTCCTACTCAAGGAACCTCAACTGAATCCTGCTCATCTTTCTCACCTTAGCTGGAAGATCTGTCCCCAGCATCTAAAGTATATCCCCCCCGTCTGTTTCATTCACAGCTCTCATCAGCATTTGTAGTGATGCTATTTATGTTTGTTTACTCATTGGTTAATGGTCTCCCTCATAAGAAGGTAAGCTTCATGAGGACAGGAGCTGTTTCTCGTCCTCACCACCACATCCTTGCACAGACACAGTGCCTCCCACACAACAAATGGTGTTGAGGAAATGGAGACAGAGGCTCTCCCACCATCCTGTCAGAAATTCCCAGAGGGCTGGACCTCCCCCCCGCCAGAACCTTGGAGCTCCAGGGAAGCCCTAGCTCCAGGGAAGCCATAGAGAGATACAGACACTGTGGGCTACAAGGCAGGTGAGCATCACCCAACAGAAATGACAGTCGAGGGCTGGAAAGATAAATATTCCAAGAGAGTAAGGAGAAGTCCTGGAAGGCAGCCTCAGGACAGGACCCCAACCTAGCTTATCCCAAACTGTTCCACCATCTACAAGCCCAAGTTCATGACAGCACCTTGGGCCAGAGGAGTGTGGAGTCAAGATGGAGCATTTCTAATGTTCTCCTACTCTCAGATGGGGCATCTAGTGGTCAATGAGAGCAGAGCCTGGGTAGCCGAAAGAGACAGGTTTCTGGAAAAATGAGTATAATAAGGCTTACCTCACTAGACTGCTATGAGGATTAAATGCTGTAATATATAAAAAGCAGCCAGCACCTTAACCAGCATCCAGTAGATGCCCTTAATTCCCTTCTCCCATTCCCCCACCTCCCAAGGAGAACAACTGGGGGTGTATGCTGCATAATTCCTCTCCTTGCCTCCTCCATGTCTACCCTGAACTGTGGTATCTGGGTGGGAAACAGCTTCAGGCTGCAGATGCTATGACAGCGCTGGTTAAATTGAATTACACTGAAACCAGAGAAGCCTTCAGCTCTCCCAGGGAGTTCAGAAGTGTTCACCCTGAGAGTAACTGCACACTGCACAGGAAAAGGCATTCAAGTTGATAAGAAGTCATTCAGATCACCATCTAATGCAGCTTTTGCCTTTGAAATAAATTCATTCCTTATTAGCACATACTTGGGATTTCCAGGATTGAATTTTATTTCTATTACAGAAAGCCCATTTTTAAGACATTTTTATCATGTTGTCATGGTCCTATGTAATTTCATCTCTCCACAATGTTACTTTCATTCACATGCATAGAGCTATAAGCCCTAGTGAGAAAGGTAAAGAGAAAGAGAGAACAGGAACAATAGTCATTGATCCAACTAGGGTAGAAGCCAGTACCACTACATAACACAGATGTGTCCACATCACTGAGGGTCTGCAGTCACAAAACAGTATTTAGACTTCTCCTGAAAGCAAAGTGAAGTCACTGAAGGCCAACTAAGGATTTGGAATAGGTAACAAATGATAAAATTTTCTTTTTAAAATACTTACTTTGGTTATAATGGAAAAGACAGATGCAACAGAAGGGAAGTAGTTAAGAAACTGTTCAAACATTCATTCAATTTAGATGTGACACCAAAAAAGCTAAGTGAAAAAAGAAAAAATAGGTAAATTGAACATAATGAAAATGTAAAACTTTTGTGCTTCAGAGGGCAGCCTCAAGAATGTGAAAAGACAAACCACAGAATCAAAGAAAATATTCATAAATTATATATCTGATGAGACTTGCATCAAGAATACAAAAACAACTCTTACAACTCAACAATAAAAAGAGAATCCAATTTAAAAGTTGGCAAAGGACTCGAATAGACATTTATTTTAAGAAGATATACAAATAATCAATAAACACATGAAAAGATGTTCAATATTATTAGTCATTAGGAGAATGTAAATCGAAACCACAATGAGATTCTACTCCACATCCACTAATATGTCTATAATCATAAAGACAGACAATAAGTATTAGTGCAGATATGGAGAAATTGCTGGTGGGAACGTAAAATGATGCAGCCACTTTGAAAAATAGTTTGGCAGGTCCTCATCGAGTTAAGCATAGAGTCACCACATAACCCAGCAATTCCACTCCATTCCACCTAAGAGAACTGAAAACATGCCGATACAAAAACCTGTCCATGAATGTTCAGAGCAGCATTATTCATGATAGCCAAAAAGTGGCAACAACCCAAATGTGCAACAGCTGATGAGGAGAGAAACAAAATGTGGTATATCCATACAAGGGAATATTATTCAGCCATAAAAAGGAAGAATTCTGACACATGCTACAACATGGATGAACCTTGAAAATACCACGTCAAACAAAAGAGGCTACTCACAAAAGATCACATATTGTATGATTCCATTTATATGAAATGTCCAAAATAGGCACATTCATAGAAACAGAATGTAGACTGGTGGTTGCCCAGGGCTAGGGAGAGGGGAGAATGGGGAGTAACTACTAATACTGCTAACAGGGATGGGGTTTTGGGGGAGGGGGATTAAAATATTCTGGATTAGGTAGGGTAATTGATGCATGATGTTGTGAATATACTAAAAATCATTGAGCGATACACTTTAGAAGAGTGAACTTTATGGTGTATCAGTTATATCTCAATGAAGCTATTATTTGAAAAATAAAAGGCATTCATTAGTAAAGTTTCCAGGCGTTGTTCTAGGCAGTGAGGAAACAGTGAACAAAACCAACACAAATCCCTGCCCTTAAGGAACTGACATTCTAGTGGAATAATCCTAGTGAGAGATAATTCCATCAAGAGATCATCTTAGTGAGGGTCTTAGTAAGTTAATGTCACTGAAGAGAGAAGCAGATGGATTCGAGAGAGGCTCTGATGCAACAATCAACATGGCTTGCTGACCAACAGCAACAGGAGAGATGCCTGGGATCACCTTCCCCTAGAGAGCTCACAATAATTCTTATTGTTACTCTCTGTGGCCTCCAGAGTCACTGTTCCCCACTTTAAAAGCACTAGAAAATTAGACAAAGTGGTCTTTGTAAGCCAGAGATTTCAGGAATCCCTGAAAAATAAAAGACAAGGGGAACTTACTTGGTTTGAAAGAGAAAATCACAGCCAAAACTCATGCACAAAAGAACCTGAAGCATAAAAACAGGCAAGACCCCAAAGCTACTCAAAGCTCAGAGGTAGTGGATTCCAGAAGCAGGAAAGTGTTGGAACAAAGTTCTCCCACATTTCTGCAAATCTTGTAAAAAGAGGCAATGATAGCTTTTCTTCCAGACTATCCTTTCAAAGATGTTTGAATAGAGATAGCCATAGAAGATAGAGATAGTATCTCCCTCCAGGAGCAGGGGACACGATTAGTTTCTGTCTAGTACAATAAAAATAATGTCACCCTCAAGGGCAAATTTTGGGTAAGTTTGCCTGCAGCCCGTTATAAAAGATTGGAGTTTCCTAAGCCTGAGGTCCTTCAGCTTTGACAACAACTCAGTGCATATGCATCCACATGAGCCAGCTCTGTGTCACTCCTGTGGGACTTGAGGGTGTTGGGAAGAAGCAAGGGGAATTGACATGACAAACAACTTCATGCTGCCTGATGAACCATGAGTAGTGAAATCCTTTGTCTCCAACCCAGAGGTCTCATGTCTTCTGCCAACATCTATGAAACTGTGGCAGACTAACTTGTTAGTTTGCAAGTAAGGTAAAATTTCAGATCTTAACAGTTCCTAACAAACAGGCCTTGAGACAACCTGCTAGGTAACTGGTCAGCGAAACCACAGGAAGAGCAGCCAGATGGGATCATCCTCTCCTTTGACCCTTACTTGCTAAGACCAGGTAATGATATATAGCCCAAGTGGGGTCAGTAAGGGAGACCACAGAATGAGGGTAGTACATGGAGTGCCTGAACACACCCTGAAGAACAGGGTGCTCCCACAGCCAAAAGACAAACTAGTGGCACACTCTGTGAAAAGTACTCTTCCCCACATAATCACAGAGTGTAGTTAACAAATTCAGCATCCACAGGCTAATAAACTCTCAGATACAAAAAATCAGCCCATGAAAGAGAAGTGCACATACAAACACACACATGAACACCCAAAGAAGGAGACTTAATACAGCAGAGTAAGTTTTTACAATAAGGGTAATCACTATGTACATAAAAGTGCAAGAGAAAATCATAGCCATAAAAAATTAAAGTTCTTGGGATCTTACAATGGAATCATAAATCAGAGCTGAATAAAAGGCTAGACACAGCTAAAAGCAAATCAAGTAATTGGAAGACTGACTCAAGGAATTCTCCATGAGCACAACACAAAACAACAAAGAAATGGAAATTTTTTTAAAAAGGATTAGGAGAAACAGAATTCCAAGAGATAAAATATTACCCAAAAAAGTGGGTCTCAGAAACAAAGATTAGAGAAGATAGAAGGAGAGAATACACTCGCATAAATAATCAGAAAAAAGTTCCCAAGGTTGAAGAAAGACATAAAGTCTCTGAGTGAAAAGGCCCATTGAGTGCCAAGAAGAATGAAACCAACAAATCCACAGTCCTAGTGAAAGATTTTTAAACACCTCTCAGAAATTAAGAGATAAACTAGACCAAAATTAATTATAAAGAGAGGTGCCATCCATACAGTAGCCTATTTAAACATGACTGTTTAAATTTAAATTTAAAATAATTAAAATTAAATATAATTTAAAACTTAGGTCCTCAGTCCCAATGGACACATTTTAAGTGCTTGATAGTCATATGCAGCTAGTAGCTACTTTATTAGATGGTGCAGATACAGAACATTTCCATCATCTCAGAAAGTTCTATTGGATACTACCAAAAGGACTTAAATAACACAATAATAAATTGGTTATAACTGTAAAACACAGAAAATTGCACCCAACAAATAGAAAATACACATTTTCATAAAATACACATGAAACATTGAAATATTGACTACGTATTAGGCCACAAAGGAAATCATACAGTCCATATTCACTAACACAATGCAATAGAATTAAAAATAAAAATTATAATGAGAAGTTTGAAAATATCTGTGTATTAGAAACTATAATTTCTACCTAATTCTTAAGTCAGAGAGAAAATCAAAATAGTTATTATCAACTAGAAATGAAATAGAAGTTACAAACTATAGGGTATAACAAGCAAGGAGCTCAAAAGATTTGTATCCTTAAATGCTTTGTTGGGGTGGTGGTGAGGGGAGTTGAAATTATGCTTTTCTCAGAGACCAATAATGACAAAAAATATGGAAAAATACCCTAATGTTTACGAAATTTAATGAGCAAATGCTGCCAAATTTTCAAAGAAGAGAAAAATCCTAGGTTGTGGAAACCATTTCAGAGCATAGAAAAACGAAATAGATAGCTACAACTCATTTCACAAGGCTAGCATAACTCTTATACCAGGAAGAGCATAAACAAAGAAAGCTATGCCAACCACATTTATGAACGTAAATACAAAATACCTAAAGAAAGTACATGCTAATATCACATGATAAATTTGAACATCCATTCTTGATTTTTTTAAGAAAATAAAAATATTTCTTGACAAACTACCAACTGAAGAAAAATTCCTCAAGTTGATAATCTAACAGAAACCTACAACAATAATCCAAGTTAGGGGAGAAAATTTAGAGACATTCCCTATAGTCAAGGCCTAGCTAGTGGTGAGCCATCTGGAGTAGCCACTACCATCATGCTGGCTGCACCAGGTAGGCGTGCCCGGGGCTGCACACTCCATGGAGCTGGTAGGAGCTGGGAACAAGAAGGAGCCCCACTCCTTCAGAGTTAAGGCAGGAGCTCCCCAGGTGCTGCTGCAGCCACCCAAGCCATGGCTCTGGGTCCAGGCATTCCTGTGCTCTTGGGGCCTAGGAACAGGCAGGAGCCCTACCCTCCCAGGCACAGCTGCAGCCACCCAAACAGAGGCTGCAAACCCAATTCTCCCACTCCACAGAGCAGGCAGGAGACCTGAGCCCCTGGGCACAGCTGCAGCTGCTCAATCCATGGCTGCAGACTCAGGCATCTCTGCATGTGCCTGCTCCCAATACCATGTCTGAAGACCCAGGCATCTCTGCAAGTGCCTGCTCCCACTGCCTGGCTTCTCCCTGCTGTCAGTGCCCACTCCAATCTCAGAGCAAAGTTGGGGCTGAGCCTAGGCACTGCTGCAGCCTAGGTGTGCACACACTTGGAGCAGTGCTGACACACCAGCTCCTTCTTGCCACCTCAGCCCGCTCCAGACTTTGGGCACTGACAAGCATAGGAGGGAAGCCGAGGAGAGTTTGAGGGCATCTCAGCGCTGGCCTGCAGGCACCCCTTGGCACCTACAGCCTGGATGCCATGAACAGCGGCAGAAGGCAGACAGTTCCTGGGTGGAAGGGGGCAGGTCCCCAGTGAGGCTCTCACCTTCAGGTCAGGGAGGGCCTGAAGGCTGGGGGCCAGGCTGCCAGTCCCGTGGACTGGAGTGGGAACTTGTGGTGCCTTTTTTGGGCTTGCCCGTGACCACCCATGGGCCAAATGGCATGAACTTCCTCCCCTCTGAGGCCCATAAAAGCCCAAGCTCAGAGCTGAGCATACATCAGGATGACCAGCTGCAGAGAGGAGCAACCCACTCTAGGGTCTCCTCTCTGCTGAGAGCTGCAGAAATGATGGGATGACCTGCCTGCAGAGAGGAGCTACCCACTCTAGAGCCTCCTCTCTGCTGAGAGCTGCACAGACGATGGGATGACCAGCAGCAGAGAGGAGCTACACTCTCCACTGATAGCTGAACACTTATTGGGATGACTTGCCTAGCAGAGAGGAGCTATCCTCTATGCTAGGAGCTGAATACTCATTGGGACACCCTGGCTGCAGAAAGGAGCTGCTCCCTGTGGGTTTCCCGTGAGCTGTTCTATCGCTTGATAAAGCTCTTCTTTGTCTTGCTCACCCTCCACTTGTCTGCATACCTCATTCTTCCTGGGCACAAGACAAGAACTTGGGACTCACCAAATAAGGCTAAAAGAGCTATAATAAAAACAGGGCTGAGACATACCCCTTGCTCGCTATGTTGTGGGCAAAGAGAAGGAAAGAAGAGCTGTGGTCCTTCAGGGAGCCCAGACTGGGAGCTCCTGGAGCCAGGGCTGTAACTCCCTCTTTGAGGCCCTGCAGTTCCTGGCATCTCCAAGGTGTGAGCCACAGCGCCCAGCCTTTTACCTACTTATTGAGAAAAAAAATTTAAGGTTGATAAGCAAGTGTCGTGGAAGTTATGGAGAAACAGAAACTCATGTACTGCTGGTAGAAATGTGAATGGAATGTCTTTAAAGTGCTATCATATTTTAACGTGAATGCTGACTTTCAGTTTGAACATTCCCTCCTTCTTTTAATGGAAATTATCCCAAAGGCAACAAGAATAGAAAAGGGGGAAAAGCCTCCAAACTCCATTTTCAGTAAAACTAAAAGCCCCCTAAAACTCCAAACCACTAAGTAAGTGCCAAAAGGTGGGAAGATTAGGCAGATGTCACTAAGAATCAGCAAGGTATATCTCTGCAATCCTTTCTTTGCAAAAGCTGGAAAGGAGTCTCTGGACTAAAATTAAGAGCACTTCTGAATTCACATTGGTTCCAAGAAACACGGCAAATTCAGCTAAACAAAGAATCACACAGACAAGTCATATTACTCAGGCAATGAGACAAAGACAAACTTTGCTTTGTAAAAGTTCTACAGCTGCTTATTTTATGGACTAGAATGAAATAAATGTTAAACAAACTCACAAATAAAAGCCTTAATCATAAGAAAAATTCTACCTAACCTGTAACTAAGCCCTGGCCATTCTTCCTCACAAACCTCTCGAAAATAGCTAGTCTAGTAAAGCCTCGTCATCTTCAAAGATGAATAATTTAAAAGGAATCAGCACAGGAACTATTCAAAGATGCTACAAGAAACAAATGAGAAAAACAGATGGCAGACAACAAATATACTTAAGAGAAATATTAATGCAAAGAAGATTAAAATTGTGAAGGAAAATAAATTTGCCATTAATTTAGAAATCTTAATGAAACAATCACCTCTATGCAACAAGAGTACCTAGTAAATGTACTAAGAGTTCAAAGAAGAAATGGTGAGAAAATAAGAGAAGATAAAATTTGAACTGGAAATCAATTAAGGCAAAACTGGAACACAGACGAGAAAGAACAGACATTTTCTAAAACCCTGCAAGGGGCATAGTATGTATATATAAGTCAGAAAATAAATAAAAAGGAAGTATTTTGTTAATTGACAAAACATTACAGATACAGAAGACAAAGAAGATGAACAGTGTATAATTAGAGTCTTTGGAGGACAGAAAAAAACAATGCAACTTAACAAATATTTTAAGATACAATTATAGATAATTTTCGTGACATAAGAAAAATTTTGACTTTACATATTGACCATGTGTTGGGGAAAACAGAGAAAAAATATTTAAAACTAAGCCATTTTCTAGCAAAAATCTCTGGGCTTCAAAATTTAAAGAAAAAAAAAAACCTGGGTAGGAAGGCACAAAGATCAAGTCACTTTTGAGGTGGAAATAATCAGGCCATCTTGAGATTTCTCTACAACATGCAAAGCCAAAAATTTTTTTAAGTTAAAATAAATAAATAAAAATTTAAAAATTAGAGTAATTCCTGTAAAATTTGCAAAGAAAGAAAAGGCAATTCTAAAATTTTACACTGGCCAAACTGATATTCAACTATAAAAGCAACAAAGAGTTTTAGACATGCAAGAATTAAGGAACTATTGCTCCCACTAATACTTCTGGAGATCTGAACCTCAACCAAAATCCCGGCATGGTGTGTGTGTGTATATAAATTTAAAAACTGAATCTAAAATTTATATGGAAATGCAAAGGGCCAAGAATAGACAAGGAACCCTTGAAAAAGGACAAAGCTGAACTTAAACTTTCAGATTTCAAGCTATGTAAAACAATAACAATTAAATGTATGGTTCTGGCAAAGAAGAGACAAATAGCTCAATGTGACAAACTAGGGATTCCAGAAACAAACGCACATATATACAGTTACTTGGTTATGACAAAGATTAGACTACTGAGCAGAGGGGGATGGACAGATTTTCACTCAATGGTACAGGATCAAATAGATATCCATATAAAAATAAATAAATTTTTGCACCCTACCTCACACTAAACACAAAAACCAGTTCCAGATGGATTGCACATATAAAAATAACAGCCAAATCAGTTTAAATTTTAGAATAAAACATTTTAAAATATCTTCATAAACTTGGGATAGACAAGATTTCCTAAAAAAGATACAAAATTGCTAATCATTAACAACTGATAAATTAGAATATATTACCACTGTAAAGTTTTTGTTCATCAAAAAATACCATTAAATAAAATAAAATGCAAATAGCTGAGTGGAAGAGGATATTTTCAATAGATGTGTCCAACAAATAACTCATATCCAAAATATATAAATAACTCCTACAAATTAAAAAGAAAAAGGCAACTGAGTAGAATTTAATGACATAAATGATATAAATAGTATATAACGATTTTTTTTTGAGACAGGGTCTCACCATGTAGCCCAGGCTGGTTTCAAACTCCTGGCCTTAAGCAATCCTCCCAAGGCCTCAGCCTCCTGGCACTTCATAAGAGTTCCTGAAATTAAACACATGTAAGGGTGTGCTGTTTCATTAGTCATCACAGTTACATAAATTAAAACGCAATTAGTTACTACTACTTACCCACCCATGGACCATAATGGCTAAAATGTAAAGGATAAACAATACCATGCATCAGTGACAATGTGAAGCAATTAGAATTCTTACACCCTGTTAGTGAAAATATAAATTGGTACAACTACTTTGGAAAACTGCTTGGCAGTATCTACAAAAGCTGAACATCACACATTCTACAACCCAACAATTGCACTCCTGGGTATACACCCAACAGAAAGGCTTACAAATGTGCCTCAAAAGACATGTACAAAGAAATGTGTAACAGCATTACTTGTAATAGCTCAAAAAGTAAAATGAAAATGTCTACCAACAAAAGAATAAAAAACTGAATTGTGATACAGAGTTACAGTGACAATAGTCCCTCCATGTCCACACCTAGTAGATGCCTAAAACTGTGGATACTACTGAATCCTAAATATACTATGCATGAATTTCTTTTTCCTTCTCAATTTCACAGATAGAAGATTCGTTCTTACTGTAGATCTTGGCAACCTCAGCAGACAATTTTTTCTTTCCTTATTAAGTTGAGAAATTGCATCTTTCACTTAATGGAAGTACTTTCAGCTTCTCTTTGGCATGTCTGAATTACCAGCATCACTATTCTTGCTATTATTAAGTAAAATAAGGGTTACTTGAACACAAGCACTGTGATACTGTAACAGTCTATCTGACAACCTGCTAACCTAGAGAGTTACTAAGTAAGTAATGAGAAGGTAGTATATATAGCATGGATATGCTGGAGAAAGGGAGGATTCATGTCCCAGGCAGGCCAAAGCAGATAGTGTGAGATTTCACCATGCTAATCAGAACTGCATGCAATTTAAAACTTAAGCATTGTTTATTTCAGGCATTTTCCACTTAATATTTTTGAACCACAGTTGACCCTGGTAACTGAAACTGCAGAAAGCAAAACCACAGTTAAGGGAGGACTATTATAATACTAGTCAGCAATGAAAATATATTAACTACTACTTCACCCAACAATGTGGATGACTCCTAAACATATGCTGAGCAAAATAAGCCAGACATAAAAAGAAAATACATACTGAATGATTTCATTTATAAAAAATTCAAAAATAGGCAAAACTAATTATGGTGATAAAAGTCAGTATACTGATTATCTTTAAGGAGGAGTTAGCATCTGTAAAGGGGATTTGGGGTGTTGCTGGTAATGTCATGGTTCTTATTCTGGAGGCTGCTTACATGAGTATGTTCACATTATAAAAATTCATAAGGGACTTCTGGTTTCAGCTTTGATGTTTAGTGCTTGGAAGCTGTCACTTCCATCCTCACAACAACAACAAAAAATGCTGAACAAACTAAAAATCAACAACCTTCTTAGACCCATCAGAGAATTGAGGTCACAGGGCAAACTGCTACCTGAAAAACTGGAGAAACAAGTGAATACAGAGAATCACAGCTTACCAAAAGCAGAAGCTACTAGAGCCAGGAATTGATAGGAACACTTAAATGGGAATTGACAGATTGCCAGAAGCTGAGTGTGGACTACCTTGGGGGTTAAATACTCCCAGGGTCGGGGGTTCAGCTTTGGAGAGGACCACACTTCCCTGAGTTCTATTTAAAGAAGCCCCACCTGGGTGAAAATCTAATGAAAATCCTCTCATGCTCATGGCAGGGGGTGGGGGTAGGGGGCTAACGATCTGAAATATGCCCAGGGGTAAAGTAGCCTTTTAGAAATACTCCCAGGATTGTTCTTCTCTGTTCTCCAGTGACAGCAGCCTGCCCTCAGAGGAAACGATATAACCAGAGCCTAACCAGCATGCGGGAAGGAAAATACCCAACTCCAGTCCTCTCTAGTCTTCCTGTCTCACCTAAGGAAGGAATACAATATCTGAGGCACACTTGTGAATGTCAGAGACCAGGCGCTCACACCCATTAAAAGACTGAGACCTAACCATAGGAGTATTGAATATGTCCCCTCCCCATATAATTCTACCATCTATAACATCAACAGGGTTCCTATCTAATAACAGGAGATTACAGCTGAAAGAACTGCAAAGCTCAGATTCTACTTAAGAAGGAATTTCTAGGGAAACTCAAAAACAGGAAAGACACTAGTGGAATCTGAAGCAACTATAGCAAAGTTGAAGGATATAAGGTTAATATTTTTTAAAAGTCCATAGCTTTCCTATATATCAGCAATGAACAACTGGAATTTGAAATTAAAAACATGATACTCTTTACATTAGCATAAAAAATGAAATATTTAGGTAGAAGCCTAACAAAATACGTACAAGATCTATGAGGAAAACTACAAAACTCTGATGAAAGAAATTGAAGAAGATCTTTTAAAAATAAATAGGTATTCCATGTTCATGGATAGAAAGACACCATTATCAAGGTGTCAGTTCTTCCCAACCTGATCTATAGTTTCAACACAATCCCAATCAAAATCCCAGCAGGTTATTCTATGAATATCAACAAAATGATTTTAAGGTTTATATGCAAAGGCAAAAGACCCAGAATAGCCAACACAATGTGGAAGAAAAACAAAGTCCAAGGAGTAACACTAACTTCAAGGACTTACTATGCAGCTACAGCAATCAAAACAGTGCGGCATTGGTAAAAGAACAGACACATGAATCAATGGAACAGAAAGGAGAGCCCAGAAATAAACCCACATAAATATATTCAACTCATCTTTGACAAAGAAACAAAGAAACAAGAGGAATTCAATGGAGAAAGGACAGTCTTTTCAGCAGATAGTGGTGCAATAACCAGATATCTACAAATAAAAAAAATTGATCTGGAATGATATGGCAGTGCCATGGAGCCTCAGTTGGTCTCATATAGCTAGTCTCTTGCTGTCCCTGCCGGCAGACCACTCTGTCTCCTACAGGGCATGCATGTGCAGGATCAGGTGATATGCGTGATCAGTGGCTGCAGCCTAGAAAGATGGCAGAGCAAGAGCAAAGAAAAAAATTCCCTTTGATTCCAGAATATCTCCTGAAAAAGATGAAGACTTTTCAAGCCCTCAAAGCCATCCAGGCAAAGTAGGCACTTCTGGTAAAGAATGAGCAGAGGAAAGGAAGAAGGCTCAGGTTTAAGCGACTGGAATTCGTCCTACATGATTCCTAGCAGCAGAAATGTGGCAGGGTGCATCTCCTATGACTAGAAGTGAAGCCTCATGCCTTAGAATTGCCAGATAAACTTTTCTTGGCCTCTGTTGTATACATCCAAAGGATTAATGGGGTGAGTTCACTGGTGCAGAGGAACACTGCAAGAGTTCTGAAGATTTTCTGTGGTGTCTGTCAAAGTCATCCCCCAGAGCCTAAAAGTGGAAACTTATGTGACCTGGGGATTTCCAAATCTGAAGTCTGTCCAGGAACTCATTTTGAAACGTGTGCAAGCCAAGGTTAAGAATAAGACCATCCCTCCATCAGACAACACAGTGACTAAGGAGCACCTGGGGAGGTTTGGTGTCATTTGCTTGGAAGACCTCCGTCATGAAATGGCCTTCCCTGGGAAGAATTTCCAAGAGATCTCATGGTTCTTGTGCCCCTTCTACCTCTCAATGGCCCATCATGCTACCAATAATAGAATGGACTTCTTCAAGGATATGGGCTCACCTGGCTATCAGGGTGAACACATCAATCAGCTCATCCTCCAACTGAAATAGACACAGAATTTCTGAAAACACAGTGCATTGGAAGCACATGTTTTTGTTTTTTGAAATTATCAAGTATCTTGAGAGATTATTTTCTGCTCTGTCTTCAAAAACTGGAAGGGAAGGGCTAGACAAAAGATAGTAGGTTGTGTGCATGGCAGTCACCTCTCATCACAGTTCAGTTCCAAGGAAAATTTTCAGTGTTTTCCAAGTTGGCTGTTGCCTCCTCTGAAATCAGCACATGCCATGAAGGAAGGAGTCTTGCTTTGCCTCATCTTCTACCCTAGGGTTTAATGTTGGTGAATAAATAACTCAAGGACCCCTTTCTACAAGGACCCCTAAAACTCCTGCAGCAGTGGACCAAGCCCAGGGGCATACTTACAACTGGGAAGTCCTAGGGCCTTATTTTGAAAAGACTTGAAATACAATTAGGAAGACAAGCACAAAAGCAAGTGTTCACTTCTCTCTGCTGTGAGTCCAAGTTCCAACTTTTCAGTCATGGCTTTGAGAGCTCTCAGACTTGCCTGGCTCTAAGTCTATATGGTGGCTTTTTAATCCTAGCCTGCAACTGGCTTAGTCCTTTTTGCTGGCTCAGGATTTGAGAATGAAGGGTCCCTTCACCAGGAAAACATGCATATACTCAAAATGTTGCTTGCAGTTTTAGGATGTTCATAACCCCTTCTCCTCAGGGACCTTATATAAGGGAGTCCTGCTCTTATCAGGATTGGTCACCCAGGCTTTGATGTTGCTAGCATCTGGTTACCAAGATAGCTTTTTCCCTTCACAGTGGCATGTTGTGTTGCCCTCTGCACCATCTATGATACTGGGAAATGCCCACCATTATTCCCCCTGGGCTTCAGGATGGAATTTTGGTTTCCCTGATGATTATACTTCTCCTTAAAACACAGATCTGGATGGAATGAATCATTTTCTTGGTTTGCATAGATGAAATTAGCTTTATTTGGCTTCCTAGGCCCCAGGCAGGCAGCTTAATTGACCTTCTCCTTGCATATTCTGGACTCCAGAAGCATTGCCCTCTGTCTTGCTGGTAATGATGTAGTAGTCCAGCAACAGAGCTTCCAGGGATTTTAATCCTGAAAAAGGGGTCTGAAACTGCTTGTATTTTTTTGACCAATATCCACCTCTATTAAATGGACCTGCCCTCTATTCCATTCACTTAGTTGCCTCTGCTTGCCATCAGAGCAACTGGTGAGGATGTGCCAAATCTAGATTAAACTTGAAAATATGCTTGACCATTGTGTTTCCTGGTCCTTTCAGATCAGCTTGCTGCAATTTTGATTCATGGAGCCCTCAAATATAGCTGTGAAATTAAGTTAGAGGTATAACAATGCCTTAAAATGTGCCAGGTTATGAGGTAATTAGGTTGGTTGTCTCCAGAGTTAAACTGCCAGGAATAGATGTTACTCTTATACTGTAAAACACTATGAAATCAGATTACTTTCAAATGATGTATCACAAAGTCATGGGATTGGGGGGAAGCAGTTGTGAGTATGGAAACCCAAGGCTTACATCACATCACTGTCTTGGTTTTTTAAGAGACAAGGTCTCACTCCATTGCCTAGGCCAGAGTGCAGGGGCATGATCATATCCCAGCTTGTCTTATACTAAATATGAGAACAATGTTTCCACTCTCGCCTGTAAAATGGAGCTAATATCCTCTAGTCTGTCTGCCTTACTTGGTGGTTAAATGGATTAAGCAAAATAATAGTTTGTAATTTATAATTCTATATAAATAAAAGAGGTTATCATTTTAAAAAATCTATCAAGCCGTGAAAAGACATGGAGGAAACCTAAATGCATATTGCTAAGTAAAAGAAGCCAGTCTGAGGAGGCTACATACTGTATGATTCCAAATAAGTGACACTCTGGAAAAGGCACACTATAAAAACAGTAAAAATATCAATTGTTGCCAAGGGGAAGGGAAAGGAGAGAGAGATGAACAGTTGGAGCACAGTGGATTTTTAGAGCAATGAAACTATTCCAAACAATACTGTAATGGTAAATATATGACATTGTGCATTTGTCAAAACCCATAGAACTGCACAACAAAGAGTGAACCCTAATGTAAAAAATAAACTTCAGTTAATAATCTATCAATAATGGTTCATCAATTGTAACAAGTGTACCACATTAAAGCAAGATGTTCATAACAGGGGAAACTCTGAAGGGAGGGTAGACACAGGAACTCTGTACTATCTGCATAATCATTCTATAAACCTATAATATTCCTAAAAAATTAATTAAGTCAACTAATATCAAAAAATTACTTATATATGTAAAAGTAAAATCAAAACAGATGTCAGATTATAATTTAAAATTTTTCAACTAAAGTTGGGAAGAAGAGGGGTAAAAAAAATGGCCAGTAGTAGAAGTACATTAATTTCCTTTTCTTTAATAGCTGGTGAAAAAAAGCAGTTAAAGTAAACAAATCAATAAATAAAGTTATAAATATATCTAAAAGCACTAAGATAAATGTCAATTATGACAATACAACCTGCTAGAAATCACACCTATATAATAGGAGAGGAAGAAGAGGATGTGGGGAGGAAAAAAGAATAATTTCATCATTGCTCATAGTGGAAAATGAATAGATACTATCTACAGAAATAGATGACTAAAACTATTATATAAAATAATAACTATAACCAGAACAAAATTACAAACTTTTTTAATTCTTAAAATACTCCAATGAATAAAGAAAAATAAGCAGATCACATAGTGAAATTTTTTTAACATAACATGTCAGAACTAGGTCCAAATATATTGTTAGCAACCTAAGTAAACAGGCTAAACTCACCTATTTAAAACAAAAAGACGTTCAGATTGGATCCTAAACCCAAATGCAACTCTTATTTTATATGTAAGAGTCACCTCAAATCAAAATAATTCAAAAATGCTAAAAAATAAAATAAGCAATGGTATACCAAGTGGAAAAAAAACAAAAAACAAGATATCAATGTATTGTACAACCAACTTTAATTCACAGCAAAAGTATTAAATTAAAAAAAGAAGCCTCCTTCACAATGTAGAAAAGTATAGTTCACAATGATGATTTAACCAGTACAAATATCTATGCATCGAAAAATACACTATCAATGTTAATAAAATAAAACCTTCAAGAGAAACAGAAACACACTAGAAGCTGAAGATTTTATTCATTTTTACACTTTGTTTTCATGATAGATCACGAAAAATAATTAAGAATATAAAAGACATTAAAAACATAATGAAGAAAATCTAATTAATATATATCAAACAACATATCTGAAAATAGATAATATTCCTTCTTTTCACACATCCTTGTCGATTCTCAAAAACTGAACAAATGTTGGGCCTAAAAATATTTTTTAAGTGCCAAAATCTAACAATAAAACAAAATACAATCTGCCACAATGCATTTAAACTAGAAATTAATGACATGATCAGAAAATAAAAACCCCTACTCCCATGAGGATACATGTAAGAACTTTCAAGAGACAACATAAGCAGTGCTCAGAGGAAAATTCACAACCTTAAATATTTATCTTAATAAATAAGCAAGAATAAAAATAAATAATGAAGCATCAAACTCAAGAAGTTAAAATTAACTGAAACATAGAAGGGCAGGTGCGGTGGCTCACACCTATAATCCCAGCACTTTGGGAGGCCAAGGCGGGTGGATCACAAGGTCAGGAGATTGAGACCATCCTGGCTAACACAGTGAAACCCTGTCTCTACTAAAAATACAAAAAATTAGCTGGGCGTGGTGGTGGGCGCCTGTAGTCCCAGCTACTCAGGAGGCTGAGGCAGGAGAATGGCGTGAACCCAGGAGGCGGAGCTTGTAGTGAGCCAAAATCGCACCACTGCACTCCAGCCTGGGCAACAGAGCAAGACTCTGTCTCAAAATTAAAAAAAAGAAAGAAACATAGAAAATAGTAGTATAATAAATCTAAAAGCTGACTGAAAAAAATAAAAGCTCTCAATGGCACTTATGTATCAGGCACTGCAATAGATGTTTCATGAATATTAATTTTTTAATTTTATCTGTTATTGATACATAATAGATGTAAATATTTAGGGGATACATGTGATAATTTAAAAATGGATATAATTTGTAAAGATCAAATCAGTGTAATTGTAATATCCATTATGTTAAATATTTGTCTTTATGCTTTAAACATTCAAATTATTCTCTTCTAGCTACTTTGAAATATATGATCGATTATTGTAAGCTATAGTCACCATACTGATCTGTCAAACACTAGGTCTGATTTCTTCTATCAAACTATGTACATACATACCCATTACTCAACCTCTCTTCATCCCCTCCTTCTCTACACCCTTCCCAGCCTCTAGTAACTGCCAATCTACTCTCTATCATAAAAGAATCACTTTTTAAAAGTCCCACATATGAGTTAGAAGATGTGATATTTGTTTTTCTCTGTCTGGCTTACTTCACTTAACGTAATAACCATCCATAGTCCCATTCCATATTGCTACAAATGATAGGATTTCATTATTTTTATGGCTGAATAATATTCCCCTCTGTATACATACTACATTGTCTTCATCCATTCCTCCATTGATGAGCACTGCTATAGATGCTTTGTGAATATTAATTATTTTAATTTTATTTTTACTCCATATTTTGGCTATTATGAATAGTGCTGCAATAAACATAGGAGTGCAAATATCTCCAATATATTTATTTCCTTTCTTTTGGATATATACCCAGTAGTGGAACTGCTGGATCATATAGTAGTTCTTAGTTTTTTGAGAAACCTCCATACAGTTTTCCATAGTGGCTGCATCAATATATATTCAGAAAAACTGTGTATGAGGGTCCCCATTATTCAAATACTCAACAACATTTCTTATTCCCTGTTTTTTTATAAAAACCATTTTAACTGGGGTGAGGTGATATCTCATTGTGATTTTGATTTGCATTACCCTGATGATTAATGATGTTGAACATTTTTCATAAACTCATTGGCCATTGGTATGTCTTCTTTTGAGAAATGCCTATTCATGTTCTTTGCCTACTTTTTAATGAGTTTTTTTTAACTGATGAGTTGTTTGAGTTCCTTGTATATTCTGAATATTTGTCCCTTGTCAGATGAATAGTTTGCAATATTTTCTACCATTCAATGGGTTGTCTCTTCACTCTATTGGTTGTTTCCTTTGCTGTGCAAAAGCTTTTTAGTTTCATAGAGTGCCACTGTCTATTTTTGTTTTTGTCACCTGTTCTCTTGAGGCCTTGGCCATAAGATCTTTGCCTAGATCAATATCCTAAAATATTTTCCCTGTTTTCTTCTAGTAGTTTTACAGTTTCAGATCTTACAATTGAGTATTTAATCTATCTTGAGTTGATGTTTTATATGATGAAATATAGGGGTCCAGTTTCATTCTTCTGCAAATAAATGTCAGATTTTCCCAGGACCATTTTTTGAAGAAAGTGTCCTCTCCTCAGTGTATGTTCTTGGTTGCCTTTGTCAAAAATCCATTAGCTGTAAATATGTTAATTTATTTCTGGGTTCTCTATTCTGTTCCATTGGTCTATGTGTCTGTCTTTATACCTATACAATGCTATTTTGGTTACTATAGACTTGTATGTATTTATAAGTTAGGTAGTGTGATGCCTCCAACTTTGTTCTTTTTGCTCAGGATTGCTTTGGCTATTCAAGATATTTTTTGGTTCTATACAAATTTTAGGATTTTTTTCTATTTCTGTGAAAAATGACATTGGTATTTTGATAGGGAACACATTGAATCTGTAGATTGCTTTGGGCAGTATGGTCATTTTAGCAATATCAATTCTTCTAATCCATGAGCATGGAATGTCTTTCCATTTGCTTCTGTCCTCTTCAATTTCTTTCATCAACTTTTTATAGTTTTCCTAGTAGAGGTCTTTCACCTCTTGCTGAGAATGGGGTGTTAAAGTCCCCCACCGTGATTGTATTGTAGTCTATCTTTCTCTTTAGATCCAATACTATTTGCTTTATGAATCTGGGTGCTCCAGTGTTAGGTGCATAGATATCTGGAATTTTCACTTCCTCCTGCTGGATTGATCCCTTTATCATTATATAATACCTCTTTTGTCCTTTTTTAATGTTCTTAACTTGAAGCCTGTTTCATCTGATACAAGTATAGCGACTCCTACTTGCTGTTGGTTTCTGTTTGCATGGAATATCTTTTTTTTTTTTTTTTTTAGACGGAGTTTCACTCTTGTTGCCCAGGCTGGAGTACAATGGCACAATCTCAGCTCACTGCAACCTCCGCCTCCCAGATTCAAGCAATTCTCCTGCCTCAGCCTCCTGAGCTGGGATTACAGGCATGCACCACCACACCTGGCTAATTTTGTATTTTTAGTAGAGACAGGGTTCCTCTATATTGAGGCTGGTCTCGAACTCCCAACCTCAGGTGATCTGCCCACCTCAGCCTCCCAAAGTGCTGGGATTACAGGCATGAGCCACCGCACCTGGCTGAAATATCTTTTTGAATGCCTTTACTGTTGTCTATATGTGTCTTTATAGGTAAGATGGGTTTCTTGTAGGCAGCATATAGTTGGGTCATGGGTTTGGTCTTGTTTTTGTTTTCATTTGTCCTGCCATTCAGCCACTCTATACCTTTTAAGTAGAAAGTTTAATCCATTTACATTCAAAGTTATTGATATATGATGACCTACTCCTGTCATTTTACCAATTGACAATTTGGTTGTTTCATATATCCTTTGTCCTTTTCTTTCTGTCTTAATGGTTTATCATTGTGGTTTGGTGGTTTCCTATATGAGTAAATTTGAATTCTTTCTCTTCCTTATTTGTATGATTGTTCCACCAGCTGACTGTATCCTTTCATGTGTTTTCATGGTGGTAATATCATCTTTTCACTTCCAGGTGTAGAAACCGCTTAAGCATTTCTTCTATGACCAGTCTAATGGTGATAAATTCCCTCATCTGTTGCTTGTCTAGGAAAGACTTTATTTCTCCTTCATTTATGAATAATAACTTTGCTGAGTGTAAGTTTCTCGGCTGACAGGTTTTTTTTCTTTCATCATTTTGAATATATCATTTCATTCTCTTCTGGCCTATAAGGTTTCTACTGAGATCTGCTGTTAGTCTGGTATGAGTTCCTTTATAAGTAAATAAATATTTTTCTCTTGCTAATTCTAGGATTATCGCTTTTACTTTTGATAGTTTGACTATGAAGTGCCATGGAGAACACCTTTTTGAATTGCACCTATTTGGATATCGTTGAGCTTCCTGTATCTGGATGTCTAAATCTCTTGCTAGACTTGGTACATTTTCAACTATTTTCTCATTATATAGGTTTTTCTAACACTTTCATCTACTCTTGACCTTTTGGGATTCCAAAAGTCAAACATTTGGTTGCTTTATGTGTTCCATTCAGTCTGGGCACATAAAAATGTGTGGCAGCTTGGCTGCTGGTGGCAATAGAGTCACTGCTGGTTGCCCACACCATGGCCCTGGCAGCAGCAGCCATCTGTGACAGTGGCTGCAGGTAGAGGATGTCGGTGGGGCTCCAGGAATATGGAGATGCAGGCTTTGTTGGACCCCAGGGCAGGGTGCAGTTTGTTCAGGCCTGGGCTCTCAAAATGGCACCTTGCTGTAGCTGCCTAAAGCTCAGTGTTGTATGAGAAGCATGAGTTTCTTCTCGAGAGCAGTGCTGTTGTAGATCTCCAGGCAGCTCCCTATATCAATTTCAGGACCCATGATGATCAAAGGGCTTTCCTGTGGCTAGGATTGCAGGAGTCTGCAGCGAGGACATGGGGATCTCTCATTTACTCTTTCCTCATATTGAGTAGCCTCTCTGGGCTCTCAGCCAATCCTGGTTAGGCAGGCTGCCTCACTTCCCTCCTGTTTGCTGCTTTAGATGCTTCCTGTCACTTATCTGTTGGATTCTAGCAATTTTTTTAAAATGATCTATACAAAGTGTGGTTATCTACTCACTATTTTGTTTCTTTGTGGAGAAGGTGAGTACAAGTCCCCTCTAGTCAGCTATCTTCAAGCTCCTCCCTTCAGTCAAATGTTAATTTTCACTTGTCATTGTACTATGAGGAAATTTCCCCCCTCCCTCTTTATCCATTCATATATCCATCCATTATCAATATGTACTCATGTATTCTTATTTTGTTCACTAAATTTATGACTCATTATTTTGATGCTAAATTTTTTCCAGATTTGGCTGATGGGAGCCTCTTCAAGCTGTTCCTTGTGTCTTTTTGACAGATCCCCATCATTTTTGGAGGGGAACACTTCCTTACTTTCTAACACAAGATGTTCTAAGCTCATCTTATATCTTAACTGCCCCAGTTTTACAAGTAGCCATTCCTCTGAGGAGTCTGTTTCTTAGTGAAGATAACTGTGAACCAAATATGGTACCTTTAATTGCCATGAACCACTGCCTTCTCATTTAACTTCTTCCTTTTCATATTTGTCTCCTTTCTTCCATAGTGACAATCCTGGTTTCTAGCAATATTAATATATTTACCAATAGGTTCAATCATACAGCACACAAAATACTTTTGGAATTGATATACTTGCACCATTTCAACAAACGTTCTAAGAAGGGTCAAGATTTATTTACATTTTTCCCTACTGACTCAGGGTCTATAGTTACAATACAGTGCTTAAAATTTATTTGGATTAGTACTTCTGATCCCTTCTGTGTGGTTATTCTATTTATTAGAAATACAGTTATAGTCACCTGTTTTTATTTATATTCAGTTTTAGCCCTTTTTCCTCTGATGCTTGTTGATTTTTTTCTTGAATTTTTAAACATCAAGAATGAATTTTGACTTTTGACAAATACATTTTCTGGGTCTGTGAGGAGGACTATATAATTTTTTTCATTAATCTATTAATATGATTTCACAATATTGATTTCACCTCCTATTCTTGGAATAATCCCATTTGGTCATGGTGCATTATTTTTTCATGTGCAATAGAATTGTTTGCCAATATTTTATTTAGGATTTTGAGTTCATACTGAACTCTGTCTCCAATACTTTTAATGAAATTTTTGTCAAGTTTTTGTGTCAATATTGTAATGCTTTTTGTAAATAATTGGGAAGCTTTTTAATCCATGAGCTACAACAGTTGAAACTGCATTTGAATAATTCATTTGTTAGAGATCTGGGAAATTCTGTAAAACTATCTGGACCCGGTACTTTTAGCATGACAAATCTGGTGTTTTATAATTGGTCTATTTATATTTTCTTCATGTTCTAGGGTCAATTCTGATAAGTTACCTCTTCCAAGAAAACAACTATTTTTATCCAGCTTGTATTAATAACATTTACTTTTCCAAGTAAAGGCATCCTTATGACTGTATTTATTACTTATGGACCTGTAATCATTTTTTCTTTATAATTTCTTAATTTCTTTAATTGTATTTGTTCCTTTTTTACTTGATTAATTGTGTTAACTCGGATTCAAACTGCCTGGATTAAAATCTCAGCTCTGCCAATTACTACTTATGTGCCTTCATGAAAGACTCTTTGTGACTCATTTAGAAGATAATAACTGGTTGAGTGCGGTGGCTCATGCCTGTAATCCCAATACTTTGGGAGGCTGAGGTGGGTGGATCACGAGGTCAAGAGATGGAGACCATCCTGGGCAACATGGTGAAACTCTGTCTCTACTGAAAATACCAAAATTAGCTAGTCATGGTGGTGAGCACCTGTAGTCTCAGCTACTCCGGAGGCTGAGGCAGGAGAATCGCTTGAACCCGGGAGGTGGATGTTGCAGTGAGCCAAGATCTTGCCACTGCACTCCAGCCTGGTGACAGAGCAAGATTCCATCCAAAAAAAAAAAAAAGAAGATAATAACCCTCAAAGAGTTGTGATGATTAAACAAACTACTGTTCATAGACTTCCAGTTCCAGAATGGTGATATAGTAGTAGCATGCTGGCTTCACTCTCTTTCACAGAAACCCCAAAACAAATATACAGCACTGAAATTATAGCCAGCAACTTCCCAAAGCTCAAATATAGAGTAAATCAGTTTCCAAGGCCACAGAGAAGTTAAAAAAAAAAAAAAAACTCTGAGAAGACGGTAAGAGAATCCGATTTCCATATCCATGACATCCCTTCCCCCAATCTAACCAGCACCAAGCACATGAAAAATATTCCCCTGACTCATGGTTTCCACCCTGGAAAAAGTCAGATCTAGGTGGACAACAAACTTCCCTACCATCCTGAGATCTTGAGATCCCTGGCAGGAGACCTGTCCCTACCTCAACCCACAGGAGGCATAGAAAGTTCCCAAAGGGAGAAATATCCCTAAGGTCAGATAGAGATAAGTGAGGAGGTGGGACTACCACCCCCAGCCCTGAAAACTCTGTCCTGTAACTTGGCTAAATGAGGTGCCAAATCAGAGTGATTGCTCAGCAGCATCCCTCCGTACAAGGTTCATTCTATAGGTTTCCTGGGCACAAAACCATAGCCAGTCATCCCATACTACTGGGATTTTTCCTTTGGGACCTCCTCCACTGGGAATTGGTGGCACTCAGACAGTCTACTAGAACCAAGGTAAACCTGGGCTTTAGACACCATTCAATATCCAATTCCAAAAGGAGGCCATGACCTAGAAAAAGAAAGAATGAAAGAAAAGAAAAGAAAAGAAAATCAGTAGGTAAATTACAAAGAATCTCTAAGCAAATATACCCGACAAAAACCAAAACAAGCCAGACAGAGAAGACTAGAATAAATAACTAATTCTTCAGTGCAAAGACGCAGATGCACAACCACGAGAAACAATAGCAAAGAGGGAAATGTGACCTCCCCAAGTGAACAAAGCAAGGAAACAATGACTGACCCTAACAAGAGGGCAATTTGTAAACTTTTTGACCAAGAATTCAAAATAACAGTTCTAAGGAAGCTCAGTGATCTCCAAGATAGCACAGAAAAGCAATTAAGAAATTTATCCAAGAACTTTAGCAAAGAGATCGAAATAATGAAAAAAATCAAATAAAAATCTTAAAACTGAGAAAAATATATTTGCTGCAAAAGATTTATCAAATGTTGTCAACAACAGAATGGATCAAGTAGACGAAAGAATCAGTGAGCTTGAAGATATCTAACAATTAATATTGTTTGAGGGGGAGTTCAGCAAGAGCAAGAAGTAGAAAACTTATTTTAAAAAAAACGAAACACAGAAAACCTTCCAAAATTTGAGAAAGAGATAAATATCCAGGTACAGGAACACCAAACATAGCTGACTCAAATAAGACTATCCCCAAGGCATACAGTAATCAAATTTTCAAAGGTCAAGAACAAAGAGAAGATCCTAAAAGCAGCCAAAGAAAAGAAGCACATAACATCTAAAGGAGCTCCAATTTGTTTGGCAACAGACTTTTCAATAGAAACCAAACAAGCTGAGGGAATGGGTGGTAGAACAACATTTTCAAAGTGCTGAAAGAAAACAACTGCTATCTAAGCATACTGTATCCAGCAAAGCCATTCTTCAAATATGAAGCAGAGATAAAATCTTTCTCAGAGTAACAAATACTGACAGAATTCACAACCATCAGACCCATCTTACAAGAAATAGTAAAGAGTTCTTCAATATGAAAGAAAAAGAAAACACCTATGTGCAACAAGAAAACACCTGAAGGTACAAAGCCTACTGGTAAAATTAAATACATAGGCCAGGCATGGTGGCTCACACCTATAATCCCAGCACTTTGGGAGGCCGAGGTGGGCAGATTACCTGAGGTCGGGAGTTCGAGACCAGCCTGACCAACATGGAGAAACCCCGTCTCTACTAAAATAAAAAAATTAGCTGGACATGGTGGTGCGTGCCTGTAATCCCAGCTACTCAGGAGGCTGTGGCAGGAAAATCACTTGAAACTAGGAGCCAGAGGTTGCAGTGAGCTGAGATTGCACCATTGCACTCCAGCCTGGGCAATAACAGTGAAACTCCATCTCAAAAAAATAAATTAATTAATTAAATACATAGATGAACCCGGACTACTCTGATATTGTAATTGTCATGTGCAATCCACTCATAACTCTAGTATGAAACCCAAAACTCAAACCTATCAAAAATAATAATAGGTACAGCAACCTGTTAAGGGATAGGCAACCTAAAAATATGTAAGTTAGACAACAAAAAGTCAAAATGTGGGGGGGTGGGTAGTTAATGTATAGAGTTTTAAAAATTTGTTTCCTTATTGGTTTCTACTCTTTTCTTTGTAATATACAGTAAGTTGTAATCTATTTAAAATAACATCTTATATCTACAAGACTTTTTTTTGTAAGTCTTATGGTAACCACAATCCAGAAACCTATAATACATTTACTAAAAAGATGGCACATTATAATCAAACTGCCTAAAGTCAAAAATAAAGATCAAATCCTAAAAACAGCAAGTAAAAAATGCCTAGTCACCTATAAAGGAAACCACCATGAGACTGACAGTGGATTTCTTAGCAGAAACCTTACAGCCCAGAAAAGAATGGGATAATATACTCAAAGTACTGAAAGACAAAAAAACCTGCCAAAGAAGAATACTATATCCAGTGAACTTAGCTTTCAAAAATAAAAGAGCAATAAAATCTTTTCCAGATAAGCAAATGCTGAGGGAAATTGTTACCACTAGACTGGCACTACAAGAAATGGTCAAGAGAGTCCTAAACCTGGAAGCAAAACAATGACATATATAATCATAAAAACACATAAAATTACAAAACTTGCTGATAAAGAAGACAAAGGACTTAAATGGCACCCCTCCAAAAATATGCCAGACCATAATGACAAATAATAAGAGAAAAAGGGAAAAAGCACATATAAAACAACCAAAAAACAATTAACAATATGACAGGAACACAGCCTCAATAATAACATTGATATGTAAAACTAATTAAATTCTCTGCTTAAAAGATATAGAATGGCTGCTTAGAAGAAATGCACCTTACAGTAAAAACACATGCAGACTGAAAGTAAAGGCATTCAAAAAGATATTCCATGCAAACAGAAACCAACAGCAAGTAGGAGTCGCTATACTTGTATCAGATGAAACAGACTTCAAGTTAAGAACATTAAAAAAGCTTTTTGATGTGCTGCTGGATTTGTTTTGCCAGTATTTTATTGAGGATTTTTGCATCAATGTTCATCAAGGATATTGGTCTAAAATTCTCTTTTTTTGTTGTGTCTCTGCCTGGCTTTGGTATCAGAATGATGCTGGCCTCATAAAAAGAGTTAGGGAGGATTCCCTCTTTTTCTATTGATTGGAATAGTTTCAGAAGGAATGGTACCAGTTCCTCCTGGTACCTCTGGTAGAATTCGGCTTAATAAATGGTGCTGGGAAAACTGGCTAGCCATATGTAGAAAGCTGAAACTGGATCCCTTCCTTACACCTTATACAAAAATCAATTCAAGATGGATTAAAGACTTAAACGTTAGACCTAAAACCATAAAAACCCTAGAAGAAAACCTAGGCAATTCCATTCAGGACATAGGCATGGGCAAGGACTTCATGTCTAAAACACCAAAAGCAATGGCAACAAAAGACAAAATTGACAAATGGGATCTAATTAAACTAAAGAGCTTCTGCACAGCAAAAGAAACTACCATCAGAGTGAACAGGCAACCTACAAAATGGGAGAAAATTTTCGCAACCTACTCATCTGACAAAGGGCTAATATCCAGAATCTACAATGAACTCAAACAAATTTACAAGAAAAAAACAAACAACCCCATCAAAAAGTGGGCGAAGGACATGAACAGACACTTCTCAAAAGAAGACATTTATGCAGCCAAAAAACACATGAAAAAATGCTCATCATCACTGGCCATCAGAGAAATGCAAATCAAAACCACAATGAGATACCATCTCACACCAGTTAGAATGGCAATCATTAAAAAGTCATTAAACAACAGGTGCTGGAGAGGATGTGGAGAAATTGGAATACTTTTACACTGTTGGTGGGACTGTAAACTAGTTCAACCATTGTGGAAGTCAGTGTGGCGATTCCTCAGGGATCTAGAACTGGAAATACCATTTGACCCAGCCATCCCATTACTGGGTATATACCCAAAGGACTATAAATCATGCTGCTATAAAGACACATGCACACTTATGTTTATTGCGGCATTATTCACAATAGCAAAGACTTGGAACCAACCCAAATGTCCAACAATGATAGACTGGATTAAGAAAATGTGGCACATATACACCATGGAATATTATGCAGCCATAAAAAATGATGAGTTCATGTCCTTTGTAGGGACATGGATGAAATTGGAAATCATCATTCTCAGTAAACTATCGCAAGAACAAAAACCAAACACCGCATATTCTCACTCATAGGTGGGAATTGAACAATGAGATCACATGGACACAGGAAGGGGAATATCACGCTCTGGGGACTGTTGTGGGGTGGGGGGAGGGGGGAGGGATAGCATTGGGAGATATACCTAATGCTAGATGACAAGTTAGTGGGTGCAGCGCACCAGCATGGCACATGTATACATATGTAACTAACCTGCACAATGTGCACATGTACCCTAGAACTTAAAGTATAATAAAAAAATAAAAAATAAAAATAAATAAATAAAAAAAGAACATTAAAAAAGGACAAAAGAGGTATTATATAATGATAAAGGGATCAATCCAGCAGGAGGAAGTGAAAATTCCAGATATCTATGCACCTAACACTGGAGCACCCAGATTCATAAAGCAAATAGTATTGGATCTAAAGAGAAAGATAGCCTGCAATACAACAGTGGGGGACTTTAAAACCCCATTCTCAGCAAGAGCTGAAAGACCTCTACTAGGAAAACTATAAAAAGTTGATGAAAGAAATTGAAGAGGACAGAAACAAATGGAAAGACATTCCATGCTCATGGATTAGAAGAATTGGTATTGCTAAAAATGACCATACTACCCAAAGCAATCTACAGATTCAATGTGTTCCCTATCAAAATACCAATGTCATTTTTCACAGAAATAGAAAAAAATCCTAAAATTTGTATAGAACCAAAAAATATCTTGAATAGCCAGAGCAATCCTGAGCAGAAAGAACAAAGTGGAGGTATCACACTATCCAACTTATAAATACATACAAGTCTATGGTAACCAAAATAGCATTGTATAGGTATAAAGACAGACACATAGACCAATGGAACAGAATAGAGAACCCAGAAATAAATTAACATATTTACAGCTAATGGATTTTTGACAAAGGCAACCAAGAACATACACTGAGGAGAAGACACCTTCTTCAAAAAATGGTCCTGGGAAAATCTGACATTTATTTGCAGAAGAATGAAACTGGACCCCTATATTTTATCAAATAAAACATCAATTTGTCTGGGCGTGGTGGCTCATGCCTGTAATCCCAGCACTTTGGGAGGCCAAAGAGGGCGGATCACCTGAGGTCAGAAGTTCAAGACCAACCTGGCCAACATGGCAAAACCCCGTCTCTACTAAAAGTACAAAAAAAATTCGCTGGGCACGGTGTCAGGTGCCTGTAATCCCAGCTACTCAGGAGGCTGAAGCAGGAGAATCGCTTCAACCCAGGAGGCGGAGGTTGCAGTGAGCCAATATTGCACCACTGCACTCCAGCCTGGGCTACAGGAGAGAGACTCCATCGAAAAAAAAATCAACTCAAGATAGTTTAAATACTTAATTGTAAGATCTGAAACTGCAAAACTACTAGAAGAAAACAGGGAAAATATTTTAGGACATTGGTCTAGGCAAAGATCTTATGGCCAAGACCTCAAAAGAACAGGCCACAAAAATAAAAATAGACAAATGGCGCTCTGTGAAACTAAAAAGTTTTTGCACAGCAAAGGAAACAACCGAGTGAAGAGACAACCCACTGAATGGGAGAAAATATTGCAAACTATTCATCTGACAAGGGACTAATATCCAGAATATACAAGGAACTCAACAAACTCATCAGTAAAATAATAATAATAATAATCTCATTAAAAAGTAGGCAAAGGACATGAATAGACATTTCTCAAAAGACAACATAACAATGGCCAGTGGGTTTAT
The DNA here is from genome assembly GCF_000001405.40 of Homo sapiens. Lineage (NCBI taxonomy): Eukaryota > Metazoa > Chordata > Mammalia > Primates > Hominidae > Homo > Homo sapiens. The sequence continues at coordinate 139,065,643 of NC_000003.12, read as the reverse complement.
ACAAAATGCTCAATATCACTAATCGTCAGAGTAATGCAAATCAAATTACTTATTGCAAAAGAAGACAGTAAGAAAGGATAAAAGGAAGAGAATAGGAAATGACTAAAAAACAAGCAACAAATAGCAGTAGTAAGTTCTTACTTACCAATAATAAATAACACAATGTAAGTGGACTCGATTCTCTAATTAAAAGGCATACAGTGACTGAATGGATAAAGAAACAAGACCCAAATATATGGTGCCTACAAGAAACCCACTTCACCTATAAAGGCATAGAAAAGATCTGAACAGACATCTCACCAAATATATACAGACAGCAAATAAGCATATGAAGAGATGCTCAACATTTTTTTTTTTTTGAGACAGAGTCTCACTCTGTTACTCTTGCTGGACTGCAGTGCCATAATCATGGCTCACTGTGGCCTTGACCTTCCAGGCTCAACTGATCCTCCCACTTCAGCCTCCTAAGTAACTGGGACCACAGTATGTACCTCTATACCCAGCTAATTTTTTTATTTTTTTGTAGAGACAGGGCCTTGATATGGATATTCAACATTATATATCATTAAGAAATTACAAATTGACAACAATGAAATATCACTACACATCCATTAATATGGGGAAAATATAAAACACTGACAACACCAAATGCTGGTGAATATGTGGAGCCAGAGAAACTCTTATTCATTGCTGATACAGATACTTTGAAAAACAGATTGTCAGTGTCTTACAAAACCACATATACTCTTATCATAAAATCTAGCAATCACATTCAGTATTTGCCCAAAGGAGTCAAAAGCTTAAGTCTGTACAAAAACCTGTACATGAATGTTTACAGCAGCTTTATTTACAATGGACAAAAACTGGAAGTGACCAAGATGTCCTTCAGTAGGTGAATGGATAAACTCTGAAACATCTATGACGCATATTATTCAGTACTAAGAAGAAATGAGCTATCAAGCCATGAGAAGACACAAAGGGCCCTTAAATGCATATTACTAAATGAAAGCAGCCATAGTGAAAAAGCTCCATACTGTATGATTCCAACTATATGACATTCTAGAAAAGGCAACATTATAGAGATAGTAAAAAGATCAGAGGTTTAGGGGAGGACAGGTGAACAGGCAGAGCACAGAGAATTTTTAGGGCAATGAAATTATTCTGTATAATACTATAATAGTGGATATATGTCATTATATATTTGTCAATACCCATAGAATGTATGACACCAAGAGTGAATCCTAACGCAAACTATGGACTTTAGCTGATGACTATATGTCAATGTAGGTTCATTAATTATAAAAAATGTAACACTCTGGTATAGGATGTTGACAGTTGGGTAGGCTATACATGCCTGGGCATTGAGGGCATATAAGAACTCTACTTTTCACTCAGTTTTGCTATGAACCTAAAAATGCTCTTAAAATAAAGTCTATTATTTTGTAAATGCTATAAATATATTTTTTCATTTGTTCTCTTAACTTCCTTAAAAGGCATAAGATTGCATAATAAAATCATTATAACACTGTTTTATTGGATTTATAACAAACATAAATATAGATGAGAGTATAGAACAAAGAAGAAAAAAGCTATAATAGAGCACAGTTTCTATATATTACTGGAATTAAGTTAATATTAATCCTAAATAGACTGTGATAAGTTAAGATACAAATTGTGATCCCTAGAGTCCAACAACTTTAGAAAATAATTCAAAATAAAATAATCAAAAAATCAAGATAAAAATTAAAATAATACACTAAAAGACATTTAACACAAAAAAGTCAAGGAGTAACAGAGGAACAAAAAAGGCAGAACACAGAGAACAAATATCAAAATGGCAAATGTTAATTCACCATATCAATAATTACCATATATATGAATGGTCTAAACATTCCAATCAAAAGTTAGAAATGGTTAAACTGCATAAAAACTTAAAATCCAACTACATGCTGTCTACCAGAGATACATTTAAGATTCAAAGGACAAATGGATTGAAATGGTAAGATATATATCATGTAAACAGTAACCACAAGACAGCTAGAATGGCTCTATTAATATTGGGGCGGGGGGAAGTAGACTTTAAAATGAGAATTATTATTAGCAGAAAAGACAAACAACTCATAATGATAAAAAGGAAGTTCAATAAATTGAGATAATGTAATAATTATAAATGTACATTCACCTAACAACATAGCTCTAAAATACATAAAGCAAAAACTGACAGAATTTTAAAAAGAAATAGGCAACTCAACAATTATAATTGAAGATGTTAATACTCCACTCTCAAAAACTGACATAACAATTAGAAAGTCATTAAAAATAGAGAACACTTGAACAGCACTATCAACCAACTCAACCTGACATATATAGAACATTCCATCCAATAACTGCAAAGCATGCATTCTTTTAAAGCATATATGAAACATTCTCCAGGATAAAACAAGTCCCAATAGCCTAAAAAGACTGAAATCATACTAAATGTGTTACCTGAATGCAACAGAATCAGTTGCATTCTGATGCAACTGATTGCATCAGAATTATGTGCTGGGAAATATCCAAATATTTTGAAAACACAGTGCTAGGAAATTTCCAAATATTTTGAAATTAAGCAGTAAACTTCTAAATAACCCACGAATCAAAGAAAAACCCACAAAGAAAATTGGAAAATACTTTGAATTAAATAAAAACAAAATTTAAAGGATTATAATATTACAAACAACTTTATGCCAAAGTTAGATATCTTAGATGAAATAAACAAATTACTAGAAAGATATCAATTACCAAAGCTGACTCAAATAGAATGTCTGAATATGTCTTTAAAAAGTTTTCTTTTAAACTGAAATACCTATTTAAAATCTTCCCACAGAGAAAATTATAGGCCCAGGTAACTTCATTAGTAAATTCTGTCAAATATTTAAAGAAATAATACCAATAATATCAAGTCTTCACAAATTTTAGAAAATAGAAAAGGATAAAACACTACCTATTCATTGCATGAAGTCAGTGTTACTCTCACAGCAAATAAAAAATATCAAAGCCAGAAGAAGACATGACAAGAAAAGAATGCTAAAACCCAGTACAGCTCATGAACAAAGATGCAAAAATCCTTCACAAAATATTAGAAAATTAAAGGCAGCAACATATAGGAAGGATTTATATACCATGAACAGGTGGGATTTACCCAAAAAATACAAGTTGGCAAAATATACAAAAACTAGTTAATGTAATACAGCATATTAATAAAATAAAGAACAAAAACCATACAATATACTCAACAGATTCAGAAGGAAGAAAGCATTTGACAAAATCCAGTACCCATTCATGATATAAACTCTCCATAGCCTAAGTATAGAAAGCAACTTCATTAACCTAATAAAGGACATCTAAGGCAAGGCATGGTGGTGCACACCTGTAATTCCAGCACTTTGGGAAGCCAAGGCAGGTGGATATCTTGAGCTCAGGAGTTCAAGAGCCTGGGCAACATGGCAAAACCCCATCTCTACAAAAAATACAAAAATTAGCTGGGCATGGTGGCACGTGCCTGTAGTCCCAGCTACTTGGGAGGTGGGAGTATTGTTTGAGCCCAGGAGACTGAGGCTGCAGTAAGCCAAGATCATGCCACTGCACTACAGTCTGGGTGACAGGGTGAGACCCTATCTCAAAACAAAACAAAAGACATCTAAGAAAACACAGTAAATATCATACTTAATGGTGAAAGGAGGAATGGTGCTTTCCTCCCCAAGATCGGAAAAAAGGCAAGGATTCCACTATCAATACTTCTACTCAACATTTTACTGGACATTCAAGGCAGTGCAAAAAGAAAAGAAAAAGAAGTTAAAGGCATCTAGATTGGAAAATGAGAAGTAAAACTATATTTATTCTCAAATGATAAAACATTATATGTTGAAAATCCCAAGGAATCTACCAAAAAAATTCCAGAATTAATAACAAGTTTAGCAAGGTTGTACAATACAAGATCAAAATTGAAAAATCAACTGTATTTTCATATACTGGCAATGTTCTGAAAATGAAATTAGAAAACAATTCTATTCATAATACCATAAAAAGAATAAAATACTTAGGAATAAATTTAACAAAATAAGTACAAGACTTGCACACTGAAAACAACAAAACATTGTTGAGAGAAATTACAGAAGATTTAAATAAATGGAAAATATTCCATATTCATGATTGAAAGACTCAATATTGTCAAGAAGGCAATTCTTGCCAAATTGATCTATAAAATCAGCACAGTCCTTATCAAAATCCAGTAGGTATCTTGTAGAAACTGACAAGCTGATCCTAAAATTCACATGGAAATGCAGAACACCCAGAATTACTATAATAATTTTTAAAAAGAATGACAAAGTTGGCTGGGTGCAGTGGCTCACACCTGTAATCCCAGCACTTTGGGAGGCCGAGGCGGGTGGATCACCTGAGGTCAGTAGTTCGAGACCAGCCTGGCTAACATGGTGAAACCCTGTCTCTAAAAACTACAAAATTTAGCTGGGTGTGGTCATGGGTGCCTGTAATCCCAGCTAATTGGGAGGCTGAGGCAGGAGAATTGCTTGAACCCGGGAGGCGGAAGTTGCAGTGAGCCGAGATTGCGCCACGGTACTCCAGCCTAGGTGACAGAGCGAGACTCCATCTCAAAAATTAAAAAAAAAAAAAAAAGAATTACAAAGTTGACTTTCATTACTAAATTTCAACTCTTGCTCTAAAGACACAGTAATCAATACAGGGTGGTACTGTCCCAAGAATATAGATGAAAGAAACTGAACTGTGAGTCCAAAAATAAATCTTGGCATTTATGGTCAATTTACTTTTCACAAAAGAGCTAAGTGCCAACTCAACCTGACATATGTAGAACAGTCAGTCCAATGACTGATGAATACACATGCTTTTAAAGTAAACATGGAACATTCTCTAGGATAAACTATATGTGAGGCCAATGTATCCATTCAATGTAAAAGGATAGTCTTTTTAACAACGGGGTATACACCTTCAAAAAATAAACTTAAATTATTACTTCACACCATACACAAAAAAATTAACTCAAAATGGATCATACACCTAGATGTAAAAAATAAAACTGTTAATTTCTAGGAAAAAAAAGAAAATCTTCATGAGCTTAGTTAGACAAGGTTCTTAGATATAACATCAAAAACACAATATATTATTTAAATATTTTAAACTTCATCAAAATTTAAAACTTTTGCACTTCAGAAGTCAACAATAAAAAAATAAATGCAATGAAGAAAGGATTTCCTGTTTAATAAATAGCACTAGGAGAACTGGTTAGCCATATGCAGAAAATTGAAACTGGACCCCTTTCTGACACCATATACAAAAATTAACTCAAAATGGATTAAAGACTTAAATGTAAAACTCCAAACTATAAAAACCCTAGAAGAAAATCTAGGCAATATCATTCAGGACATAGGTATGGGCAAAGATTTCATGACAAAAACACCAAATGCAATTACAACAAAACAAAAATTGACAAATGAGATTTAATCAAACTAAAGAGCTTCTGCACTGCAAAAGAAACTATCATCAGAGTGAAGAGACAACCTACAGAATGGAAGAAAATTTTTGCAATCAATCCATCTGGCAAAGGTCTAATATCTAGAATCTACAAGGAACTTAAACAAATTTACAAAAAAAAAAAAAAACATTAAAAAGTGGGCAAAGGACATGAACAGACACCTCTCAAAAGAAGACATACATGTGGCCAACAAACATGAAAAAAAAATCAACATCACTAATTATTAGAGAAATGCAAATCAAAATCACAATGAGATAGCATCTCACACCAGTCAGAATGTCTATTATTAAAAAGTCAAAAAACAATTGATACTGGTGAGGTTGTGGAGAAAACGGAATGCTTTTACACTGTTGGTGGGAGTGTAAAGTAGTTCAACCATTGTGGAAGACAATGTGGCAATTCCTCAAAGACCTAGAGGCAGAAATACCATTTGACCCAGCAATCCCATTACTGGGTATATACCCAAAGGAATATAAATTATTCTATTATAAAGATACATGCATACATATGTTCATTGCAGCACTATTCACAATACCAAAGACTTAAATGTTCATCAATGGGCGTCAATGTGCTTTATCCAATGACAGACTTAATAAAAAAAATGTGATACATATACTCCACAGAATACTATGCAGCCATAAAAAGGAACGAGATCATGACCTTTGCAGGGACATGGATGGAGTTGGAAGCCATCACCCTCAGTAAACTAATGCAAAAACAGAAAACCAAATACTGCATGTTCTCACTTATAAGTAGGAGCTGAATGATGAGATCACATGGACACTTGGGAGGGAATTACACACACTGGGGCCTGTCAGTCAGGGGGGCAGGGAGAGGGAGAGCATGAGGAAGAATAGCTAATGGATACTGGGCTTAATCCCCAGGTCATGGAATGATCTGTGCAGCAAACCATCACGGCACATGTTTACCTATGTAACAAACCTGCATATCCTGCACATATACCTCTGAACTTAAAAGTTGGGGGGGGTAAAGAAAATAAATGCAATATTTATAGAAAATATTTAAGAAAAAAATTTTAATCCACAAATTAGGAGGAAATACACAGAAACCAGGTATCTGATAAAGGACTTGTGTCCAGAATACATGAAGAACTCCTATAATTCAATAATAAGACAAACAATTGAATTTTAAAATGGACAAAAATTTGAATAGACATTTAAGCATGGAAGATTAGCATGGCTAATAAACTCAGAAGATATTTAACATCATTAGTCCTCAGAAAAATCCAATTAAAACCACAGTGACATACCACAGCACACCCACTAGAATGACTACAATCAAAAAGCCAGACAATACAAGTGTTGGTAAGAATGTGAAGAGACTGGAGCCCTCATGTATTGCTGTTGGGAATCTAAAATGGTACAACCACTTTGCAAAATCATTTGGCAGGGATTTTTTTTTAAGTGAAACATAAACTTGGTATTTGGGCCAGCAATTCTACTCCATGGAATATATCTAAGAGTCATGAAAACATGTCTACACAAAGACATGTATGTAAATGCTCATAGCAGCATCATTCATAATAGACAAAAATTGGAAATAATTCACCAGCTGGTAAACAGATAAACAAAATGTAATGTATCCATGCAAAAGATACTATTCAGCAATTAAAACGACTTAAATACTGATACCACATACCACAACAAGGGTACAACTTAGATAACTGCTACAACTGGTTTAAGTCTCAAAAACAGTACACTAAGTGAAAGAAGCAAGACACAAAAACCACAAAAACTGTATACGCCATCATTCCATTTATGTGAACCATCTAGTGGAAGGCAAATTTATAGAGATAGATAGAGGGATTCAGCAATTACCCAGGTCTGGAGAGTTGAGCAGGGATTATATGCAAACAGGCATGAAGGAACATTTTGAGTGATGGAAGTGTTCTAAAACTGGATTGTGGTGATGGCTGCACAACTCCATAAATTTACTGGTAATCATTAAATAGAAAAAATAAAATTAACATCACCTGTAAAAAACAAATGACTATAGTGTACCCCAGAAAAGAACACAAGATTACTTGTTAGTATTCAAAGCCAGGCACGGTGGTTCACGCCTGTAATCCCAGCACTTTGGCAGGCCAAGACAAGACAATCACTTGAAGCCAGGAGTTTTAGATCAGCCTGGGCAAACTAGAAAGACCCTCTCTCTACAAAAAAAAGAATACAAAAATTATCTGGGTATGGTGGCACATGTCTGTAGTCATAGCTACTCAGGTGGCTGAGGCAGGAGGATTACTTGAGCCCAGGAGTTTGAGGCTGCAGTGAACTACAATTATGCAGCTGTGCTTCAGCTTGGGCAACAGAGCCAGGCCCTGTCTCTAAAAAATAAAATAAATAAGTATTCAAGTAAAAAATGCACAAGTTTAATCTTATCATGAGGAAATATCAGAGAACTCCAAAATAAATATTCTATAAAATAACTATGTGTATTTTTCAAAAATATTAATCACATGCAAATTACAAAGGGCTAGGAAACTGTTCCAGATAAAAGGTAACTAGAGACATGACACTTGAAAATAATACATGATGTCAATATGCATCTTGTAGGCAAAAAAAGATTAGGTATAGATAGAGAGATAAATAGAGATAGAGATATTTTAAAGATATTATTGGTACAATTGAAAAAATTGGAAAATGGACTGGATTATGTCCAGTATGGCATAAATGTCCAATTTTTCTGAATTTGAAAACTATACTAAAGTAATGTATGAGAATATTCTTGTTCTTACAAAGTATAAACTAAAATATTATAGAGGAAAGGGGCCTAATGTATACACCTTACTCAAATGGTTCAGGGAATAGATAGATAAGATTAGATAGATAGATAGAGAGAGAGAGAGAGAGAGAGATACATAGATAAGATCATGTGGTCTCTCTCTGAGAAACAGAGAATAATAAAATACATGTGGCAAAATATTAAAAATTGATAAAGGATAAATGAGAGTTCTTTGTAGTATTCTTGCAATGTTTCTACAAATTTGTAAATATTTCCAAATAAAGCATTAAAAGTTCAGTAATACAGAAAGAGACTGATACTTCTCTAAATGACATTTATTTCTGTGCAACAGCCAGTATTGTGCTTAATGGGCAAACATGAACAGTATCCTCACCAAAGCCTAGAACAAGAAAAAGATGCCGCTTTCCCACTATTATTTAACATTGTACTGAAGGTAATGGCCAACAGAATTAGATAAGAGATAGAAACTGAGGTATAAAACTTCAAAAGAAAATATTCTCATTGCAGACCACATAATTGTAAAACCTAGAAAATGACTGAAAAAATAGGAGAATTTAATGAGACAACTGAATACAAAATTAATACACAGAAATCACTGGCTTTCAATTATAACACGAAAGCTCTAAAGTTTGACTTCAGCCTATGTGTTTGGTAAAAATCTGCTACTTAGCTTCAGCTTCAGCCTCAGCCTTTGAAAGCCAAATAGCCAAATAGCTGCTTTAATAGTCAGTTTTGGCACCCTTAAAATAGTAAGGGATTAATGACGTTGTGTTCACACCAGCCATCATTTAATCTTTGTAATAGCATCAGCAATACCATGCCATTTGCCCCTACCTCAGTTACGTATTCAGGAAGTAAAGATAGCATAACATAATACACCAGAATTACAAATTACTGTGAGATAAGTGGAAAGAGAAGGAAACACTTTCATCTTCATTTTTCGGGAAAAGACAAAGGAGTTGCTGTACAACAGATTTTTGAAGTAGTCTTTTCTTGTACCCACATAAATTTTTCAAACAAGATATAGAAGGCTGTATTGCATGTAGAAAAAGGTCTCTTGAATAAAAGAGAGAAGAGATAATGTACTTTGCAGATAGCAATACCAAATAGCATAAGCCCTAACATATTACAGGAAATTACCCATAATGCATTGCCATCCCAGGAAGAAAACAAAAACCCTATGCTGTGTTTGTAAATAATAGAAAAGAACCTTATCAAATCAACCTTGGATCGTGGGTTGGATGGGGAGTTAAGGAGAAACTACAACTTTAGCTACACTGTATAGATGTTTTTTAATGTATTCAGATATTATTACTTGTATGTATAAAAATAAACAAACTTTTAAAGCCACTTACTTCTGCACTATAGAAGATAACTGAGCCACCCTCATTACAGCCATTACCAAGGGCACTGTCTGGTCCAAGCCCTCAGCCTGAGCCTCAGGGTCTCAGATGAAGCAGCAAAGAATCAGAGTTCCCACCATCAGATGCCCCCTTCAGAAAGAAGAAACAAAATTATGACTAGACAATTATAACTCAACCCTCAACCAGATTCCTCTGGAGAACACATGGGAAACACCTGAGGCATATAAGATAAAGGAAGCAAACATCCAGCTTGGCCAAGATCTGCCTGAGCATGAAGGGGTTCAATATTGCAGGGAAAGGGTAAGTGAGAGAGTTCAGCTGTCCAGCAAGCCTGTGGACTGCTACAATCTGAACCACAGGAGAGCTCTTCTACCCGCACAAATCTGACACTGGCATAGACAGTGAGTTACAGGCCCCATGAGGGCACTGCAGCAGACAAGCGACTTGCACTGGGTCACTCACCCTCCCATAAGACCTGAGTGGTTGTGGCAGGGCATCATTTCAAGAGCACAGCCTTCATGGAACTGCATTCTGCCCTGGGAACAACAGTCCCCATACCTCCACATCCCAGGAGCTCCCACTGACATTCCCCAGAGTCCACTTTGACGGCTGCAGCAGCACAGCACTGGATGGACCCAAAGGTACTTCAGGGCTCTCAGTACTCTAGCCCACAGAGAGTTCCCAGTACTCTAGCCCACTATTTTCCAAAGAAAAGATGATCCAGTGCAACAAAAAGGCAGCCCCTGGGACAAAGGAATCCAAAGTTCACACTTTCCAGAGACCAAAGAGTTCATTGTCTGATGCTGTGAGAAGTGATCCCATGCCCAGCACTGGCACAAACTGTGCTCAACTTTGTAAGCATAGAATGAAATCCCCTTCCACCAGCAGAGTGTCCTCTGTGTTCAGGTTGTCCCACAGAAAATAAGATCCGTCTTCCCCCTCTGCACACCTGCTCCTGTTGCCACCAGAGGCTGGGGTGGGTGAACCAGAGGACTACCTGTCTATGGTGGTAAGTGGTGATTGCAAACCCACTGACCATGAGGTTTCTGTGCCCAGGCTTCTGCATGAAGGTAAAGCCCCCCACTACCATCACATGGTGCTATGCTGCTGTTGCAGAAAGCAGGAGAGCCTGAGCCCAGTATGTCTGGAATTACAGGGAGCAACCCCACACTACAGTCACCACCAGCACTGTTGAGGACCCAGAAGGTCCTCCAAATAAAGCTACTGCTATCATCCATACCACGTCAGCTGCCCAGGGACCCAAGAACCCACTCACCTGCCTGGCCCACTGCTACCACTACTGGCATCCAAGTTAGCCATCTGGAGGCCAAAGAATCAGCCCACTGTTAAATATCAACACAGTTGCCAGCACATATACTGCCATGGGACACAAAGACAGGCATGCTTAGCCCACCACTGTGGTCTAAGGACTGGCTCACTTGGCTTCCCAGGTCCTAGCACAACTTCACCACACCCTCCATCAATAACTGCACCCTAACCTTCTGAGGAAATCACACAAAGCACTAATGCTGTTTACAGCCAAATAAATCATACAGAGATAACACTAGTGCACATACCTAGAATCAAAGTCAAAGTGCCCTACCCAACCAATACCACAGACACATCTTCAGGGAAAAGTCCTCCCCTTCAAAAGTGCATTGAAAAATAGGAAGAAGCAACAGTTCACACCAGATGCACAGATGTCAACATAAGAACATAGGAAACATGAAAAAGCAAGGAAATATGACACTTGCAATGGAACACAATAATTGTACAGCAACAGATCTTAATAAAAAGGAAATCTTCAAAATTCTAGATAAATAATTCAAAATATTGATTCTAAAGTTCAGTCAGTTGCAAGAGAGTTCTGAAAAACAATACAAAGAATCAAAAGAACAATTCAGGATATAAACTAGCAATTTACCAGAGATATATATTTTTTAAAAGAACCAAATAGAAATTCTGGAACTAAATAAGTCATTGAAGGAAATATAAAATACATTTGAAAGCTGCAACAATAGATTAGATCAGACAAAAGCAAAAAAAAAAAAAACCTAGTCAGACAAAAACTTAACAAAAAAATAATTTTTTTTTTAATGAGAAAAGCTTTCATGACATTTGGGACACCACAAGACAACCAAATATACAAATTATCAGTATCGTCAAGGGCAAAGAGAAAAATGAAAAGATTAGAAAATCTATTTAATAAAATGAGAGATGAAAAATTCTCAAGTCTAGCAAGAGATTTAGACATTCAGATACAGGAGTCTCAATGATCCCTAGGCAGATACAATGCATAAAGGTCTCCATGATACATTATAGTCAGACTGCCTAAAGTCAAAGATAAAAACTAAATCCTAAAAACAGCAAGTAAAAACTGCATACCCGCCTATAAAGGAAACCCCATGCGACTGACAATGGATTTCTCAGCAGAAACTTTACAGTACAGAAGAGAATGGGATAATATACTCAAAGTACTGAAAGAAAAACAAAACTACCAAAGAAGAATACTATATTCAGTGAACCTAACCTTCAAAAATAAAGGAGAAATAAAGTCTTTCCCAGATAAGCAAATGCTGAGGGAATTTGTCACCACTAGACTGGCACTACAATAAGATCAAGAGAGTCCTAAACCTGGAAGCAAAACAATGACATATACCATCATAAAAACACACAAAATTACAAAACTCACTGATGAAGCAATCACACAAAGAAGACAAAGGACTTAAATGGCAGCATTCCAGAAATCCACCAGACCACAATGACAAATAATAAGAGAAAAAGGGAAAAAGAATACATAAAACAACCAGAAAACAATTAACAATATGACAGGAACAAAGCCTCAATAACAACCTTGAATGTAAAACAGATTAAATTCTCTACTTAAAAGATATAGAATGGCTGCTTACAATAAATGCACCTTACAGTAAAGACACATATAGACTGAAAGTAAAGAGACTGAAAAAAGATATTCCATGCAAACAGAAACCAAAAGTGAGCAAGAGTAGCTATATTTATATCTGATAAAACAGACTTCAAGTCAAGAGCAGTAAAAAGAAAAAAAAAGATGATGAAGGTCATTATATAGTTACAAAGGGATCAATCCAGCAAGAAGATATAACAATTCTAAATATCTATGCACCCAACACTGGAGCACCCAGAATTATAAAGCAAATATTACTGAATCTAAACAGAAAGCTAGACTGCAATACAATAATAGTGGACTTCAACACCCCATTCTCAGCATTACACAGATCATCTAGACAGAAAATCAACAAAGAAACATTGGATTTAAACTGGACTTTAAGACAAATGGACCTAAAAGACATTTACACAACATTCTATCCAACAATTGCAGAATATACATTCTTTTCATTAGCAAATGAAACATTCTCCAAGATAGATTATATGTTAAGCCACAAAACAAATCTAAAAAATTTTTTAAATCAAAATCATATCAAGTATCTTCTCAGACTACAATGGAACAAAACCACAAATTAATACCAAGAGGAACTTTGAAAATCATACAAATATATGAAAATTAAACGGTGTGCTCCTGAATGACCATTGGATCAATAAAGAAATAAAATTTCTTGAAACAAATGAAAATGGAAACATAACATACCAAAACCTGAGGGATACAGCAAAAGCAGTGCTAAAGGAAATTTATAGCAATAAATGCCTAATCAAAAAGGGAGAAAGGTACAAATCCACAATCTACAACCCATCGCAAGGAATTAGAAAAGCAAGAACAAGCTAATGTCAAAATTAGCAAAAGAAAAGAAATAATAAAGATCAGAGCAGAACTAAATGAAATAGAAACTAAAAATCCAACATAAAAAATCAACAAAATGAAAAATTTGTTCTTTGAAAAGATAAGCAAAATCGACAAACTGCTACCTACACTAAAAAGAGAGGACACTGGCGATTCCTCAGGGATCTAGAACTAGAAATACCATTTGACCCAGCCATCCCATTACTGGGTATATACCCAAAGGACTATAAATCATGCTGCTACAAAGACACATGCACACGTATGTTTACTGCGGCACTATTCACAATAGCAAAGACTTGGAACCAACCCAAATGTCCAACAATGATAGACTGGATTATGAAAATGTGGCACATATACACCATGGAATACTATGCAGCCATAAAAAAGGATGAGTTCATGTCCTTTGTAGGGACATGGATGAAATTGGAAATCATCATTCTCAGTAAACTATCGCAAGGACAGAAAACCAAACACCACATGTTCTCACTCATAGATGGGAATTGAACAATGAGAACACTTGGACACAAGAAGGGGAACATCACACTCTGGGGACTGTTGTGGGGTGGGGGGAGGAGGAGGGATAGCATTAGAAGATATACCTAATGCTAAATGACGAGTTAATGGGTGCAGCACACCAGCATGGCACATGTATACATATGTAACTAACCTGCACATTGTGCACATGTACCCTAAAACTTAAAGTATAATAATAATAATAAAAATAAATAAAACTAAAAAAAAAGAGAGGACACTCAAATAAAATCAGAAATGAAAAAGGAAACATCACAACTGATACCACAGAAATACAAAAGACCATCAGAAACTATTATAAACAACTACATGCTGACAAACTGGAAAACCTAGAGGAAATGGACATATTCCTGGACACATACAATCTGCCAAGATTAAATCAGGAAACAATAGAAAACCTGAATAGACCAATAATGAGTAGTGAGATTGAATCAGTAATAAAAAGTCTCACAACAAAGAAAAGTCCAAGATCTGATGGATTCACAGCCAAATTCTACCAAATATACAAAGAAGTAATACCAATCCTCCTGAAACTATTCAAAAAAATTGAAGCGGAGGGAATTCTCCCTAACTCACTATATAAGTGCAGCATCACCCTGATAGCAAAATCAGACAAGGACACAACAAAAAAGAAAATGACAGGCCCATGTCCCTAATGGACTTAGATGCAAAAATCCTCAACAAAATACTAGCCAACCAAATCCAATAGCACATTTAAAAAAAAAAAAATACACCATGATCAAGTGGAATTTATATAAAGGATTCAAGGATGGCTCAACATATGCAAATCAACAAATGTGATAAAACCGGTCAACAGAATGAAGGATAAAAATCATATGATCATCTCAATAGATGCAGAAAAAGTATTTGATAAAATTCAACATCTCTTCATGATAAAAACTCTCAACAAACTAGGCACAGAGGAATATACCTCAAAATAATAAACGCCATATGCAACACACCCACAGCTAACATTATACTGAAGGGGGAAAAATTGAATGCCTTTCCTCCGGGGACTGGAACAAGACAAGGATGCCCATTTTCACCACTCCTATTCAACATAGTACTGGAAGTTCCAGCCAGATAAATCAGGCCAGAGAAAGAAGGAAAAGCTATCTGATGTTGTATTTTGGGTATCTGTCCCCTCCAATTCGCATGTTGAAATTGGATCCCCATTGTTGGAGGCAGGGCCTGGTGGGAGGTGTTCAGGTCATAGGAGCAGATCCTTTATGAATGGCTTGGTGCCATCCTTGCAGTAATCAGTGAATTCTTGCTCTATTAGTTCCCACAAAATCTGATAGTTAAAAAGAGCCTGCCACCTCCCTTCTCTTTCTTCCTTCGTCTCACCATGTGATATCTGCTCCTCTTCATCTTCCACCATTTGTGGAAGCACCCTGATAACCCTCACCAGACACAGATGCTGGTGCCATGCTACTGCAGAACCATGAGCCATATAAACAAACCTCTTTTCATTGTAAATTACCTAGAATCAGGTAGTCTTTTATAGCAATGCCAAATGGCATTGATCATGGATATCATAGCAATGCTATATGATCCAAATTGGAAAAGAGAAAGTAAAATTGTCCCTCTTTGCTGATAATATGATCTTATATCTAGAAAAACCTAAAGATTGCACCAAAAAAACTCCTTACATTTGATAAATGAATTTAGTAAAGTTGCAGGATACACAATCAACATACAAAAATCAGGAGCATTCCTATACACCAATAATGATCTAGCCGAGAAAGAAATCAAGACGGCAATCCCATTTACAATAGGTACTAAAAAAAATTAGGCCAGGCGCAGTGGCTCACGCCTCTAATCCCAGCACTTTGGGAGGCCAAGGTGGGAGGAATACCTGAGCCCAGGAGTTTGGGACCAGCCTGGGCAACATGGTGAGACCCCATCTCTATTTTTTAAAAAAAGAAAAGAATAAAGAATAAAATAAAATAAGATACCTAGGAATAAATGTAACCAAGAAGGTTAAAGATCTCTACAAAGTGAACTACAAAACACTGATGAAAAAAATTGAAGATCATACAAATGGAAAAACATGCCACGCTCATGGATCAGAAGAACTAGTACCCTTAAATAATCACATTGGCCAGGCACAGTGGCTCATGCCTATAATCCAAGCACTATGGGAAGTTGAGGCAAGAGGATCACTTGAGATGAGGAGTTCGAGACCAACTTGGGAAACATAGTGAGACTCCATCTCTACAAAAAATTTTAAAGGTTAGCTGGATGTGGTGGCACACACTGGTAGTCCTAGCTTATCAGGAAGCTGCGGTGGGAGGATCACTTGAGCTCAGGAGTTTGAGAGTGCAATGAGCTGTGATCATGTCGCTTCACTCCAGCCTGAGCAACACAGTAAGACCCTGTCTCTAAATAAAATTAAATAAAATATAAAATGACCATATTGCCCAAAGCAATCTACAGATTGAATGCAATCCCTATTGAAATACCATCATTCTTCACAGAATTTGAAAAAAAAATCCTAAAATTTTTATAGAAACAAAAATGAGCCCAAATAGCCAAAGTCCTCAGCAAAAAGAAAAAAGCTGCAAGCATCAATCAAATTACCTGACTTAAAAATATATTACAAGGCTATAGTAACCAAAACAGCAGGGTATAGCTATAAAATAGACACATAGACCAATGGAACAGAATAGAGAACCTGGAAATAAAGCCACCATATTTACAGCCAACTGCTCTTCAACAGAGCTGACAAGAACTTACAATGGGGAAAGGGCACCTTCCTCAATAAACGGTGCCGGGAAAATAGGATAGGTACATTCCGAACAATAAAGCTAAACCCCTATCTCTCACCATATACAAAAGTTAACTCAAAATGGATTAAAGACTTAACTGTAAGACCCAAATCTACAAAATTACTGGAGAAAACTTTCCTGGACATTGGTCTAGACAAAGAATTTATCATTGAAACCTCAAAAGCATAGAAAACAAAAAAATAGACAAATGGGACTTAATTAAATGAAAAAGCCCCTGCACAGCAAAAGAAATAATCAACAAAATGAAAAGGCAACCTGTTGAATGGGAGAAAAAATTTGCAAGCTATTCATTCTACAAGGGACTAATAGATAAAATATACAAGGAACTCAAATAGCTCAACAAGAAAAAAATTGTCCCATTAAAAAGTGGGCAAAGGATATGGATAAACATTTCTCAAAAGAAGACATACAGCCAACCAGTATATGAAAAAAATGCTCAACATTAATCACCAAGAAAATGAAAATCAAAACCACAATAAGATATCATTTTACCCCAGTCAGAATGGCTATTATTAAAAAGACAAAAAATAACAGATGTGGGTGAGGATTCAGAGAAAAGAGAACTCTTGTACACTGTTTGTGGGAACGTAAACTAGTATAGCCACTATAGAAAACAGTATGGAGATTTCTCAAAATACTAAAAATAGAATTACCATTCAATCCAGCAATCCCACCATTAGGTATCTACCCAAAGGAAAAGAAATCAATATGTCAAAGAGATACCTGCACTCACATGTTTACTACAGCACAATTCACAATAGCAAAGATATGGAATCAACCTAAATGTCTATCAATGGATGAATGGATAAAGAATATATGATATATATATATATATATATATATATATATATATATATATATATATATATATCTGTCACAGTACATGGCATTCTCCCCATTTTACATATAAAGAAACTGAAGTTTAGGAGAGGTGAAGTGACTTGCCCATGATCACCCAATCAGACTGTGGCCGGCCAGGAGAGAAAACCAGATGTGTCTGCCCCAGGACCCCCGCTAACTACTTCTGTCCTGGAGCAGGACCACATTCACTTGGAAAGAGAGCTCACAGGGAGGATTTAGAGCAAGCAGAGTGTTGGGTTAAGTCACAAGGCCCAGGACACTGAGGAGCTCTCAGGTGAGACCGCTGAGGTCAGGAAAGCAGCAGACAGGAGGTGGCACCACTCAAGCCACAGGCGCCACCCTGCTCAGAGCTGGAGGCCTAGCCAGGAACCCCGAGCCCCGACCCCCTCCCAGTATGCTGACAGAATCTATGCTTGCCCATCTACCCCATACATCATGACACGTCCACCCTTGCTTCTGAATGGTGCCCCCACTGTTCTCTGCAAGAAGGTTCAAGGGTCTAGACAAAACTCTACTGGACCAAAGCAGGCAGTTTCCTGCAGGCTCCACCCCCACCGCCTTCTGCCTGGATGCTTGCGCTGAGCTGCTGTTTCTTTCACCTAGGAGCTGGAGGCGGGTTCTGGCTGCACCCACACTCTCCTGGCGGGAGGTGTCCGCAGGAACCACAGGTTCCCAGCAGGGCCACCATCCAACACAGCCCTGGACCCTGGTTACCCCGGCCAGTGCCCAGTCTCAGGCCACTCGATCCCAGGAGAATTCCCCACCACGCAACCACTGGACAGCCACCGGAAATCCACCCGAAGCGGGCCAGCTGTGCTAAGAAAAGCATTGAACACAGCCAGAAAGTTGGAGTTCCCTCCATAACACTGACACCAACAAGCAGGTCCCTGATCACAAGCATAAGCCACCGGGCTTCATGAACTCCTCAACTGAGAAATGAAAACAAGTTCAATGATCTTGAACTTTGGAGTAAAATAGAATTTTTTAGAGGTGCTCACATAGATTACCTAATCCCCACGTTCCAAGAATTGTAATTCAGTCGCTCTGGGATGGGGCAAATAATCTGCATTTTCCATGAACCTACCAGAGGATGACAGTGCCACCAAGTGATGACAGACCACTGTCCAGCAAGAGAGACTTGATTTAAATGTAAAGACTATCCAAAGGAATGCTATGCAACCCTAAAAAAGAATAAATTTTGTAGAAAGGGGAGGGAGATAAATAACATGTATGAGATTTGCTTTTAAATGCCCAAGAATATTTTGGAATGATAAAATGTAATAATGGTTCCCGCCAAGGTGGGATCATCACATGCTTAGCAAAGATGTCAGGAAATGCTTTGTTGTCCCCTGTAAGCACTTGAAAATATTACTATTCCAAAATCAGTGCTGAGTATTTTCTCCTATTAACACTAGTTGAGCTACACCTTCCCTTTTACCGCCTGGACACGTGACGTAGAGGTGCCTTTCAGCTGACACAGGTCAAAAACGCTGACATTGTGTAGGTCTATCACCTTAAATGGAGCTGGACAAGCCAGACCCCGCTCTGGTAGTTACTGGCTCTTGGGCAAGTTGGCTAACCTTTCTGCATGACATTTTCATCATCCATAAATTGGGCTAAAACAGATAGACCTCAGAGCTGTAGTTTAGGTCAAATTAGATAAAGTTAACCATACTTCAGCTGATTGTAACATAATAGAGTCGGCCCTCTGGATCCGCAGGTTTCGAATTCGCAGATTCAACCAACAGAAGACCAAAAATATTCGGGAAAAAAAAGGAAAATAACACAATAAAAAATATATATCACTTTGGGAGGCCAATGCGGGTGGATCAAAAGGTCAGGAGATCGAGACCATCCTGGCTAACACGGTGAAACCCCGTCTCTACTAAAAATACAAAAAAATTAGCCGGGTGAGATGGCGGGTGCCTGTAGTCCCAGCTACTCGGGAGGCTGAGGCAGGAGAATGGCGTGAACCCGGGAGGCGGAGCTTGCAGTGAGCCGAGATCCTGCCACTGCACTCCAGCCTGGGCGACAGGGCGAGACTCCGTCTCAAAAAAAAAAACAAAAAACAAAAAAAACCCATATATATAAGGTCAGGCACAGTGACTCACGCCTGTAGTCCCAGCACTTTGGGAGGCCAAGGCGGGTGGAATGCTTGAGCCCAGGAGTTCGAGTCCAGCCTGGGCAATATGGCAAAACCCCGTCTCCACAAAAAATACAAAAATTAGCCGAGTGTGGTGGCACGTGTTTGTAATCCCAGCTTGTCAGGAAGCTGAGGTGGAAGATCACCTGAGCCCAGGAGGTGGTGGTTGCAGTGAGCAGAGATTGCACCAAAGCACTCCAGCCTGGGCAACAGAATGAAACCCCATCTCAGAAACAAACAAACCATATATATATGAAACTCTGTGTAGCAACCAGGGGTATAGCATTTACATTGTATTAGGTACTATAAGTATTCTAGAGATGCTTTAAAATACACGGAAGGATGTAAGTGATATGCAAATGTACACCATTTTATATGAGACTTGAGCATCTGTAGATTTTGGTATCCATGCGGGAGTCCAGGAACCAATCCTCCAGGGATATCAAGGGAAGACTGTAATTACTATAGTACCAACTATCATAATAAACAGATAATGCAGGACCTGCCATTGTCACGCAGGATCTCAGCTTTACCCTCCCTTCCAAGACCCCTAAAAGGATATTACATCGATGTACAAGATAGGAGAACTCAAAAACGCACGCCACTATCCGTCAATAGTAACGCGCAGGGCACTTCCGGGACGGGGCCTGGGAATATGGGTTTAGGATTCGGTGTCCTGGTTTGGCACTCCACTAGTGTTACTTGAACCTGAATCGCTCTTCAACTCCGCGTCTGACGTCAACGCAAAGGACAAGAACTTGATACTGGAAGCCAGGCCCTAGAGCGGCACAGATGCTCGGCCCCCTAGCGGCCCGTAAGAGTATTTCCCCAGCGTGACCGACCAACCACAGCCACCGACCAACCACAGCCACCGCTATTGGGCAGCAGGTGTACCTCCGCCTCTAGGGCGGGTCCTCCAGGGGGCAGAGGATTGCGTGACATTTTGCGACTTCGGTTCCGCTGCCGTCATTTACAACATAATTGGCTTTGCAGTGCGCATCCGGGTCTGCGTCAGGAAGGCCCAAGTTTCCATCGCGCGAGGCTGAGCCACACAGCGTGCGAGGTTCCCCCAGCAGCAGCACCGACTCCGATCTCCGGGAGGCGCCCCCAGAGCTCCGAGGACTCGCCCCGCGTCGCGCGGTCCTGCCGACACCTGTTACCTCAAAGAGGACTTCGCCGCCCCGAGCCCCCCGCACCCACGTCCCCTGCCAGGCCCAGGAGCGCCGTCCGCAGCGCCGTCGAGGTGATGGGCAGCCGGCCCTGCAGCCCCAGCGCCTGCCTTGCGCCCTGGTGGGGACAGCAGCCAGGAGGACCAGGCCCTGCCAAGCGCAGCCGATTGGAGGAGCCCGCGGGCCCCGAATCCCGAGCGGCGCCCAGCCCGGAAGACCCGGCGGGGACCCCGGCCGTGGACGCGCTCACCTCCATGGTGGTCCTGGACGCGGGCTGTGCCCTGCGTGTGCCCCTGGAGGACGTCGACCTGGTGCTGGAGCTCGCGCCAATGTCGGTCCTGCGAGTGTCTCTTGGTGGACACACCCTCATCGTGATCCCCGAGGTCCTCCTGAGCTCCGTCGACGAATGCTCAGGAGCGCAGGGCGACTGGTCTGCCGGCCTGGAAGTGGACGTTTTCCTGGGCGCTCACGGGGAAGACGTCGTCGTCGAGCAGGAAGTCTGCGCATCTGTCCCAGAGATCGCTGCCGAGGAAGAGGCCTACGAGGAGGACGCGGACTCTGAGTTCCCGGAGCTCTGGATGGACTCCGCAGCCGGCTCAGCCGCTGGGCTCTACCCCTCCGCTAGAAGTATGTTCAGCCCCTACCGGGAGGGCCCCATCCGAGGGCCCTGTGCTCTGGCCCCCAACCCCAGTTCAGAGAGACGCTCTCCACGCCCCATCTTCGACCTGGAATTCCATCTTCTGGAGCCTGTCCCCAGCTCACCTCTCCAACCTCTACCTCCCTCTCCGAGTCCAGGTCCCCACGCGCGCCCGGAGCTCCCAGAGCGCCCTCCGTGCAAGGTCCGAAGACGCCTGTTCCAGGAATGAGTTGCCTCCCACAATCCCTTGCCACCCTGCTGGGCTCCAGGAGACCGTCTCCTGATAGCCGTTGTGTGTATGTTGCGCAACCTACAAGGATCTCGGAGAGTGGATAACGGATAGATGCTTTTTTGATACAGGCTGCGTTGCAGAATTCTGGATCAGTGGCTGACTTAGAAAGTCTGGAAAAAAAAGATCCTCCTCCTCAGCATAAAAATACGCTAGTTGAAATACAGTCTACTTTCAGACTGTGAGATTGCTGCTTCGGGCCTGTTTTGTTTGGAAGTCACCCCTAGGCAGCTCCATTCCCCCTGGTTTTGCTTTGAACCTCAGTTCCAGCACATTTCTCTAAAAATCCGCCCTTTCCCCAGCACGTTACCATGGCACACCTTTTCTCCCAAGTTAATTTACTACATTTATTTTGTTTAATGGGTTTTGGCCCTAGTCTCTGGGCTAGTTTATGACGACCTTCTCAACATGGAATTTTTCCCTATGGTGGCCTGAGCCCTTTTGGGTGATCTTGCACATAGTTGTACCTGGACAAATGTTTGTTGTTTGCAAAACAGACCGAACTGGGAATAATGATCATGTACCCTCCTTTTTTTCATGATTGGTTTAGCAAATTGTTTATGTTATTGGGCTTTATTTCCCCCCTAACTCTTAGAGCCAGCTCTTTTCCATTCATTTCTTCTTCTATGTTTTTAATATAATTATTTTATCCTGGAAAAGCTTATAATTCTAAGACTCTGTGTGTGTATGTGTGTGTGTGTTGTTTGTTTGTTTGTTTTTTGAGACAAGAGTTTCACTCTTGTTGCCTAGGCTGGAGTGCAATGGCACAATCTCAGCTCACTGCAACCTTTGCCTCCCAGGTTCAAGCAATTCTCCCGCCTCAGCCTCCCAGGTAGCTGGGATCACAGGCATGCGCCACCACACACGACTAATTTTGTATTTTTAGTAGAGACGGGGTTTCACCATGTTGGCCAGGCTGGTCTCGAACTCCTGACTTCAGGTGATCCATCCACCTCAGCCTCCCAAAGTGCTGGGATTACAGGCACGAGCCATCGCACCCAGCCGGAAATAATTTGTTTCTTAGGTTGATGTATCAAATGCAATTACTGAATTTCTTTAATGGTGTATGTGTAGATTCTCAATTGATTGATTGATTGATTGATAAAAACAATATCTCCAAATAATGAGAATATTGTCTTTTTTGACAAGCTTCATACATCTTATTTTTCTTTAATCTTTTATATTGGACATTACTTCAAGTCCAGATTGAACAGTATGGTTAATATGGGCATTCCTGTTTTATGCCTTGTGTTAATGCTTCTAAATTTTACCATAAAGTATGATCTTTACATGGTTGTTAGATAACCCTTAATCTATTGAAGCAGTTAATTTTCAGTCTTTCAGATCATGAAAAACTGTTGAATTTTTGCTTTGTTTTTGCCTGTTACTACAAAGATGTTATCAAGTTGTTTTAAATGTTGACATTTAATTATTTGTGTGTATACAATAATACAATACAATAGCTAGATGGAACCTTTGGGCCACAAGAGTACGTACAGAAACCTGGCAAGAGCGCTAATGAGACCAGGCTTTGGGCTTCAGGGATTTAAAACAATTGGATGCTTTATGAGGACTTGAGAAGACACAAGTGGAAGGAGAAAGGCAGTAACTGTAGGGTGCATTTAAGGTTTTAAATGTTAAAAATTAAAGAAACTTTTTTTTCTGTATGCATAAGATGACTTTTTGTAATTTCTTTCTTAATCAACTCATGGTGATTTGTGCTAATAGAATTTCTAACTACTAAGTATCTTTGCATTTCTGCTATTCTACAGTATTTTATATGATTCTAACTCCACCTTGGTTTGTTTTTTGCCTTTTTTTGAATGTTTAGTTTGTTTGTTTTACATAACCATATACAGCACTAATTTTTTTTATTATACTTTAAGTTCTGGGGTACATGTGCAGAATGTGCAGTTTTGTTACATAGGTATACATGTGCCATGGTGGTTTCCTGCACTCATCAACCCGTCATCTACACTAGGTATTTCTCCTAATGTTATCCCTCCCCTATCTCCCCACCCACCGACAGGCCCCAGTTTGTGATGTTTCCCTCCCTGTGTCCATGTGTTCTCATTGTTCAACTACCATTTATGAGTGATATCATGCGGTGTTTGGTTTTCTGTTCTTGTGATAGTTTATACAGCACTAATTTTAAAATGTCATTATTTTGCCAGGTTCGCCTCATTTTTATAATGAAATAAATTATTGCTGATAAAGTTAAAGCCAATGAGATGCTAGGTTTTTTTTCTGTTGAATATCAATAATTATTATTTAGATTTTCCAACATGCTTTACCATTTAATTTGCTCACTTTCTATTCCTACATTCCACTCCTTTATTCTGGCCTCATTTGTCTTCCTTCCATGGTATACTTTTTAAGAATTCTTTCAGCCGTGGTTTATGTGGTAAATCTTGGGTTCGTATGTCTGCAAATATTTAAATTACACCTTCAAACTTGTAGTATTGTAGCTGGGTTTGGAATTCTAAAATAAATCCTATACTCTCTCACTACTTTAAAGATAATTCTATTATTTTACATGACATTTATTGTTGCAGGTGAGAAGTTGTCATTTGCATTGCCATTCCTTTAACAGGATTAGGCTGCTTACACTAGTATTTTTCTTGACTTTGATGCCCTATGGTTTCATTAAACCTGATGTGTTTGTTGGTAGACTTTTGCCAGCTGCAACTCAGTGAGCTTTCTATAGATGGGAAGTTAATTCTTCCATAAGATCTCAAAAAATATATATCTCTTGCACATTTAAACCTCTCTCCAATCTCTGAAACTCCTAATAGAGAAATTGTGCTGCTTAATCAATGCCCTCTCCCAGATCTCTTAATATCTATATTTTCATATCCTGTATCATAGCACACTTTCGCTCTTCCAATTAACTGATTCTGTCATTGTCTGTTTTCAGAATTCATTTATTGTTCTTTATAAGACTTTATTTCAAATACTGCATTTTTCATTTTTAAGACTTCTGATTACTTGGGTTTTTAATATCTATATGCTCTTATTTCACAACTTCTGATCAATGTCATATAAATTTTTCTAGTTTCACGGATGTTATCTCCTCCTTTATCTCTAGAAGAAATTAAACACTCTTATTTTAAATTCTATATTAATTAGCTCAATAATTATATTTCCTCAGGCATAACATCTCCAATTATTTGATAGCATTTAATGACACTGATTTTCCCCTGGGCAAAAATTTGGTATGTGGACATATTTTGAATGTGCATTCATTTTCTGTTCCAAATTTGTTTTGTTTTTTAGAGACAGGGTCTCACTCTGTCTCTCAGGCTGGAGTGCAGTGCTCACTGCAGCCTTGACCTCTCATGCTCAAGCAATCCTCCCATCTCAGCCTCCCCAGTAGCTGGGGCTACAGGAACATGCCACCACACCTGGCTAATGTTTTATATTTTTATTTTTTGTAGAGAGAATCTTCTCTGTTGCCCAGGCTGATCTCAAACTCCTGGGCTCAAGCGATCCTCCTACCTTGGCCTCCCAAAGTAGTGGGATTACAGGCATGTCTGCTCCTTATTTGAATTTTACATTTGCCTCTTTCTTGCTCCCTAGGAGTCAAGACTCAGAGCCAAACATTATGGAGCTCATATGATTTGCAACTCAAAAATCACAGTTCCCATCCTCAAGTAATCATACATGGCCCAACTTCCAATTTCAATGCAGTAGTGACACTGGGCTGGACTGTCCATAGTCCCAATCCCATCAAGACTGCTGGGAGTATTAGCAGCTAAATTCAGTTGTTCTCCAGGAATTACCCTCAGCCTCTGTGGGTAATTCATGCCAATAACTGTTCAATTAGAGGGTATACAGGTCCAGCTCACTTGCTTTAAGTTGAGACAACTCTGAAGAATCATCCCAATTCTAGGGCTCTCAGTGAGTTGGCTGAGGCTTTGTTGCAGCTGCATCCCAGTTCAATCCTCCATCTGTCCTGTCACATTTTCTTTGTTCCCCAAAATTTCTGCATGCAAATCTCCATTGCAAAGTCTTCCCAAGCCAATTTAAGATAGCTGGTGCCAGGGGCTGTCATAGGAAGTAGCCACTAAAATGGATTTCAGAGCTGAATCATGGAGCATGAATAGCCCATGGCATGTTACAGGAAAGCAAATAAGATCTTAATCAATGGCAAACTAACTGGGAATGTGGAAGAAGGCAACATACTGGCATTGGCAGAATCCCAGGCATTAGAAAAATTGGGGGCACAGAGTAATTATATGCATGATAGTTATAAATAATGGGGAATTGAATAGCTGTTTCTGGGACAATAAATGCATTTGAGAAAGAAAGTGAAAGTCGGAGGGTGATTAATTACCAATAAAACCCAAATATGAAATCTAGACACATTCCTTGGCAGCATACAAATAGCCTTTCATCTCCTGTAGCTAACGGGGGGAAACACAACTGAGGATCTGGCCCAGAGTTTACTGCAAGGATAGTGGCAGTATAAAGGCTGAATCCTCAAACTAGGAAAGTCTGTAATGGTAAGGTCCCAGCCCAGACTGAGCCCTGAAACACTGGATGAAGATAACCAAGTAGATTCACTTGAATATCTTGAATCCCAAACCCCCTTCAATCCTCTTGGCCTGTAGAAGTGGCCTACTCCTCTCTATTAAAGGTTGGCACTCCATCCTTGCATAAGATGTTGCAGAAGCCTCTGCCTAGCAAGATAACATGCACCCACCTCGAGAACTACCTCCTCTTTGCCACAGGCCAGTAACTAAAGCATGTTATAACCCAGCCAGGGAAATACTGGCCTGTAACTAAGGAAAGGGGCTCTATATGCCCTAGAATTGCTGTGGGTGTCACCCAACATATAACAGCAGGAGTCAAGTATAAGAGTGAGAATGCTGGATGTTAGCCTAGAGAAGGGAGAGTTTCTCAATTTAGAAGCACTCTCCCAAGATACATGATTTAACACCGTAGCAAGGATGCTGTAAGAGAGTGCTAACAATCTGATGGGTGGATCTTGCAGGGTTAGAGAAAAAGATGTCCCATACTACGTTAAGTAGGAATGCCATAACTGCCAAGGCAGACAGCAGAGAAAAGGATCAAAACATCCAGAGAAGTGGATATGATACAGTGCACATACTACCTAAGGCTGTAAAATACATCAGCTACTATGATGTGTGGGAGGGCCTCAAGGGACATTGCATAACAAACAAATGCCCTAGAGAGGCACTGGGGTCATTGAGAAACCCATTAGGCCAAGGTAAGGGCAGGAAATGCCATTAGAGAGCTGAACTCCTTGGTAGCCAAGGGGATAATGGGATCTGAGAGACCGAAAATACAAATGAACAATGTCCAGACCACACATGACAGTAGAAATCTTACCCATAACCTCTGCAGCAACTATCCCAGAAGCCAAACCATAGTCTCTGCAGTAACTGGCCCCAAAATGGTCCAGACTTGTTCAATAACTGCCAGGTGTTCTAATTCTCACCCTCACTTCCAACTCAGGACCAACCAGAAAAAGCCAAATATGCTATGCCTAAGATACAAGGTGCACAAACCAACCAATCACATAGGATGCCCCACCTCTAGTTAGTCCACCTCCAGCTTCCCTATGCCAGCAACTTCCAATCAGACATATCTGAAGCCTTCCCCTTTTTCACTATAAAATTTTCCAACTCACCTGCCTGCCAATAAGTCTCTATCAAATGCAAGTGATGGGGCTAACTCCCTTGCTATAGAAAGCTCTAAATAAATTGCCTCTGCTTGTTCCCATTTAGGTGGTCTTCGCTTATTTTCCATTTTTTTGTGAGATATGGTACACACAGCCCAGTGTGGTAAGTCAGCACTAGGTCTGAACTCTTTCTTTGCATTGAGTTCCCTGTCCATTTACTCTCAGTTTGGTATCCACGTTTCGTTATCAGTTCCATTTGTTCGGCAGCCTTGATGGAATCAAACCATTTCTTTTCATCTCCTTTTACTCGCTTTTGTGTTTCCATTTTGTGTTGTATGGTCTAAAACTGTTGTTTATCACAAGAAAGAAAATCGCAGGGTACAACACAGTCATAGGCTCTACACGCCTGTTGTTTGAGCCAGCCTCACAGTCCGGTGAGTTGGGCAGGCCTCACAGTCGGTGAGTTTGCAGTTCTCACCAGATAAGCTTCCATTTGGACAAACTTTTCTGTGGATTATCAATAAAAGTGGGTGAGGTTTTCCTGTTTTTATGTTTTGTTTTTAGAGCTTGGCTTTGATCCAGAAAGTGTTCTCTCTGGTTTTCCATCTACCACAGTCCACATTCAGAGGCACTGACTATCAGTTTGGGAGCCTCTGACACAGAAGCACCAGCACCACATTTTGCTGACCATCACCATCTCTTATGGAGTTATCTAAGTCTAAATCCTCTCCTTTTACAGAAAAAAATGCCTGCTTCTTATATGTGTTCTCATTTAGAATCCTAATTCTTGTCCCTGTCTTTCTAAATGGCATAATTTTACCAAGGGTGATGTGAGCCTTTAATGGCTACTGTGGAGAACATTTAACTTGAAATCATTCACTTGAGAGGCACCTTAGAAAAAAATGGAAATAAAATTTCTCATGTTCAATGAGCAGCATTTTTAGTTATATAGAGGTCTCCAGATGAAACTCTAAATCGAAAATGGCTTCATTAAAAGATTATTTGGCCAAAGCTAATGTGCAGTTTGACAACAATGAACTAGATTCATTTCCCTGGTAAATCCTCTGTCCTCGTCCACCAGTTCCCTCTCTATAACCAGATCTCCCTCTGCCCCTTATCCTCCCAATCTCTCTCCTTCTATACCTCCATCAACTCCTCCCTCCAGTTGTCCTTGTTCAGGCCCCCTACCTTTTCCCAACAACTTTCTCCAAAACCTAAAATGCCAGTTGCCTCTTAAGACCCATCCCTCCATGAACCAGGTATTCAGACAACTGGCGAATTTAAAGCTTGGACCTGAGCGGAATTAAGAGCTGTAAGTTTCCCTAAATGCAGACAAGACTAGTAAATATTCATAGAATAGTTTAAAATCCTTTTGGGTACACCTGACCCAGAATTACCTGACTTATATCAACTCATACACATATGGGTCAGAACCACAGATGCTAAATCCTAGATGGCAAAAGTTGATTGGACTGACCCAGAGGACCTACAGGATATCTCTTTCCATAAAAAACCTGCAGTTCAGAAAAACCCTGAAAAGTAAGGTGAAGTCTCCGAGAAGCCATACCCAAAACACTTCCAATAAAAATTAATGCAAGGGCTACCATTTCTACATTAAATACTGTGCCTTTGTGCTCTCTTCTTCAGAGTAATGGTACTGCACAGGTGGCAGGCATTTCAAATAACACAAATTTTCCCTGTCTTCCAGCCTTTAACTGTAACCCTTGGGCCTTTGCCTGGAAATATTCCTTCTTGTTCTGTGATAATACACCTGCAAATTTAATAAGGAGAGATATACTTTATACATGAGATTGCAATCATAAATGCACACCAGAGGGAGCATTTCTTAAGTTTCCAGAGGACTCCTCTATTCATAATCAAGTTGTGTTTGTTCTGAATATACCTTTGCATTCTGTATTTTATTTGATGCATACCCCAGATAAAGATCTTGACACTATTCCATGACCTTCTATGGGCTAAAAATTTCACTGGCATAGGAAAAATAACGAGAGCAGAATCTATAAAAGTTCAGATAGATCCTACCAAGCCATTACTCAAACTTCTCCAATATCCCTTGAAGCCAAAGGAAGGGCTCAAACTATGGTTAAAGGCCTTACATACAAAAGTCTTCTCATACTCTGCACTAGCCGTTGTAACACTCCCATCCTCCGAGTAAAGAAACAAAGCGACAAAGATACCAATTTGTTCAAGACCTCAAGGCCATCAACAAAATCGTTATACCTCATTTCCTGATAGAACTTGACCCAATTTGTTCAAGACCTCAAGGCCATCAAGAAAATCATTATACTTCATTTCCTGATAGAACTTGACCCAAATACCATTCTGTCATAAATTTCCACCTGAAGTTATTTGCTTCACAGTATCGGATCTTTGCTCTGCCTCTTTCAGTGTACTTCTGAATAAGGATAGTCAATACCTTTTTGCATTCACCTAAGGCGGACAATAATGTACTTAGACAGTCATACCCCAGGAGTTCACTAGAGCCCCCTCCAATTTTCCCAGGTCTTCAATCAAGACTTAAAAGACCTAAAATTTCCCCTTGCGATTCAGTTCTGACATAAAATGTAAATGATATCCTACTTTATTCAGAGAACAAGGAAGTCTATAAAAAGGATTCCGTTTAGTTGCCCCTAGCCTTAGCAGAAAAGAAACATAAACGTTTCAAAAGATAACTTACAATTTTTTCCAAACTGCAGCCTATTATTTAGAGCATGACCTAACTGAGGAAGATAAACCATTCTCTACTGATACGCTAAAGACTATCCAAAAATATTCTAGACCCCTCACAAAAGACAACTAAGAGTATTTTGGAGTTTAACTGGATATTACAGACAATGAGTGCCAAATTTTTCTAGGATTGAAATACCGTTTTATGAATTGACTAAGTCCTCAGTAAGAGACCCTCTCCTAAGGAAATCAAAAGTGAACAGGTTTTCTGTAACCTGAAAAAGACGTTCAACAGCCTCTTTCTCTAGGCATCCCAAACTACAAAAATCTCTTTGTCTATTTGTGCATAAGCAATCCGGACAAGCCCTTGGGTTTTAACGCAAATTGATAGGAACCACTAAAAACATATTGCTCCAAAAACTGGAAGCAACCAAGCTGTCCTTCAATAGGTAGATGGATAAACAAACTGTAGTTCATCCATACAATGAAATATTATTCAGCTATAAAAAGAAATGATCTATCAAATCATGAAAAGGTACGGGGAAGTCTTAAAATGCATATTACTAAGTGAAAGAAACTAATCTGAAAAAGCTACATACTCTATGACATTCTGGAAAAGATGAAACTGTGGAAACAGTAAAAATATTAGTGGTTGTCAAGTGTTTGGAGGTGAAAAGAGGAGTGAATGGGTGGAACACAGAGGACCTCTAGGGGGATGAAACTATTCTGGATAATACTATGATGGTAGATATAGGACGTTATGCATTTTTCAAAACTCATAGAACTGTACAACACAAAGAGTGAACTTCAGTGTAAACTATGGACTTTAGCTAATAATGATGTATCAGTATTGGCTTACGAATTCTAACAAGGGTCTCATGGCAATGCAAGAGTTAATAGAAGGGGAAACTGTGAGGGGGAGGGATGGTATATGGAAATTCCTTGCTATCTACTCAATTTTCTGTAAACCTAAAACTGTTGCAAAAAGTCTTCTTAAAATCTATATTTAAAAAAATAAGAAAAAAGATCCTTTAGAGAAGTTAACTTCAAGGATAATATTTTTAAATGATCTTACATTAAAAACCAGGTTGATACCCTCACAGCATAAAATAAAGGGGACTTGCTTGATGTACAATAAATGGGACTCTGTTAGAAGTTCGAGGCAAGCTCTACACATCACTAAAATGGCCATCTCAGTGCTTAGTGTGCCTTGTTGATGAAACCAGGAACTAGTTATTCTAACTTGTGTCCTCTACTACCCCTGACTCTCAAAAACAAAACAAAATGAACAGAAACATTGCTTACTATAGCTTCACCCTTGACCCAGTTTGAAAGGCTCATCCCTCTTGTCTTAGGGCAATTGCGGTCCTAATACCTGAAAAAATTATTACAGCTTCTGCTGAGCTAGTTCTAGCCTCCCAACTTGAGTTTAGGGTTCCTCATGCAGTATAGACCTTACTACTGACAGAATGAATACACAACACTTTTCAGGCAGCCAATTAATATCTTTTTTTTTTTTTTTTTGAGACAGGGTCTAGCTCTGTCACCCAGGCTGGAGTGCAGCAGTGTGATCCTGA
This sequence comes from Homo sapiens, assembly GCF_000001405.40. Lineage (NCBI taxonomy): Eukaryota > Metazoa > Chordata > Mammalia > Primates > Hominidae > Homo > Homo sapiens. The sequence continues at coordinate 139,033,859 of NC_000003.12, read as the reverse complement.
TCACTGCAACCTCCGCCTTCCAAGTTCAAATGATTCTCCCACCTCAGCCTACGGAGTAGCTGGCACCACAGGCACGTGCCACCATGCCCAGCTAATTTTTGGGTTTTGTTTGTTGGTTTTTGGTTTCTGGTTTTGAGACGGAGTTTCACTCTTGTCGCCCAGGCTGGAGTGCAATGGCACGATCTCGGCTCACTGCAACCTCCACCTCTCAAGTTCAAGGGATTCTCCTGCCTCAGCCTCCCGAGTAGCTGGGATTATAGCCGCGTGCCACCATATGTGGCTAAGTTTTGTATTTTTTAGTAGAGAGAGAGTTTTGCCAAGTTGTCCTGGCTGATCTGGAACTCCTGGGCTCAAGCGATCCGCCAGTCTCGGCCTCCCAAAGTGCTGGGATTACAAGCGTGAGCCACTGCGCCCAGCCTTAATATCTTAAGAAATTCTATTACTCATTGCCTCAACATTACAATTCACCACGGCAACACTCACTCTGAATCCTACCTCTCTTCTGCCTCTACCTAAAGAAAGGGAGGCTGGGTTTGGTGGCTCATGCCTACATTCCCAACACTTTGGGAGGCAAAGGCAGGAGAACCACTTGAGCACAGGAGTTCAAGACCAGCTTGGGCAACATATGGAAACCCGACCTTGTCTCTACAAAAAAATAAAATATTAACTGGGCATGATGACTCATATCTGTAGTCTTAGCTACTCAGGAGGCTGAGGCAGGAGGATCACTTGAGTCCAAGAGGTCAAGGTTGCTATGAGCTATGGTCATGCCACTGCACTCCAGCCTGGGTGACAGAGTGAGGCCTTGTCTCAAAACAAAAAAAGAAAAAGAAAAGGAGCCTCAAGATTGTCTTCCTTAGGGAATTCTCTGTACCTTACTCAGACTGATTAAAGACTCCTCTACAGAACCTTGACCTAATATTATTTCTAATCTTATTTGTTGATGGCTCATACCTCAAAAGTGAAACTGGAAGTTATCAACCAGGATATGCAGTCACTAATCTAAGCTCTCTTTGAGTAAAATCAGCCCAGATGTCAGAGCTTACTGTATTTACTACCTCTTGACAACTAGCCCAAGACGAAAAATCAAACATATATACAAATAGCAGATATGCTTTCGGAGTAGTACATGTCTTTGGGATGCTTTGGAAACAAAGGGGGTTTCTTGCCCTACCAGAACCCCCATCAAAAATGGGCAACAAATTCAGGAATTTGTAGACACACTCCTACTTCCTGGAAAGGTAGTTATAAAGGTTGAAGCTCATGGAAAAAATAGATAATGTGTAAGCTATAGGAAATGCCCTGGCAACTTACTATGCCAAACAACCAGGCTTCACCAAAGTTATGATCCTATATAAACCCTCAAACAATAAATCTCTGGAGACAATCTTATGAGGCCATTACACAAAATCAATGATTAACTCCTGATTTTGAAAAGGAAGAATGGGAAAAAATCTGGTTGTACCTCTTACTCAGATAATCTCTAGTGCTCTCAAGACAGCCAATTGGTGGCACCAGGTGATTTCAAATGAATATTAGCTAAATTTCTCCATGAAACTACTCATTAGGGTATAGATAAGTGGGTCCCATCTTTTGGCTTCCCTGGGCCACATTGGAAAAAGAAGAATTATCTTGAACCACACACAAAATACACTAATACTAACAATAGCTGATGAGCTAAAAAAAAAAAAACTCATAATATTTTACGAAAGTTTATGAATTTGTGTTGGGCTGCATTCAAAGCCATCCTAGGCTGCATGCGGCCCAAGGGCCAAGGGTTGGACAAGCTAGGTATGACAAATAGGTTACTATCTTGAATCAACATTGGTGTGGAAACCTTTAAAATGACAACTGACTACAACAGCATCATAAATAATAAAATAATAGGAATAAATTTAACCAATGAGGCAAAAATAACACTGAAAACTACAAAACTGCAAAATGTTACTGAAAGAAACTAATGAAGGCACAAATAAATGAAAAGACATTCCATGTTCATGGACTGGAAGAATTAATATTGTTCATTTAATTCAATTCCTATCAAAATCCCAATAATATTTTTTGCAAAAATGGAAAAATCATCCTAAAATTTATATGAATTCTCAAGGGAACTTGAATAGCTAAAACAATCTTGAAAAAGAAGAACAAAGCTTGAAGACTCACATTTCCTGATTTCAAAACTTACTACAAAGCTACAATAATCAAAACAGTATAATACTAGAATAAAAACAGACATATACACAAATGGAATAGAATAAAGAGCCCAGAAATAAACTCTCCCATATATACTCTAATGCTTTTCAACAAGGGTGCCAAGACTATTCAATAAGGAAAGGAAAATCTTTTCAATAAATTTTCTTGAGAAAAACTTGATATCCAAATGAAAAAGAATGAAATTACCTTATATCATATAAAAAAATAATTAACTCAAAATGGATCAAAGGCGAAATGTATGAGCTAAGACTATGAAACTTTTAGAACAAACACAGGGCAAAAGTTTCATGACACTGGATTTCATAGCAATTTCTTGAATATGAGACCAGAGGCAGAGGAAAAAAAAGAAAAAAATAAATAAATTGGACTTCATGAAAATTTTAAATTTTGTGCATCAAAAGACAGTATCAACAGAGTAACAAGGCAACTACAGAGTGGGAGGAAATATTTGCATAAACATAAGACCTAAACCTATAAGTCTCGTAGAAGAAAGCAGAGAAAAAGCTTCATGACATTGGATTTGCCAATCATTTCTTGGATATGACACCAAAAGCACAGGCAACAAAAGTAAATAGATAAATCGGCATGCATCAAAATTAAAAACTTGTGTATGCCAAAATGACATAATAGAATGAAAAGATAACCTACAGAATGGGAGAAAATATTTCCAAATAAAATATGTGATAAAAGGCTATAATCCAGCATATATAAAGAACTCCTACAACTCAACAACAACAAAATAACCCAACTAAAAAATGGACAAAGGATTTGAAATGGCAATTCTCCAAGCAAAATAACCAGCTAACTTCATAATGACAGGATCAAATTCACACATAACACTATTAACCTTAAATGTAAATGGGCTAAATGTGCCAATTAAAAGACACAGACTGGCAAATTGGATAAAGAGTCAAGACCCATGAGTGTGCTGTATTCAAGAGACTCATCTCATGTGCAAAGACACACATAGGCTCAAAATAAAGGGATAGAGGAACATCTACCAAGCAAATGGAAAACAAATAAAAAGCAAGGATTGGAATCCTAGTCCCTGATAAAACAGACTTTAAACCAACAAAGATCAAAAGAGACAAAGAAGGCCATTACAAAATGGTAAAGGGATTAATTCGACAAGAAGAGCTAACTATCCTAAATATATATGCACCCAATACAGGAGCACCCAGATTCATAAGCCAACTCCTTAGAGACCTACAAAGAGACTTAGACTCCCACACAATAATAATGGGAGACTTTAACACCCCACTGTCAATATTAGACAGATCAACAAGACAGAAAGTTAACAAGGATATACAGGAATTGAACTCAGCTCTGCACCAAGCAGACCTAATAGACATCTACAGAACTCTCTACCCCAAATCAACTGCATATACATTCTTCTCAGCACCACATCACACTTATTCCAAAACTAACCACATAGTTGGAAGTAAAGCACTCCTCAGCAAATGTAAAAGAACAGCAATCACAACAAACTGTCTCTCAGAGCACAGTGCAATCAAATTAGAACTCAGGATTAAGAAACTCACTCAAAACCACTCAACTACATGGAAACTGAACAACCTGCTCCTGTATGACTACCGGGTAAATAACAAAATGAAGGCAGAAATAAAGATGTTCTTTGAAACCAATGAGAACAAAGACACAACATATCAGAATCTCTGGGACACATTTAAAGCAGTGTGTAGAGGGAAATTTGTAGCACTAAATGCCCACAAGAGAAAGCAGGAAAGATCTAAAATTGACACCCTAACATCACAATTAAAAGAACTAGAGAAGCAGGAGCAAACACATTCAAAAGCTAGCAGAAGTCAAGAAATAACTAAATTCAGAGAAGAACTCAAGGAGATAGAGACACAAAAAAACTTCAAAAAATCAATGAATCCAGGAGCTGATTTTTAGAAAAGATCAACAGAACAGACTGCTAGCAAGACTAATAAAGATGAAAAGAGAGAAGAATCAAATAGATGCAATAAAAAATGATAAAGGGGATATCACCACCGATCGCACAGAAATACAAACTACCATCAGAGAATACTATAAACACCTCTACGCAAATAAACTAGAAAATCTAGAAGAAATGGAAAAATGCCTGGACACATACACCCTCCCAAGACTAAAACAGGAAGAAGTTGAATCCCTGAATAGACCAATAACAGGCTCTGAAATTAAGGCAATAATTAATAGCCTACCAACCAAAAAAAGTCCAGGACCAGACGGATTCCCAGCCGAATTCTACCAGAGGTACAAAGAGGAGCTGGTACCATTCCTTCTGAAACTATTCCAATCAATAGAAAAAGAGGGAATCCTCCCTAACTCATTTTATGAGGCCAGCATCATCCTGATACCAAAGCCTGGCAGAGACACAACAAAAAAAAAAGAGAATTTTAGACCAATCTCCCTGATGAACATCGATGCAAAAATCCTCAATAAAATAACAGCAACCCAAATCCAGCAGCACATCAAAAAGCTTATCTACCACGATCAAGTGGGCTTCATCCCTGGGATGCAAGGCTGGTTCAACACACGCAAATCAATAAATGTAATCCATCACATAAACAAAACCAAAGACAAAAACCACATGATTATCTCAATAGATGCAGAAAAGGCCTTCGATAAAATTCAACAGCCTTCATGCTAAAAACTCTCAGTAAACTAGGTATTGATGGGATTCATACCACTAAATGCCCACAAGAGAAAGCACTTGCTTTAAATGCATCTGAGAGATTCCGATATGTTGTGTCTTTGTTCTCATTGGTTTCAAAGAACATCTTTCTTTCTGCCTTCATTTTGTTATTTACCCAGTAGTCATGCAGGAGCAAGTTGTTCAGTTTCCATGTAGTTGTGTGTATCTCAAAATAATAAGAGCTATTTATGACAAACCCACAGCCAATATCATACTGAATGGACAAAAACTGGAAGCATTCCCTTTGAAAACTGGCACAGGACAGGGATGCCCTCTCTCGCCACTCTTATTCAACATAGTGTTGGAAGTTCTGGCCAGGGCAATCAGGCAAGAAAAAGTAATAAAGGGTATTCAATTAGGAAAAGAGGAAGTCAAATTGTCCCTGTTTGCAGATGACATGAGTGTATATCTGGAAAACCCCATTGTCTCAGCCCAAAATCTCCTTAAGTGATAAGCAACTTCAGCAAAGTCTCAGGATATAAAATCAATGTGCAAAAATCATAAGCATTCTTATACACCAATAACAGACAAACAGAGAGCCAAATCATGAGTGAACTCCTATTCACAATTGCTTCAAAGAGAATAAAATACCTAGGAATCCAGCTTACAAGGGATGTGAAGGACCTATTCGAAGAGAACTACAAACCACTGCTCAACGAAATAAAAGAGGACACAAACAAATGGAAGAACATTCCATGCTCATGGATAGGAAGAATCAATATCGTGAAAATGGCCATACTGCCCAAGGTAATTTATAGATTCAATGCCATCCCCATCAAGCTACCAATGACTTTCTTCACAGAATTGGAAAAACTACTTTAAAGTTCATATGGAACCAAAAAAAGCCCGCATTGCCAAGACAGTCCTAAGCCAAAAGAACAAAGCTGGAGGCATCATGCTACCTGATGTCAAACTATACTACAAGGCTATAGTAACCAAAACAGCATGGTACTGGTCCCAAAACAGAGATACAGACCAATGGAACAGAACAGAGGCCTCAGAAATAATACCACACATCTACAAACATCTGATCTTTGACAAACCTGACAAAAACAAGCAATGAGGAAACGATTCCCTATTTAATAAATGGTGCTGGGAAAACTGGCTAGCCATATGTAGAAAGCTGAAACTGGATCCCTTCCTTACACCTTATATAAAAATTAATTCAAGATGGATTAAAGACTTAAATGTTATACCTAAAACCATAAAAACCCTAGAAGAAAACCTAGGCAATACCATTCAGGACATAGGCATGGGCAAGAACTTCATGTCTAAAACACCAAAAGCAATGGCAACAAAAGCCAAAATTGACAAATGGGATCTAATTAAACTAAGGAGCTTCTGCACAGCAAAAGAAACTACCATCAAAGCAAACAGGCAACCTACAGAATGGGAGAAAAAATTTGCAATCTACTCATCTGACAAAGGGCTAATATCCACAATCAACAAAGAACTCAAACAAATTTACGAGAAAAAAACAACCCCATCAAAAGTGGGCAAAGGATATGAACAGACACTTCTCAAAAGAAGACATTTATGCAGCCAACAGACACATGAAAAAATGCTCACCATCACTGGCCATCAGAGAAATGCAAATCAAAACCACAATGAGATACCATTGCACACCAGTTAGAACGGCGATCATTAAAAAGTCAGGAAACAACAGGTGCTGGAGAGGATGTAGAGAAATAGGAACACTTTTACACTGTTGGTGGGACTGTAAACTAGTTCAACCATTGTGGAAGACAGTGTGGTGATTCCTCAAGGATCTAGAACTAGGAATACCATTTGACCCAGCGATCCCATTACTGGGTATATACCCAAAGGATTATAAAACATGCTGCTATAAAGGCACATGCACACATATGTTTATTGCGGCACTACTCACAATAGCAAAGACTTGGAACCAACCCAAATGTCCATCAATGATAGACTGGATTAAGAAAATATGGCACATATACACCATGGAATACTATGCAGCCATAAAAAGGATGGGTTCATGTCCTTTGTAGGGACATGGATGAACCTGGAAACCATCATTCTCAGCAAACTATCACAACAACGAAAAACCAAACACCACATGTTCTCACTCATAGGTGGGAATTGAACAATGAGAACACTTGGACACAGGAAGGGGAACATCACACACCGGGGCCTGTTGTGGAGTGGGGGGAGGGGGGAGGGAAAGCATTAGGAGATATATCTCATGTAAATGAGGAGTTAATGGGTGCAGCACACCAACATGGCACATGTATACAGATGTAACAAACCTGCACATTGTGCACATGTATCCTAGAACTTAAAAGTATAATAAAAATAAATAAATTAATTAAATTAAATTAAATAAGATAAATGAATAAAATGCACCACATGTTAAATACTGATAAGTGCTAAGGATTAAATTAAGGTAGGGAGGGGAGTTAGAAGGGTCAGGGATTGCCATCTTAGATAGTGTGCTCTGGGGAAACCTCAGAAATTGAGCTGCTGGCAACATGGTCTGAAGGAAGTGAGGAAACACTCAGAGAGATGTAAAGTGTTCTAGGCAGGAGAAGAACAATTGCAAAATCTGTAAGCATGCCTGTCAATTTTTAGGAAAATCATAGAAACCAGAGAGCAAAGGACAGAGTGATAGAAGATAAACTCTGACAGATAATAGGAGTGAGAGATCCAAGCACAACCTATAGGCCCATATAAAAACATTGGCTTTTACCCTGAATGGAATTGGAGGTGTTTGAGCAGAGTGGCATAATTTACGTATGGTTTAACAGAACAACTCTAGCTATTGTATGGAGATTAGCTGGAAAAGAGACAAAGGAGAGATGCAAAGAAACCATTTAGGAGGCTTCTACAGTAATTTACTCAAGAGATAAAAGTGGTAGTAGGGTGGTAGTTGGAGGGATGGTAGGAAGTGGCATGATCTAGGACGTCCTGATGGGATGGCTATGGAGCATGAAAGGAAGACACTCCTTTCCAAAGGAAAGGACACTTAATTCCAAAATTCTGGTTTGAGCAAAAGGAAGGATGGAGTTACCGATTACTGTGATGGTTAATACTTGGAGATAATTGGGTTTGGGGAAATACGAAGAGCTCGAATTTGGACCTAACGTTTGAACCGCCTATTATTATGTTGAAATATATAAAATGAGAAATATTCAACTATTCTGACCTATAAAAATGAAAACTACATGTGTTTCAAATTAACAGATATTCAGGAGAAAACACTGACAATGCAATTGTTTGTTCATAGGGGAGGTACAGGAGGGACACACATATCTGAGAGTCACCAATATACAGATGGTGTTTAACATAAAAGAGTGAAAGTTGACAGGAAAAAAAAGGCCAAGAACTGGCTCCTGGGATATTCCAACCTTCAGAATGAGGGGAAAAAATAAGAAGATGCCAAAGACAGACTGGGAGAGTGAAAGATCTTGGATGCCAGGGGGGTAAATGTTTAAAGGAGAGAGTGATTGCAAGATGAGGACTGAGAATTAACCATTGGATGTAATAATATAGGGGTCATTAGTGACCTTAGTAAGAGGGTTTATAGATGACTGGCACAGACAGGAGTCTGATTAGAATGGGCTCAAGAGAGCATGGGAGGAAGGAAATTGGGGAATGTAAGTATTGTTGACTAACTCAAGAGTTTGGGTATATAAGGAGAAAGTTGGTGCAGAAACTGGAGGAGTTTAAGTCAAGTCAAGAGTTTTTGTTTAACACAGAAGAGGTTTCCTCTCAAATTATATATTGAAGATACTGATTCAGTAGTTAAAATTTGATGAGATAGCTAAAATTTGATGATCCAGGACAGAGACAGAATTACTCAAGTAATGTTCTTGAGAAGGCAAGATGAGATTAAATCAACTGCACAAGTGGAGGGGGTGGCCTTTGCTAGGACCATGAACAATTTATCTAAGGGAACAGGAAAGAAGAGAGAATATGTAGTCCCGATGCAACTATATGGGCCGATGTGATTATGGGAATTTTGAAAAATATCTTCAGATTGCTTCTATTGTCTCAGTGAAAAGAAAGTAAGGTGATCATTTAAAAGTGAAAATAAGAGATTAGGTATTGGAGGCTTGAGAAGAAAAGAGAAAGCAAGCAATATTCATCTGGAAGAGTGAGAGAATGAATGGACTAGAGCAATATAGTAAGATCACTTGGCAGCATTAGGAACCCACTGGAGGTTGGTGATCATGATTATAAAGTGAGACTATTCAAAGAGATTGAGTGTTTTTCTCCAGACACATTCAGCCATACAAGTAAGGGCACTGAGTAGGCAGATAGATTTAACCAGCAAAGCAGTAGACAGGAAAGAAAGTTGAAGATATAAATATGACAATGATTATCAAGGCTGTCCGTGGAATTTAAGTTCCCAGTAAAGAGGGAAGTGAGAACCTGATGATATCAGTTTCCATTAAAAGATGGTAGGATAAAAGGATTTTTCCAGAGAGAATGAAAAATGGATAGATTTGGATATTTTTTAAAACTGAATTAGAAAGTTAGAAGGTGGTGCTGTGAGAATAAAATGTTGAAATTGTGATTATAAAGGGATTACAACTTGGGGTAACAACAAAGTCAAGGGTATGAGTCAGTGAGGTAGGAGGCAGAACAAAATTGTGAACTAAGAGGCTAGGACTTCAGGGGGAAAAATCTATGAAAACATTAAAATTACCACAAATTACATCAGAAGTAGATCGGCTGGGAATAATAGTGAATCAGGTGCTAATGTCTTCAAAAACTGTGGGAGAATGACAGAGATATTTGCTACACATATATCTGATGAATAACTGGTATACAATATTGTGAACCTGAGTTTTTTAAAAGTAAAAAAATAGAAGATAGGAGCATTTCAAATAAGAAGATACAAGAATAGTAAATAAGCATATGAAAAAATGATTCACTTTAGCCATAAAAAAGGATGAGTTCATGTCCTTTGTAGGGACATGGATGAAGCTGGAAACCATCATTTTCAGCAAACTATCGCAAGAAAGAAAAACCAAACACCACATGTTCTCACTCATAGGTGGGAATTGAACAATGAGAACACTTGGACACAGAAAGGGGAACATCACACACCGGAGCTCGTCAAGGGCTGGGAGGAGAGGGGAGGGATAGCATTAGGAGATATACCTAATGTAAATGACGAGTTAATAGGTGAAGCACACCAACATGGCGCATGTATACATATGTAACAAACCTGCACGTTGTGCACATGTACCCTAGAACTTAAAGTATAATTTAAAAAAAGGAAAAATGGTTCACTTTATTGGTAATCAGAAATGCAAAATGAAATAGCATTTTACTACAATAGCTTGAAAAAGATTTAAGAATGTGGCAATAAGAAATGCTTGCAAAGATTTAGTGAAATGGAAACATACTCTGCTCACGTGAATGTAAGCAGGGAAAGCCATTTTGAAAAAAGAATGGGGAAAGGGGTATTACCTGTTAATTTGAAAGGCATACACAGTACCAATTAGTGATCTACTCCTACTTTCCTCATAAAAGTGTCAGGAAAGAGTCTTTGATTTAAAGCCAGCTATATCTGTGCATTTGATTCCCACATCCAACACAACCTGGGTATTTGATTTTGAAAAATTTGCTTTACCAGGGAAGTGAGGATGGTTAATGCATACAAAAAAAAAACACAAAGAATGAATAAGACCTACTATTTGATAACTTAAAGAGTGTAACTGGTGTGTTTGTAACTCAAAGGATAAATGCTTGAGGAGATGGATACCCCATTTTCTATAATGTGCTTATTCACACTGCATTTCTGTATCAAAACATCTTATGTACCCTATAAATATATACCTCTACTATATACCCACACAAATTTTTTTAATTATTTTTTTAAGAAAAATTTGCTTTACCACTGAGCCTCAGGTGTTGTGAAGAATGAAGAAGATCGTTTTTAAAATACTCAGGACTGGCAGGGCATGGTGGCTCACGCCTGTAATCCCAGCACTTTGGGAGGCCGAGGCGGGTGGATCACCTGAGGTCAGGAGTTCGAAACCAGCCTGGCCAACAAGGTGAAACCCCCTCTCTATTAAAAATACAAAAATTAGACGGGCATGGTGGTAAGTCCCTGTAATCCCAGCTACTTGGGAGGCTGAGGCAGGAAAATCACTTGAACCCGGGAGGCGGAGGTTGCAGTGAGCTGAGATCGCGCCATTGCACTCCAGCCTGGGGGACAAGAGCAAGACTTTGTCTCAAAAAAAAAAAAAAAAAAAACTCAGGGCTGGGCACGGTGTAACCGCAGCACCCAGCACTTTAGGAGGCCGAGGCAGGCGGATCACTTGAGGTCAGGAGTTTGACACTACACTGGCCAACATGATGAAACCTCGTCTCTACTAAAAATACAAAAATTAGCCAGGCGTGGTGGCAAGTGCCTGTACTGCCAGCTACTCGGGAGGCTGAGGCAGGATAATGGCTTGAACCCGGGAGGCGGAAGTTGCAGTGAGCCAAGATCGTGCCACTTAACTCAAACCTAGGCGACAGAGTGAGACTCCGTCTCAAAAAAAAAAGCTCAGGTCAGATGCAGTGACTCACACCTGTAATCCCAGCACTTTGAGAGGCCGATGAGGGAGGATCGCTTGAGCCCAAGAGTTCAAGACCAGCCTAGGCAACATGGCAAAACCCTGCCTCTACTAAAAATACAAAAAAAAATAGCCAGTATGGTGGCACAGGCCTGTAGTCCCAGCTACTCCGGAGGCTGAGGTGGGAGGATCACCAGAGCCTGGGAGGCCAAGACTGCAGTGAGCTGAGATTGCACCACTGCACTCCAGCCTGGGAGACAGAGTCAGACTCTGTCAAAAAAAAAAAAAAAATTCAAGAATCATGGAAATATAAGTGTTCAATTTAAAAATTAATTTTATACGGCCAGGCGCGGTAGCTCACGCCTGTAATCCCAGCACTTTGGGAGGCTGAGGCGGGCAGATCACGCGGTCAGGAGATCGAGACCATCCTGGCTAACACGGTGAAACCCCGTCTCTACTAAAAATACAAAAAAAATTAGCCGGGCGCGGTGGTGGGCGCCTGTAGTCCCAGCTATTCGGGAGGCTGAGGCAGGAGAATGGCGTGAACTCAGGAGGTGGAGCTTGCAGTGAGCCGAGATCGCGCCACTGCACTCCAGCCTGGGCGACAGAGCGAGACTCTGTCTCAAAAAAAAAAAAAAAAAGAAAAAAAAATAATTTTATTAATATTGTTTTAAATTTTAATATGATTAATAATTTTATAACTTTTTAACTTTCAGGATGAAACTATTCACAAATGTTTCACTTTTTTTTTTTTTTTTTTTAGACAGGGTCTCACTCTGTTGCCCAGGCTGGAGTGCAGTGGCACCACCACGGTTCACTCCAGCTTTGACCTCCCGGGCTCCATCGATCTTGCCATCTCAGCCTCCCAAATAGCTGGGACCACAGGTACGCACCACCACGCCAGGCTAATTTTTGAATTTTTAAATTTTTCATAGGGACCGAGTCTCACCATGTTGCCCAGAGTGGTCTTGAACTCCTGGGCTCAAGCGATCAGCCTTCCTCAGCCTCCCAAAGTGCTGGGATTACAAGCGTGAGCCACCACTCCCAGCTTCACTCAGAATTTTAAAATCAATTTTCCCAAGTAGAAATCTGTATTTTCTGAATACTCCTAAAATGAAATAATTTAGTAGCATTAAAGGAATTGTATGTAGCATTTGGATGGGTCGGAGAGATCTGAGTGGTCTTTTCTCTAGAATCCCTGAAATCACAAGAAAACATGAGTTCTAAAGGCGAGCCATCTTTGAAATTCTATTACAGTTGTTATCATTTTTTCTGAATAAGTTATACTGATCATTCTGCCCCCTAGAGGCCTGTAAGAGTATTTCCCCAGCGTGTCCGACCAATTATAGCCACGGATACTGGACAGCACGGATACCTCCGCCTCTAGAGCGGGTCCTCCAGGGGGCGGAGCATTGCGTGACATTTTGCGACTTCGGTTCCGCTGCCGTCATTTACAACATAATTGGCTTTGCAGTGCGCATCCGGGTCTGCATCAGGAAGGCCCAAGGGTCCAACGAGCTAAGCTGAGCCCGGTGGCCGGCGAGGCACCACCAGCAGCCCAGACTACGGTCCCCCAGGAGGCGCCCCGGGAGCTCCGAGGACTCGCCCCGCGTCGCGCGGTCCTGCGCCCCGCTCGTCCCAACCAGCCTCCCCTACCACCGACATCTGTTACTTCAAAGAGGACTTCACCGCCGCGCTCCCCACGTCCGCTGCTAGGCCCAGGAGCGCCGTCCACAGCGCCGTCGAGGCGATGGTCAGCCGGCCCCGCAGCCCCAGCGCCTTCCCTGCTCCCTGGTGGGGACAGCAGCCAGGAGGACCCGGCCCTGCCAAGCGCCTCCGATTGGAGGAGCCCGCGGGCCCCGAACCCCGCGCGGCACCCAGCCTGGAAGACCCGGCGGGGGACCCGGCCGTGGACGCGCTCACCTCCATAGTGGTCCTGGCCGCGGGCTGTGCCCTGCGTGTGCCCCTGGACGACGTCGACCTGGTGCTGGAGCCCGCACCAACGTCGATCCTGCGAGTGTCTCTCGGTGGACACACCCTCATCCTGATCCCAGAGGTCCTCCTGAGCTCCGTCGACGAACGCTCAGGAGCGCAGCACGACTCGTCTGCCGGGCTGGAAGTGGACGTTTTCCTGGGCGCTGTCAGGGAGGACGTCGTCGTCGAGCTGGAATTCTGCGCATCTGTCCCAGAGATCGCCGCCCAGGAAGAGGCCTACGAGGAGGACGCGGACCCCGAGTTCCCGGAGCTCCGGATGGACTCCCCAACCGGCTCAGCCGCTGGGCTCTACCCCTCCTCTAGAAGTATGTTCATCCCCTACCGGGAGGGCCCCATCCCAGAACCCTGTGCTCTGGCCCCCAACCCCAGTTCAGAGAGACGTTCTCCACGCCCCATCTTTGACCTGGAATTCCGCCTTCTGGAGCCTGTCCCCAGCTCACCTCTCCAACCTCTACCTCCCTCTCCGTGCGTGGGGAGTCCAGGTCCCCACGCGCGCTCGCCGCTCCCGGAACGCCCTCCGTGCAAGGCCCGGAGACGCCTGTTCCAGGCATAGACCCCCACCCCCACGTACACACAACAATCCTGGCCGCTCTGCTGGAGGCCCTCTAGGATTGCGGGAATCTCTCACATTGAGTATCCAACAACCTGGAAATTGGGCACCGCGTGTTCGGACAATTGCTTTTTCGCTGCACACTACCGATAGTAGGAGATGAAGACGTCAGCAAGAAAAGGTATATTCTAGACCTCATCTTTAAATAGAAAATCTGCGCAAGGATACCAGAAAATGTGTCCAGATTTCTGGGCTTCTTTACAAGGTCATATTCAGATCCCTTCATTCTCCCTCGTTTTGCATCAGTTGTTTCTCTCAAATTCCAGTCTTTCTCCAGCATCATACTGCCACTCCCGTTTCTCCCCAAACCAAGAAATCACCAGATCTCTTACGTTGTTAGTTACCTTGCATTTTTTTCCCATGAATTTTGGAAGACTTAGCCATGGCTTTTCTTGGGGTTTTTCCAACTGCTCTCCAAGGAAACTGCCAAATAGTATGCTTACTATACAAGACTGTATGTTGCTTCTTCCTAGGAACCCCTTATCCTGCTGAAGTTTTCTTCTAGTCTTCTAATTCTAAATGAAAATTTGTGTTGAATTTTATCAGATGTTTTCAGCATGCATTGTGTTATGTATTTTTTTTTAATTTGTTAATCTGGTGATTTCACCCAATGGAAAGTGTTTGCATTCCTGCTATTCCACATTATTTTATACCTTTTAAAATCTACCCTGAGTTTTTTCTCATGTAAACCAAACTTCTAACTTTTAAAATGTTAGTTTATTACTGTAGTTGCCTCATATTTTTATATAGGAGATAAAAGATTACTGGTAAAGCTGATGTCAACAAGCTGGTTTTATTTTATTTAAAAACATCAATAACTATTCAGATCTACCACTATGCCTTACCAATTATTTCCTACATTTTTATTCTTACATTCCACTCCTTCACTGTAGCTTCAGTTTTCTTTTTGTGAAGAATATCCTTTAATATTTCTTTCCACTGTGTCTTACGTGTGATAAACTATCTTGCTTCTGTAAGTCTGAGCATGTTTTTGTGTGATAAACTTTCTTAGAATTGACTGTAAATGTTTTAATTACACCTTCATTCTTAATTTTAAAATGATATTTAACTACAGTACTTTAAAGATATTAGCCCGTTGTTTTGCCATTTTTTGTTGTTGCAGGATGTCTTCTGTCAATCAAGTTGTTAGTCCTTTTATATGTAATTTGGCTGTTCGTGTGTGTGTGTGTGTGTGTGTGTGTGTGCGTGTGTGTGTAGAGAGAGAAAGACTTTAAGACAGGGTTCACTCTGTCGCCCAAGCTGGAGTGCAGTGGTGCAATCACGGCTCACTGAAGCTTCAACATCCCAGGCTCAAGTGTATTTTTTGTAGGAACGGGGTTTCACCATGTTGCCCACGCTAGTCTGGATCTCCTGGGCTCAAGTGATCCACCCACTTTGACCTCCCAAAGTGCTGGGATTACAGGTGTGATCCACCACATCTGGCCAATTTTAGTATATTTTTTAAAATGTTGATTTGCCTTTGGTGTTCTACAGTTTACTGTAATGTGTCTAGGGGTAGACTATATTTTCATTTAGCTTGATAGAATTTAGTTAACTATCAATATTGGAAACTATTTCTTGCCTGAAATACCACAAAATCTTAAGTTTCATCTCTTGGAATATTGCCTATATCCCCATGAAATCCAATCAGATGGGAGGCTGAGGTGGGTGGATCACCCGAGGTCAGGAGTTCAAGACCAGCCTGGCCAACATGGAGAAACCCCGTCTCTACCAAAAATACAAAAATTAGCTGGGCGTGGTGGCACACACCTGTAATCCCAGCTACTTAGGAGGCTGAGGCGGGAGAATCGCTTGAACTCAGGAGGCGAAGGTTGCAGTTAGCTGAGATTGTGCCACTGTACTCCAGCCTGGGCAACAGAACAGGACTCTGTCCAAAAAAAAAGAAAAAAAGAAAGAAAGAAAGAAAAGAAGAAATCCAATCAGATATATAATGGCACTGCTCAATCAATCTCCCCTGGCTCATAACATCTTGATATCTTAATATACATGTATGTTTGTGAGTGTATGTACACCTTATCAAATCGAACTTCCTGTATTTTTTTTTTTTTTTGAGATGAAGTCTCGCTTTGTCACCCAGGCTGGAGTACAGTGGCCCGATCTTGGCTCGCTGCAACCTCTGCCTCCTGAGTTCAAACGATTCTCCTGCCTCAGCCTTCCAAGAAGCTGGGATTACAGATGCTTGCCATCACACCCAGCTATTTTTTGTATTTTTGGTAGAGATGGGGTTTCACCATGTTGGCCAGGCTGGTCTTGAACTCCTGACCTCAAGTGATCCACCCACCTCGGCCTCCAAAAGTGAGCCACCACGCCCGGCCCCAACTTCCTTTATTCTTTAATCCAATTAACTACTCTGGTTGACTGCTTACAATATTCTGTTTGTTTTGTTTTGTTTTTTGTTATTCTGTTTATAGTTCTATAAGAAAGTTTTCATTTCAAAGAATTTTTTTTTCAGGATTTCTCAAGATTTTTGCTTCAAAACTTCCCACTTGGTATCACAAACTTCTAGTTTGTTCATGGAAGGTATTCCATCATTTATGTTTTGAAAATTTTTTAACTTTAATAGCTAAATTGATTCAATTTCCCCACAGGTAAAATCTCTCATTATTTGTTTTTAATCACATTAGATTGCCTCGTGCTTAGTAATTTTCATTAGTGGGCACACTGTGGGTGGGAATTCATCTTCTGAATCCCATATTTATAATTTTTATAGTTTCCACTTCCTAGTCTTCCCAGGACCACCATTCAGAATTGGGGCTTTGGAACTCTTGTAACTTGTCTTTCTGGAAAGTCACAGGTGTAATCAATTACACAGACGCTCATTCCAAGTTTCAGTTTGTCTTTCCTTGATCAACTACAGGCACAACCATGCAACAGTGGTTAGTGCCTCTTCAACCTTTGAACATTGGCAGTGAGCCAAATTTTAGCCCCCTCAAAGGAGCAGAAATCCCAGTTGCCATTATATAGTTTAGTCCCAGTACCATGAGTCATCAAAATATCAGCTACTCAGTCAGAGATTGGGTTTTCTACTCCATTTCTGATCCCTGGAAGCTTGTATCTTTCTTTTGAAAGTAGGTATCTGTAGGTAATACGGTTTAATATTTCCTAGCAATGCTCTCTGCCTTCAGTAGATGGAATTCCCCTGTACTACCATCTTGCCCACAATTGCCACCACAACTCAATTATCTCTCTGTCCTCCCCCTATAACAAAGCAGTTAATCAGTCACAAGACCCAACCTAATTATCTGGTCATTCTGAAGAGAAACGGTTAGCCCTGTTTCCAAAACTGTGTCTTCTATTGCAAGAGACTGATACCCTGCACTAGAAGTAACAAAGGACATCCATCTTCAGCAATATGCAAACTAAACAGTCCCAAAAATCCTCTAAACAACACTCGTGAAAGTGATGGAGAAAATTATTTTAATATTTTTAAAGTCAAAGCACAGCTTACAAAATGTAAGAGAAATTCTCCAAAGCCAAAAATGATGACAAATCACGAATCCAGAGAGGTAGAATCCAGTGAGTGCTAAAGGAAAAGTTTCCTTGAGAGTACCTAACAATCCATGGTTACCTAGAGTTTTGGTTTTAATGGCCCATTTATGGGGAAAAGAAAAATGCAGTGGTCGCCGGGCACGGTGGCTCACGCCTGTAATCCCAGCACTTTGGGAGGCCGAGGTGGGCAGATCACGAGGTCAGGAGATCGAGACCATCCTGGCTAACGCGGTGAAACCCCGTCTCTACTAAAAATACAAGAAATTAGCCGGGCGAGGTAGCGGGCGCCTGTAGTCCCAGCTACTCGGGAGGCTGAGGCAGGAGAATGGCGTGAACCCGGGAGGCGGAGCTTGCAGTGAGCCGAGATCGCGCCACTGCACTCCAGCCTGGGCGACAGAGCGAGACTCCGACTCAAAAAAAAAAAAAGAAAAGAAAAGAAAAAGAAAAAGAAAAAAGAAAATCCAGTGGGCAGCCCTGAAAAAAGTCCCAGCTCTGCATTTATCAGTCTTGGCTCCAAGTAGAATAAAACACAATCTGCTTTAGGAGGAAAAGCTGAGAGTTTAGTTTAAGATGTTCCCTAATAGACGGTGAGCCTGGCAAAAATTAAACTAACTCTCTCCTCACATTCTCTGAAAAGAATATACCCTATACCCAGGGTTAAAAATCTTCTTGGAGATATCCTAAAGGGATTCTAAGCTCATAATCCAAAATCAAAGAACACAAATGGAGAAAGGTAGGAGGTAGTAATGCCATGTATTGAGAATTTTATTATTTCAATCTGGGATATGGGAGATGAACAGATTCCCACCATGAACAAGTGTAAAAGGCATGAGTACATTAATCTTTATGATCCTATGGCAGATACAGGTGGCAAGGCTTTCAGTGCCCAAGAGAGGAAAAAACAAGGATATTTCTAAGAACATACATAGTTCTGGGCATAGTATAGTGCCCTCATTAAGGAAGCATAACAACTTTCAAAAATGATAAATAAAAATAAAAACACATTTAAGATTATTGTAAAGTCTACAAAACACCAAAGTCAAAGAGATTTTTTAATACGCAAAAAGAGAAGGCCACTACAATGACAAGGCAATTAGACAACTGGCTTCTCAGCAGCAAAAAATGAATCCAGAAGACAGTGGAATAATAGCAGCAACGTATTGGTGGGAAACAACTGTTTTGACTTGGAATTTTTCAATTAATAATGCCATCTTTTTAAAATAAGCAAAAAAACAATTATTTCACCTATATGTGAAATTCTAAAAAGTCAAACTCATAGAGGTAGAGAGTATAATGCGCTTTACCAGAGGTGGGAGGGGTGTGGGGGGAATGGGGACATGTTGGTCAGAGGGTACAAAGTTTCAGTCAGACAGGAGGAAAAAGTTTTTGAGATCTATCTTACAGCATGATGACTAGAGTAAACAATTACATATTATATACTTCAAAATTCCTAAAAGAGACTTTAAATGTTCTCACCAAAAAAAAAAAAAAAGGGTATGTGGATGATGGGTATGTTGATTAGCTTGATTTAATCATTCCACAATCTATACACTTATGAAAACACCGCATTTTACCCCATAATTATTACAATTGTTATTTTTCAATTAAGAACTTAAAATTGTGTGTGTGTGTACACATTTAGTTTTATTGTAACAACGCAACTTGTACACTTTTAATGTTTAAAACTGAGCATCATCTTTCCTTTCCAGTGAAACAAAAAGAAAATTTAAAAATAAATAGGAACAAAATTACAATAGAGAATGTCAATTCCAAATAAGATCCTACAGGTTCTGCTGATTCTCCTGTTGAGTGGAAGGGCTCAAGTCATCATTAGGAGATAATTTATTTTAAAAGTGTCATCTTAAACTGCAAGGATGTCTGTCAAATACCACAAGGCATTTAATAATCAAACTCCCAAAGATCAAGGGTAAAGAAAGAATCCCGGCCAGGTGCAGTGGCTCATATGTGTAATCTCAGCATTTTGGGAGACCGAGGCAGGAGGATCACTTGAGCCCAGCAGTTCAAGGCTGCAGCGAGCCATGAGCCATGATTGTGCCACTACACTCCAGCCTAAGTGACAAAGCAAGACCCCGTCTAAAAAATATATGTGTATGTGTGTGTGTCTGGGTGTGTGTATGTGTGTATGTGTGTGTGTCCTAAAAGCAGGAAGAGAAAAGAAACAAATAACATATAATGTAGCTCCAGCAGCAGACTTTTCAGTGGAAATCTTAAAGGCTGAGAGAGAGTGGCATGACAAATTTAAAGTACTGAATGAAAAAAAAAACTTACCCTAGAATAGTATATCTGGTGAAAATATCTTTCAACCATGAAGGAGAAAGACTTTCCTAGAAAAAACAAAGCTGGCTAGGTGTGGTGGCTCACGCCTGTAATCCCAGCACTTTGGGAGGCCAAGGCAGGCGGATCACTTGAGGTTAGGAGTTTGAGACCAGCCTGTCCAACATGTCTCTACTAAAAATACAAAAATTAGCTGGGTGTGGTGGTGGGCACCTGTAATCCCAGCTACTCGGGAGGCTGAGTCAGGAGAATCACTTGAACCCGGGAGGCAGAGGCTGCAGTGAGCTGAGACTGTGCCACTGCACTCCAGCCTGAGCAACAGAGTGAGACTCCATCTCAAAAAAAAAAAAAAGAAAAGAAAAGAAAAACCAAAGCTGTGAAATTTCATCCACACCAGGCCTGTCCTACAAGAAATGCTAAAGGGAGTTCTTCAATCTGGGAAAAAAAAAAAAAAAAAAAAAAAAAAAAAAAAAAAAAAGAACATCAATGAACAGTAAGAAATTATCTGGTAATTTCTTTTTTTTTTTTTTTTTGAGACAGAGTCTCACTCCATTGCCCAGGCTGGAGTGCAGTGGCACCATCTCTGCTCACTGCAAGCTCTGCCTCCCAGGTTCAAGCCATTCTCCTGCCTCAACCTCCCAAATAGCTGGGACTACAGGCGCGTGCCACCATGCCCGGCTAATTTTTTGTATTTTTAGTAGAGATGGGGTTTCACCGTGTTAGCCAGGATGGTCTCGACCTCCTGACCTCGTGATCTGTCCACCTCGGCCTCCCAAAGTGCTGGGATTACAGGCGTAAGCCACCACGCCCAGCCCATGGTAATTTCTTATACAAAACTCAATAGTAAGTGCACAGAATATTATAACACTGTAATTGTGGTGTGTAAACTATTCTTAAGTAGAAAGAATAAATGATGAATCCATCAAAAATAAAAATTATAACAACTTTTCAAGACATCAACAAAGAGATAAAATAAAAAGAAAGTGGAGGGACAATGTTAATGTAAAGTTTTTATGAGTTTTTTTTTTTTGCTTGTTAGTTTGCTTGTTGTCTGTGAAATGAGTGTTAAGTTGTCATCCATTTAAAATAACAGATTATCAGATAGTATTTGCAAGTCTCAGGGTAACCTCAAATCGAAAAACGTACAACAAATAAACAAAAAATAAAAACAAGAAATTAAATCATACCACCAGAGAAAATCATCTTCGCTAAAAGGAAAACAGAAGGAAGGAAAGAAGGACGAGAAGACCACAAAACAACCAGAAACCAAATAACAAAATGGCAGGAGTAAGTCATTACTAATTAATAATAACCTGAATGTAAATGGACTAAACATTCCAATGAAATGACACAGAGTGGCTGAATGGATATAAAACAAAATAAAAGAAGACTCAATAATCTGTTGCCTACAAGAAACACACTTCACCTATAAAGATACACATAGACTAAAAATGAAGGAATGGAAAAAGATATTCCATGCCAATGGAAACCAAAGAAAGAGCAGGAGTAGCTATATTTATATCAGACAAAATATATTTCAAGACAAAAATTGTAAGAAGAGATAAAGAAAGTCACTATATAATGATAAAGGGGTCAATTCAGCAAAAGGATATGACAATTTTAAATATATATGCACTCAACAATGGGGTACCCAGATACATAAAGCAAATATTATTAGAGCTAAAGACACAGAGAAACCTCAATACAATAATAGCTGGAGATTTCAACCCCCCACTTTCAGCATAGGACAGATCTTCCAGTCAGAAAATCATCAAAGAAACATCGGGCTTAATCTCCACTATAGAATACATGGATCTAATAGATATTTACAGAGCATTTCATCCAAGGGCTACAGAATACATATTCCTCTCCTCAACATGTGGATCATTCTCAAGGATAAACTGTATGTTAGGTCACAAAACAAGTCTAAACACATTCCATAAAAGTTGAAATAATACCAAGCATCTTCTCTGACCACATGGAATAAAACTAGAAATCAATAACAAGAATAATTTTGGAAACTATACAAACATGTGGAAATTAAACAACATGCTCCTCAATGACTAGTAGGTCAATGAAAAAAGAAGGAGATTGAAAATTTTCTTCGAACAAATTATAATGGAAACACAACATACAAAAACCTATGGGATACAGCAAAAGCAGTGCTAAGAGGGAAATTCATAGCTATATGTGCATACATCAAAAAAGAACAACTTCAAATAATTAACCTAACAGTACATCTTTTTTTTTTTTTGAGACATAATTTTGCTCTTGTTGCCCAGGCTGGAGTGCAATGGCACGGTCTCAGCTCACTGCAACATCTGCCTCCCAGGTTCAAGTGATTCTCCTGTCTCAGCCTCCCAAATAGCAGGATTACAGGCACATGCCACCAGGCCCAGCTAATTTTTGTATTTTTAGTAGAGACACGGTTTCACCATGTTGGCCAGGCTGGTCTCAAACTCCTGACCTCAGGTGATCCACCCACCCCAGCCTCCCAAAGTGCTAGGATTACAGGCACGAGCCACTGCGACCAGCAAGTGCATCCTAAAGAACTACAAAAGCAAGAGCAAACCAAACTGAAAATTAGTAGAAGAAAGGAAATAAAAATCAGAACACAACTAAATGACATTGAAATGAAAAAAAAAATACAAAAGATCAACAAAATGAAAAGCTGGCTTTTAAAAAAGATAAAAGAAATTAATAAACCTTTAGCCAGACTAACTAAGAATGAGAAGAACCAGCTGGCACAGTGGCTCACACCTGTAATCCCAGCACTTTGGGAGGCCAAGATGGATGGATCACGAGGTCAGGAGATCGAGACCATCCTGGCTAGCACGGTGAAACCCCATCTCTACTAAAAATACAAGAAATTAGCCGGGCATGGTGGCACACGCCTGTAGTCCCAGCAGTACCCAGGAGGCTGAAGCAGGAGAATCACTTGAACCCAGGAGGCGGAGGTTGCAATGAGCCGAGATCGTGCCACTGCACTCCAGCCTGGGTGACAGAGTGAGACTCCATCTCAAAAAAAGAAAAAGAGAAGAACCAAATAAATAAAATCAAAGATGAAAAAGGAGACATTACAACTGATACTGCAGAAATTCAAAGGACCATTAGTGAGGCTATCATGAGCAACTATAGACCAATAAATTGGAAAATCCAGAGGAAATTATAAATTCCTAGGTACATACAACCTACTAAGATGAAACCATGAAGAAATCCAAAACCTGAACAGACCAATAACAAGTAATGACAGGGAAGCCATCATAAACAGTCTCCCAGTAAAAAAAAAAAAAAAAAAAAGTCTGAGAGCCAATGGCTTCACAGCTGAATTTTACCAAACATTTAAGGAATAACTAATACCAGTCACACTCAAACTATTCCAAAGAATACAGAAGGAGAGAATACTGCCAAATGCATTCTATGAGGCCAGTATTAACCTGATACCAAAGCCAAAGACACTTCAAAAAAAGAAAACTACAGGCCAATATCTCTGATGAATATTGATGCAAAAAATCCTCAACAAAATACTAGCAAACCAAATTCAACATTATATTTAAAAGATCATTCATCATGATCGACTAGGATTTATCCCAGGGATGCAAGGATGGTTCAACATATGCAAATCAATCAATGTGATACATCATACTAACAGAATGAAAGATAAAAACCATATCATTTCAATTCATGCTATAAAAGCATATAATAAAAGTCAACATTCCTTTATGATTAAAAACTTCTCAAAAACTGGGTATAGAAGGAACACACTTCAACACAATAAAAGCCATATGTGACAGACCCACAGCTAGTATCATACTGAATGGGGAAAAACTGAAAGCCTTTTCTCTAAGAGCTGAAACAAGACGAGGATGCCCACATTCACCACTGTTACTCAACATAATACTGGAAGTCCTAGCTAGAGCAATCAGACAACAGAAAGAAATAACAGGCATCCACATTGGAAAAGAAAAAGTCAAATTATCCTTGTTTGCAGATTATATGATCTTATGTTTGGAAAAACCTAAAGACCCCACACAAAAACTATTACTACTGATAAACAAATTCAGTAAAGTTGCAGGATATAAAATCAACATACAAAAATCAGTAGCATTTCTAAATGCCAACAATGAACAATCTGAAGAAAAAATCAAAAAAGTAATCCCATTTACAATAGCCACAAATAAAATTAAATACTTAGGAATTAACTGAACCAAAGAAGTGAAGCATCTCTACAATGAAAACTATAAAACATTGATGAAAGAAATTGAAGAGGACACAAAAGAGTGGAAAAATACTCCATGTTTATGAATTGGAAGACTCAATATTGTTAAAAATGTCCATACTACCCAAAGCAATCTACAGATTCAATTCAATGCCTATCAAAATGCCAATGGCATTCTTCACAGAAATTTTTTTTAAAATCCTAAAATTTTTATGAAACCACAAAAGACCCAGAAAGCCAACGCTAACCTGAGCAAAAAGAATAAAACTGGAAGAATCACATTACCTGATTTCAAATTATACTACAAAGCTATGGCAACCAAAACAGCATGTATTGGCATAAAAACAGACACATAGACCAATGGAACAGAATAGAGAACCCAGAAACAAATCCATACATCTACAGTGAACTCATTTTCAACAAAGCTGCTAAGAACATACACGGGGGCGAGGAGCAGTGGCTCACACCTGTAATCCCAGCCCTTTTGGAGGCCGAGGTGAGCAAATCACTTGAGGTCAGGAGTTTAAGACCAGCCTGGCCAACATGGTGAAACCCCATTTCTACTAAAAATACAAAAATTAGCCAGGCATGGCTATAATCCCACACGCCTATAATCTCAACTACTCAGGAGGCTGAGGCATGAGAATCACTTGAACCCAGGACCCAGAGGTTGCAGTGAGCCAAGATCACACCACTGCACCACTGCACTCCAGGCTGAGCAAAAGAGCGAGACTGCATCTCAAAAAAAAAAAAAGAAAAAAAGAAAAAACACAACAGATGAAATAGAACAGCAGAAAAATATGGCAAACACATTATATCTCTTTTTTAATAATAATTTTTTAAATTGTTCAAGTAATCTGCCTACCTTGACCACCCAAAATGCTAGGATTGCAGGTGTGAGCCACCACCCCTGGCCAACACATTCTATCTCTACTCAGTGCTGCTAATGACAAGATCTAATTCCTTTTTATGGCTGAATAGTACTCCATTGTGTATATGTACCACACTTTCTCTATCCGTTCCTCTGTTGACGGATACTTAGGTTGCTTCCAAATCTTGGCTATTGTGAATAATACTCCAACAAACATGGGAGAGCAGATATCTCTTCAATATCCTGATTTTCAATTGATGGAGCTGGGAAAACTGGATATCCATATGCGTAAGACTGAAACTAGACCCCATCTCTCACCATATACAAAAATCAATAAAAATGAATTAAATATTTAAATTTAAGACCTCAAAATATGGCCGGGTGCAGTGGCTCATGCTTGTAATCCCAGCAGAGGATTTGGGAGGCCAAGGCGGGTGGATCACCTGAGGTCAGGAGTT
Source organism: Homo sapiens (assembly GCF_000001405.40). NCBI lineage: Eukaryota > Metazoa > Chordata > Mammalia > Primates > Hominidae > Homo > Homo sapiens. Next base: position 139,008,453 of record NC_000003.12, on the reverse strand, counting down.
CGAGGTCAGCCTGGCCAACATGGTGAAACCCCATCTCTACTAAAAATACAAAAAAAAATTAGCCAGGCATGGTGGCTGACACCTGTAATCCCAGCTACTAAGGAGGCAGAGGCAGGAGAATCGCTTGAACCCCTGAGGCGGAGGTTGCAGTGAGCCGAGATCGCGCCATTGCACTCCAGCCTGGGCAACAAGGGCAAAACTCTGTCAAAAAAAAAAAAAAACCCTCAAAATATAAAACTACTATAACAAAACATTGGGGAAACTCTCCAGGACTTTGATCTGGGTAAAGATTTCTTGAGTAATAATCCACAAGCACAGGTAACTAAAGCAAAAGTGGACAAATGGGATCACATCAAGTTAAAAAGCTTCTACACAGCAAAGGAAACATCAACAAACAGAAGAGAATGAAAGAAATTATCTGCAAACTACTCATCTGACAAGGGATTCATAGCCAGAATACATAAGAAGCTCAAACAACTCTAAAGGAAAAAAAATCTAATAATCCAATATAAAAATGGGCAAAATAACTGAATAAATATTTCTCAAAAGAAGACATACAAATAGCAAGCAGCTATGTGAAAAGGTGCTCAACATCACTGATCATCAGACAAATGCAAATCAAAACTACAGTGAGATATCTTACCCCAGTTAAAATGGCTTTTATCCAAAAGACAGGAAATAACAAATGCTGGCAAGGATTTGGAGTAAAGGGAACCCTCGTACACTGTTGGTGGGAATGTAAACTCGTAAAAACCACTACGGAGAACAGTTTGGAGGTTCTGCAAAAATCTAAAAATAGAGCTACCATATGATCCAGCAATCTCACTGCCACGTACATAATCAAAAGAAAGAAAAGCAGAATATTGAAGACATATCTGTGCTCCCATGTTTATTGGAGTTTTATTCACAATAGCCAAGATTTGGAAGCAACCAAACTATCCATCAACAGATGAATGGATAAAGAAAATGTGGTACATATACACAATGGAGTACTATTCAGCCATAAAAAAGAATGAGATCCTGTCATTAGCAACAACATGGATGGAACTGGAGGTCATTATGTTAAGTGGAATAAGTCAGGCACAAAAAAACAAACTTCTCGTGTTCTCACTTATTTATGGCAGCTAAAAATTAAAACAATTGAACATATGGAGAGAGTAGAAGGATGGTTACCAGAAGCTGGGAAGGGTAGTGAGGGTGGGGGCAAATAGAAATGGTTAATAGGTACAAAAAAATAGAAAAAATGAATTAAAATCTAGTATCCGATAGCAGAACCGGGTGACTATAGTCAATAATAATTTAATTGTACAATTTAAAATAACTAAAAGAGTATAATTGGATTGTTTGTAACACAAAGGATAAATGCTTGAGAGGATGGATACCCCATTTACCATGATGTGATTACTACGTATTGCAGGCCTGTATCAAAGTATCTCATATAACCCATAAATATATATACCTACTATGTACCCACAAAAATTAAAGTTTACTTATCAAAGCAAAATTTTCATTTCTACTTTCTATCAGAAATGAAAGAACTTTTTAGAACCACGTAGGAAGGGTGGGGAAAGAGCAGTGAGTATGAGTTAAAGCTCTTTTTCATATATTCCTGGAAAATCTTAGAAGAGACATTGAGACGTAAGCTACTTATAAAAGTAAGCAAGCAGTTTTTGAAATTGTGTTTTGGCTTTTCTTTTCTTAACCAAGATAAAAGCAATTACCGCCATTGGGTCCCACGAGCACATCCAAGGAACCTTCCCCTACAGACACAAAGACACCCCTCCACCTCCCCACCTCCCCACCTCCGCACCTCGCTCTTGTTCTAATTGATCCAATCATCTCTAGGCCACGCCTACCGCAGAGCACTGTCGGGAGGCGGGGCCTATATTGACACATCCTGGTGCGCCGAGGTCACCTGACGTCCCACGTTATTAGTCATCGGACGTGCATCCGGGTCTGCGCCAGGAAGGCCCAAGATTCCATCGCGCGAGGCTCTCTCAGCAGCACGGACTGCGGTCTCCGGGAGGCGCCCCTGGAGCTCCCAGGACTCTCCCCGCGCCGCGCGGTCCTTCGCCCCTTCCGCCCCAACCCGCCTCGCCTAGCACCGACACCTGTTACCTCAAAAAGGACTTCGCTGCCCGCGCTCCCTACGTCCTCTGCTAGGCCCAAGAGCGCCGTCGAGGCTATGGGCAGCCGGCCCCGCAGCCCCAGCGCCTTCCCTGCGCCCTGGTGGGGACAGCAGCCAGGAGGACCCGGCCCTGCCAAGCGCCTCCGATTGGAGGAGCCCGCGGGCCCCGAACCCCGCGTGGCGCCCAGCCTGGAAGACCCGGCGGGTACCCCGGCCGTGGGCGCGCTCACCTCCATAGTGGTCCTGGCCGCGGGCTGTGCCCTGCGTGTGCCCCTGGACGACGTCGACCTGGTGCTGGAGCTCCCGCCAACGTCGATCCTGCGAGTGTCTCTCGATGGACACACCCTCATCCTGATCCCAGAGGTCCTCCTGAGCTCTGTCGACGAACGCTCAGGAGCGCAGGACGACTCGTCTGCTGGGCTGGAAGTGGACGTTTTCCTGGGCGCTCTCAGGGAGGACGTCGTCGTTGAGCAGGAAGTCTTCTGCGCATCTGTCCCAGAGATCGCCGCCCAGGAAGAGGCCTACGAGGAGGACGCGGACCCCGAGTTTCCGGAGCTCCAGATGGACTCCGCAGCCGGCTCAGCCGCTGGGCTCTACTCCTCCGCCAGAAGTATGTTCAGCCCCTACCGGGAGGGCCCCATCCCAGAACCCTGTGCTCTGGCCCCCAACCCCAGTTCAGAGGGACACTCTCCAGGCCCCTTCTTCGACCCGGAATTCCGCCTTCTGGAGCCTGTCCCCAGCTCACCTCTCCAACCTCTACCTCCCTCTCCGCGCGTGGGGAGTCCAGGTCCCCACGCGCACCCGCCGCTCCCGAAACGCCCTCCGTGCAAGGCCCGCAGACGACTGTTCCAGGAATGAACTGCTTCCCACAATCCCTTGCCACCGGCTGCGGGTTCTTGTGGATCCTCCAAGACTCACTGTGAGGACTTGCCACAGCCCGGAAATGCAGCATCTTCATTCATCGACAGCGGGCAGTTGGATTACTGTTGTTTGGGTGGGTTGGTTGGTTGGCTGGCTGGCTGGTTGGTTTTTTGGCAGAATTCCTTGGTAAGTGGCAGGCAAGGACATGAAAAAAGAAAAGCAGATTCTGGTAAGCACCTTTACCAAGAAGAGTAGACCACACATAACCAGTCATGGATTTTCAGATCCCTTGCCTTTGCTGCAGGAGCTGTTACTTCTGCCTTTGTCACCTTCAGCCAACTGTATCCTCAGTTTCACCCCTACTCTTGCTTAAAGCTCCCTTCAGTTTTCTTTAAAATTCCCCCCTTTTTTTTTATCACTTCCATACACCTATCCGTTCTCTCCAATCCAGATCATTGTCTTTCCTTCTTTTTGCAGTTAGGAATTTACCTATACGATTTCTCCCAACATCCTCTGAGGTGCTTCTGACCACTGATTTTATTTTCCACTTGCTCTCCTTAACTCCTTTTCCTGGACCTGGACAATCAAGATAAATGCATATTAGATTAGATAGTAAACAAACAACATTCAAATGTAATGAATGCACTGGACCTTTTGGAAGTGTTTCTGCAAATAAGAATTTAAGGGCCGGGCGCGATGGCTCACGCCTGTAATCCCAGCACTTTGGGAGGCCGAGGCGTGTGGATCACCTGCAGTCAGGAGTTCGAGACTAGCCTGGCCAACATGGCGAAACTCCGTCTCTACTAAAAATACGAAAATTAGCCGGGCATGGTGGCGTGTGCCTGTAATCCCAGCTACTAGCAGGGATGAGGCAGGAGGAGTGCTTGAACCTGAGAGGCAGAGGTTGCAATGAGCCGAGATCGTGCCATTGCACTCCAGCCTGGGCAACAGAGTGAGACTCCATCTCAAAAAAAAAAAAAAGAAAACGAAAAAACAATTTAAAAATTAGTGAAAGCAATATTTAATGAGGGAAAGTAGGAAGTTGTGACACTTTCATTCCAGCAGCATCTTGTACAATGACATATTCTATGTACTTTAACCAATGGGTATTCCTGAATTTCAGGGCAGTGTGGGCTTCATCTTGATTTCCTCTCAGGGGTACTCACTCACCTTCACCGCATGGACATTTGGTCTAATTTATTTTTGAGAGTTTTTTTCATGCTCTTGAGTCCATCACCCTGAATTGGCAGTCGTTATTTCTTAGTATTATTTCCTTAATGTCTTTTTAACTATAAAGGAAAGGAAATATTACAGATAATGTTGTCATATCCTTTGATCCCCACTCTTCTCCCCCATTCCCAGGGGATTCACATCATGACACAAAGTTGATGGATATCATTCTAGTCAATATATGAAAGCTACATATACATATATATATGTATAGATATAAATAAGCAATGTTTATGTTGTTTTCTGGACAATTAAATTTACATAACTACCTCATATTCTCCAGTTTTTTTCTCAACTTTATTTTCGAGATGACATAAATATGTGTAGTAAATTTCTTCTAAAGATTCCAGTATCCATCATATGATTGTGATATTTGTTCTTTATTTATTTCTTTATTTGTTTATTTATTGGAGACAGGGTCTCATTCTGTCACCCTGGATGGAGTGCAGTGGCACAATGAGTGGGCTCAAGAGATCCTTTGCCTCAGCCTCCCAAGTAACTGGGACTACAGGTGCGCACTCCCACACCCACCTAAATTTAAAAAAAATTTTTTTTTTAGAGATGGAGTCTCACTATGTTGCCCAGGCTGGTTTCAAACTCCTGGCCTCAAGCAGTCCTCCTGACACAGCCTCCAAAAGTGCTGGAATTACAGGAGTGAGCTACCGCACCTGGCCTCAGATTTATTTTTATTTCTTTTTTGTTTTGGGGGGTTTTTTTTAGATACCAGGTCTCTCTCTATCACCCAGGTTGGAGTGTAATGGCACAATCATAGCTCACAACAGCTTTGAACTCCTAGGCTTAAGCAGTCCTCTCACCTAAGCCTCCCAAGTGGCAGGGACTACAGGCACAAACCACGATACCCAAATAATTTTTTTAATTTTTTGTGGAGAAGGAGTCTTGCTCGGTTGCCCAGGCTTGTCTTGAACTCCTGGGCTCAAGTGATCCTCCTGCCTTCCAAAATGCTGGGATTACAGGCATGAGCCACAGCACCTAGCCTCAGATTTCTTAAATATGACACCGAAAGCACAATCCTTAAAGAAATAATGTGATGACGGGCCTCATCCAAATGAAGAACTTTTGTTCTCCAAAGACACTGTTAAAATGAAAAGATAAGCCACAGATGGAAAAAAAACATATATTCACAACGCAAATATCTAATAAAGGACTTGTGTGTCCAGAATAACACTTTCAAAATTGAGTAAGAAAACTCTTTAAAAGAAGGCAATAAAATCAAGACACTCAAAAATACAACCATCACAATGACTAGCATCAAATTAAAGATTATTAAATATATGAATGTGCAGCAAAATGTGACCCATAAACAGGAGTAAAAATAGTTGATAAAGTTCTTTATTTTTTTTATATTAGCCCTTTATCAGATGTGTGGTTTGCACATCTTTTCTCCTAATCTGTGGGTTGTCTCCTCATTCTCTTGTTTCCTTTGCTGTGCAGAAGCTTTTTAGTTTGATTCAATCCCATTTGTTTATTTTTGCTTTTCTTGCCTGTGCTTTGGCGGTCATATCCAAGAAATCTTTGCCTACACCAATGTCATGGAGCTTCCCCCCCTGTTTTCTTCTAGCCGTTTTACAATCTGGGGTCTTATATTTAAGTCTTTAACCTATTTTGAGTTGATTTTTTTCTTTTATTAAAAAATCTAATCATATTTTCTATGCCAAATTTACTTCCCAATCTTTTTTTTTTTTTTTTTTTTTTTTTTTGAGATGGAGTCTCACTCTGTCACCCAGGCTGGGGTGCAGTGATGCAATCTCAGCTCACTGCAACCTCTGCCTCCTGGGGTCAAGCAATCCTACCACCTCAGCCTCCCAAGTAGCTGAGATTACAGATGCAAGCCACCATGCCCAGCTAATTTTCATATTTTTTGTAGAGACAAGGTTTCACTCTGTTGCCCAGGCTGGTCTTGAACTCCTGAGCTCAAGCAATCCACTCACCTCAGCCTCCCAAAGTGCTGGGATTACAGGCATGAGACACCATGCCCAGCCAAGTTAATTTTTTTATGTGGTGTGAAATAAGGATCCAATTTCATTCCTCTGCTTGTGTATAAACAGTTTTGTATCTGCACTCCCATGTTCACTGTAGCATTATTATGAGTAGCTAAGATATGGAGCCAACCTATGTGTTTATCATCATATAAATGGATAAAGAAAATGTGGTATATATACACAATGGAATACTATTCAGCCTTAAAGAAGAAGGAGATTCTGTCATTTGTGACATTAAGAACCTGAAGGACATTGTGATAAGTGAAATAAGCCAGGCCCAGAAGGACAAATACCATAAGATTCCACTTACGTGCAGAATCTAGAACAGTTGAACTCGTAGAAGTAGAGTAGAACAATGATTACCAGAGGCTGGAGGAGGAGGGTGGATGGCAAAAAGAAAGATGTTGATCAAAGGGTACAAAGTTTCAGTTAGACAAGAGGAATAAGCTTTAGTGATCAATTGCACAGAAAGGTGACTATAATAAATAAAAATGCAATGTATTTTTCAAAATTGCTGAAAGAGTAGGTTTTTAATGTTTTCACCACAAAAAAAATAAGTATGTGAGGTGATGAATTTGTTAATTAGCTTGATTTAATCCTACAGTGTAAACATATATTAAAACATCATGTTGTACCCCCATAAATATATACAATTATTATTTGTCAAAAATAAAACAAAAAATAGTTGATAGAAAGTGGTGTAGATTAACAGAAATGATAAAACTAGCAGGCAAGAACACTAACAGCTATTATAAAGATGCTCAGTATGTCCCAGGATTTTAAAGACAACCTAAGCATAATAAGGACAGAATTAAAGATATAAAAAAAGAACCTAATGGAACTTCTAGAGATAAAAAATATAATATATGAAATGAAAACTTTATTGGATGGTATTAAATACTGCAGAAGAAAAAAACTAAGAGAATGTAAGACTTCAAATCAAATCTATCAAAACTAAAGCACACAGGTGAATAAATAAGTAGCTTTTTCAATAATATCAAGCAATCTACCATACATGTAATTATAATCTCAGGAGGGAAAGAATGGGAGGCAGGGGCGATTTTGAAGTTCAGTGAAAGCTATAAACCTCCAGATATAAGAAGTTCAGTAAACCTCAAGAGGGTAATCATGCATAGACACAAACACAGACAGACAGACACACACACACACACACACACACAGACACACACACACATATCAAAGCAGATAGCCAATTTACTGAAAACCAGTGATAAAGATGAAATCTTTAAAAGTACCCAGAGGAGACGGCCAGGCGCGGTGGCTCAAGCCTGTAATCCCAGCACTTGGGAGGCTGAGGCGGGTGGATCACGAGGTCAGGAGATCGAGACCATCCTGGCTAACACGGTGAAACCACGTCTCTACTAAAAATACAAAAAAATTAGCCAGGCGTGGTGGCGGACGCCTGTAGTCCCAGCCACTCAGGAGGCTGAGGCAGGAGAATGGCGTGAACCTGGGAGGCGGAGCTTGCAGTGAGCCGAGATCGAGCCACTGCACTCCAGCCTGGGCAACAGAGCAAGACTCCGTCTCAAAAAAAATTAAATAAATAAATAAATAAAAGTACCCAAAGGAGGCCAGGCACGGTGGCTCACGCCTGTAATCCCAGCACTTTGGGAGGCCCAGGCAGGCGGATCACCTGAGGTCGGGAGTTTGAGACCAGCCTGACCAACAGCCTGACCAACATGGAGAAACTTTGTCTCTACTAAAAATACAAAATAAGCCGGGTGTGGCAGTGCATGCCTGTAATCCCAGCTACTTGGGAGGCTGAGTCAGGAGAATCGCTTGAACCCGGGAGGCGGAGGTTGCAGTGAGCCGAGATCGTGCCATTGCACTCCAGCCTGGGCAATAAGAGTGAAATTCCATCTCAAAAAAAAAAAAAAGTACCCAGAGGAAAAGAAAGACACATTAAATAGAAAGAAAGAAAGAGATAAGAAATATAACAGTTTAAATGTAACAGTTTTCTTATCAGTAACAATACAAACAATGTAATGACATCTTTCAAGTGCTGAAAGAAATAAAAACTGTCAAACTGTATTTCTAAATACAGTAAAAATATCCTACATGAAGGCAAAATAAACTTTTCCAAGAAAAGAAAAGGCAAGAGTATTTTTCGTAAGTCAATGTGCACTATAAAGAATACTAATGCAAATTATTCAGTTGAAAGGAAAATGATACCATATGGAAACCTAGATCTACACAAAGAATTGAAGACCAGAAAAGGTAAATTATGGATAAGCATAAAAAGATATTTTTCTCACTTTTAATTTCTTTAAAAGATAAATGACTTTATATAGCAAAAATAGCCAGAGCATATTCTAAAGACTGTAACATACATAGAAGTAAACTATGACAACAATAACTCGAAGAACATGAGGTAAAATGGAAGTGTGCTGGTGTAAGCTAGTACAATACTATTTGAGGGAAGACTGATAAGTTAAAGGTGCATATTGTAACGTCTAAAGCAATCACCAAAAACTAAAGCAGAGCTGTAGCTAATAAGTCAACAGAAGATAAAAATGAAATTCTAAAAATTACACAACTATTCAAATAAAGGCAGAAAAAGAGGAGAAAAGGAACAAAGAACTGATGGGAAAAAATAAAATAAATACCAATATGATAGGTTTAAAATCAAATCAACAATTATATTAAGTGTAGATTGTTCACAAAGTCCAAGTAAGAGGCAAAATCTGAAAAAGTTACATACTATATAATTCCATTTGTATAACATTTTCGAAATGACAAAATTGTAGCGAGAAGGATAGAGTAGTGGTTTTCTACTTCCACTCTTGGGCACAATGGAGAGGAGAGAGCTGGGTATCACAAACGGTACTTGTGATGGAGCTGTCCTGTATCTTTACTGCAATGGCGATCAGACGATTCTACACATAAAAGAACTACACAGAACTAAATGTGTGCACACACATACACACACACGAGTGCATGAAAAACTAGTGAAATTTAAATAAAACAGGTAAGTTATCAATGTCAACTCCCGAGTTAGTATATTGTGCTAGAGTTATGCAAAATTTTACTATTGATGAAAATTGGATGAAAAGCTTACAAGAGCTCTTTGTATTGTTTCTTACAGCTGCATGTAAATCTATAGTTGTCTCAAAAAATTGGAAAAAAGAAACTATATAAATTACAAACATATATTCAGCCTCTTTAATCATCAGGAAAATGCTAGCAATGTTTTATATCGATCTGGGTGTTCACCAGACGTGTGTGTTCACTTTGTGATAATTTATCATGATATACACTTATGATTCATGCACTCATAATTCATAGTTTAATTTGAAATTTTATTTTTTAAGTAGTTATAGTAACATCAGACAAAATAGACTTTAGAACAAGAACTATCACCAAGATTAAAGAGGAAGCTTTCATATGACTTAATTCATTAAGAAGACATAATCCTAAATTGAGTATGCAACTAATAACACAGCTTGAAGTAGATGAGTCACAAAAACTGATACAACTGAAAGAAGTAGAAAAATCCATGGAGCTGACGATTTCAACATTCCTCTCTCAGTTATGGATTAAACAAGTAGAAAAACAGTAAGAATTTAGAAAAGTAGAAAAACATTATCAATCAACGTGACCTGTTTGGCATTTATAGATAACTGCACCCAGGGGCAGAAAACACTATATTTTCAAATGCACCTGCAACATTCACGAAGATAGACCATATTCCAGGCATAAGACAAGTCTCAATAACTTTAAAGAAATTAAAACCAATCAAAGTATGTTCTCTGACAAAATTAAACTTGAAATTAATAACAGAAAGATCAATTACTATTAAATTTAAAAGAAAAAAGATAATTTTTCACAACCAATTGGCATTTATCTGAGCAATGCAGGCATGGCTTATCATTTAAAACTTAATACATAGAATTTACTATATCAATAGACAAACAGACCATATGATTTCCACAACAGATTCAGAAAAAAAAAATTAACAAAATTCAATATCCATTTGTGATTTTTAAAACTCTAAGGAAACTAGGAATACAGGGGAACTTCCTCAGCCTGATAAAGGTCATCTATGAAAAACCTGCAGATAGGCTCATAATGAATGATAGACTGGGTGTTTTCCCCCTGAGATTGGGAACAAGGCAAATGAAGTTCTCAACAATTTTATTCAGCATTATACTAGAGGTCCTAGCAAGGGCAATAAAGCAAGAAAAAGAAATACATGTAAAAGCCATACAGATTGGGAGGGAGGAAGAAAACTGTCTTCTTCACAGATGACATGATCAAATATGTAGGAAATCCTAATGAATCAACAGAAAAACTTCTAGATATAATAAGTAAGTTTAGCAAGATTTCAGGTTAGAAGGTCAGTATTCAAAAATCAACTGTACTTTTACACTAGCAATGAACAATTGGATACCAAAATTGAAAACTAACATCCAAATAGTATCAAAAATATTAAATACTTAGAAATAAATTTAACACAACATATGCAAACCTGTTCATTGAAAACTACAAAACACTGCTGAGACAAATTTTTAAAGTCTTAAATAAATTGAGAGATTTATTATGTCTGTGGATTGAATAACAATATCCTTAAGATGTCAATTCTCTATCATGTCAGACTGATCTACACACTCAGCACAGTACAAGTCAAAATCCCAGTAAGTTTTAATATACATTACCCAGATGATTCTAAAATTTATATAAATTGCAGGGTACCTAGTATATCCAAAAATAATTTGAAAAAGAACATAGCTGGAGTACTTACAGTATCCAATTTCAAGATTTATTATAGAGCTATAGTAAGCAAACATAGTTATTGGTGTAGAGGCAGACATAGAAAATCAGTGGAACAGAAAAAAAGAGTCAAGAAATAGACGCAGATATATACACAATCAGAGGATTTTTTTTTAAGGGTACTAAGGTAATTTTTAGGGGAAAAGATAGTCTTCTCAACAAATGGTGCTAGAACAGTGGATATCTACATGGGAAAAAAATTAACCATGATCCTCACTTTATACCATACAAAAAAAATTTACTAAAAATAAATCATAGCCCTAAACATAAAATCTAAGACTATGAAACTTCTAGAATAAAATTTCTAGATAAAATCTTCATGACCTCAGAATAGGCATAAACTTCTTAGATTAATACACAAAAAGCAAGGACTATCAAAAATGAATAGAAGGAAAAAAACTGATGAATTAGACAATCAAAATTTAAAATTTCTGCTGTTAGACACCATTAAAAAATTAAAAGGCAATACACAGACTAGGAGGAAAATATTTGCAATACATGTGTCTGACAAACGACATGTATATAGAATATATATTTTTAAAACTCTTGCAACTTATTAATGAAAAGACAAACTGATAAAAATAAGAAGCAGAAAAGGTGAACAAAGAAGATATTCAAATGGTCAGTAAGCACATGAAAGGATGCTAAACATCATCAGTCATCAAAGAAATGCAAAATTAAGAACACAATAACATACTGTTGCACCTCCAGCAGCTCCTGACTAGGTATTTACCCAACAGAATGAAACACACCTCCACAGTATGTGAGCATAAATATTCATCGCAGCAGTATCCATAATAACCTAAAACTGGCATCAACCCAAAGGCCCATCAAGAGGTAAATGGGTAAACAAATTGTGATACGCTTATAGAATGGGATGCTGCTGTGCAATAAAAAGAAATGAACTACTGATACATGCAATAGCATGGATGAACCTCACAAACATTATTCTGAGTGAAAGAAGCCAGGCACAAAAGACTACACATTTACATTATTCCATTTATATGAAATTCTAGGACAGGTAAAAGTCATCTATCATGACAGAATGTAAATCAGTAGTTGCCTATATTCAGCAGGTGGGAGGGATTAATTGGAATTACTTTTTGGGGTAATAGAAATAGCCTATGTCCTGCTTGGAATGGGATATCCGTGTGTGTGTACATTTGTCAAAATTTATCAAACTGTATAATTAAAATACACATTTTGTTTTATGTAAATTATATCCCAAAATTGATTTAAAAAGAAGAAAAAGTATTGCCAAGGTACTTTTGAGTAAGAATAAAGCTGAAGAGGAAGGAGGGGACAAAATAAAAAGAATAAAGCTGAAAGATTTACCTTACTGGATTTCAAGTTTCATTATAATGCTTCAGAAATTAAGGAATTATTTGATTTACCTAAGAACTGACAAACAGATCAATGGAATAGAATAAGAAGTCCATAATCAGACATACATATGTGCAATCACCTGATTTATGATGAAAACACTACTGCAATTCAGTGGGAGAAAGGAGGGTCTAGTCAATAAACTGCTGAGTCGGTGTTATCCAAATGGGAAATGAAAAAATCTATCCTGACCCTATACTTAAGCCACACAAAAATTAATTTCAGATGAATTGTAGATCTAAATGTGAAAGGTATAAAAATAAAGCCTCTAGAAAACAACACAGGAAACTATCATCATGACTCTAGGATAGGAAAATTTTATTAAACAAGACACATCCAAAAAGAGCACTAAAATAAAGGAAAATGTTAATATATTGGACTACATTAAAACTAAGATTTCTTTTCATCAGAGGACACTTAATAAGAGAGTGAAGCCGGGCATTGTGGCTCACACCTGTAATCCCAGAACTTTGGGAGGCCAAGGCGGGAGGATCACTTGAGCCCAGGAGTTTGAGACCAGTGGGGCAACTGAGTAAGACTCCATCTCTACAAAAAAAAAAAAAAAAAAAAAAAAACTTTAAACATTAGCTGGGCATGGTGGCACACACCTGTAGTCCCAGCTACTCAGGAGGTAGAAGGATCGTTTGAACCTGGGAGGTTGAGACTGCAGTGAACTGTGATTGCACCACTGCACTCCACCCTAGGGGACAGAGGGAGACTCTCTCACAGAGAGAGAGGGGGAGAGAGACAAGTGCAAGAAGATATTTGCAACTTACACTGACAAAGGGCTAGTCTCAAGAATATATTAAGAACCACAAAACAATAAGAAAAAGATAGAAACCCGATAGAAAAAATGGTCAAGTGACTTGACAACAGCAACTTAACAAAGAAATTTATCTAAATGGCCAATAACTATATGAAAAGATGCTCAATGTCATTATTCACCAGGAAAATGCAAATTATAACACAAGGTGATATTACTACATACCTCCAAAGTGACTAAAATTATAAAGACTGGAAACATCAAGTATTGGCAAGGAAGTGGAGCAACAGGCAAACAGAAAAGCATGCCTTGCAGCCATTCATCAAGGGGAGAAAGGAGAAGGAATGTATCTGTCAACTCCTTCCTGTCTCCCATTTGTCTGAGTTTACCCCATGAAGAATTAATTTCCTCACACTTTTCAACTGCATCATCTGGTCCATTAGGCAGCCTCTTGGGAAGACAGACTCCACTTTAATGTGGTGTCTCATCTGAGTCTGGAAGTGACAGGAGGATCCAAACAGCCCACATGTGAGTCTGGTTGGCCTCAGTTCAAGGAACAATGCAGGATGGAATGACTTTGGTCACCCATAGCCATAGTGACAGCAAGGTAGAGAAAGAGTTTAAGCATCTAGGGGCAGATGAGCCTGAGGGAGTCTGAGGAGATCCATAAGACGAAATAATACAGTTATGATCTGTGTACTTTCTACCTGCACTTTCACAGAAGTTATATTTCTGTGAATACATTGTTTTAAAATGCAATAAATGTAGATACTGTGAAGTGATGCTAGTCAGAACATTTTAAAGGTAAAATAATTGTGGTTGAGTAGTCTTTACTCCTTCAGCAAGGTAAGGGTGATACAACCCAGCATCTCCTTCCCTATAACAATAAAATGGAGTTCATGAATCTTCTGCAAAGTACCCAACAATAGTTGTGTGCACCTTTATTTTCCTTTCTAATTGTGACAAATGTGACCTACTCATTACAAATTGTTATCAGATCTAATTTTTCCCAGCCTTAGACATCCAAGTCCTTCTCTTAACTTTTGATCTCACTCATCCAGCAACACTGGAAGGGATAAAAAATTGCTGCATATCAGTTTCACCATGAGGTTCTTTAATGAGGAAACATTAAAGAGCTGGATTGCTGCAGAGCTGAGAAATCTGCAGCTCTCCAGCAATCTAGCCATGAAACATCTGGCACATCACATTCAGAAAACAGCTGGATCCTATGGGACTACATTAAACTAAAAAGCTTCTGCACAGCAAAGGGAACAATCAACAAACTGAAGAGACAACCCATAGAATAGGAGAAAAATTTGCAAACTATTTATCCAATAAGGAACTAATACCCAGAATATAAAAGGAATTCAAACAACTCAACAGTAAGAATAAAACAATCTCATTAAAAAGTGGGCAAAGGACATGAATAGTCATTTCTCAAAAGAAGGCACATGCCACCACTCCTGGCTAATTTTTATGTTTTTATTTTCATTTTTGTAGAGATGGAATCTCACTATATTGCCCAAGCTAGTCTTGAACTCCTGGCCCCAAGTGATCCTCCTGCATCAGCCTCCCAAAGTGCTGGGATTACAGGTGTGCGCCATCACACCCAGGAGGCTATAAACTTAATAGAAAGGCATGAAGTGGCAAAAGAATAACGCTGCAGCAGTGCTTTCCAACGTGTGGAACTGATGCCACTGGTGGCAATGGCAAAGATGATTTTAGGTTTTTAGAAGAACAAACCTAATGCTTTTGTATTGTAATGTCTATCAGAAAACTGATCACATCAAATCCCTTTTTGCACTACATATTATTGCTTTGGATAAGGTTGAAAGAGGCAGCATGTGAAAAAAGTCAATGGAACAAAATGTATCAAGTAAACATTTTAAAAACACAAATACAGTAAGTACAAATAATGCCTGGATATGAAAAATCGGTGAAGGTAGTACTGGCTGGGAAGACTAGAATCTGGGGAACATTGTGCTACAGAATAGAACCAGGTGTATATGCATGTGTGTGCTTTTGTGTCTGTGTGTGTATGTGTCTATGTTTGTGTGTGTGTGAATGCATACATGCACATGCATTTGTCCACGCATACAGTGGAAGCTCAGGAAGATGATGAAAAGGTCACTGTCTTAGTCGTCCAATACCATACTGGATGTCTTAAACCACAGAAATTTATTTTCTCACAGTTCAGGAGGCTAAAATCATTATAAAAAGTTCGAGATCAAGGTGCCAACATGGTTGGTTTCTGATGAGGGTACTCTTTCTGGCTTGTAGACAGCTGCCCTTTCACTATGTCCTCACGTAGCTGGGAGAGAGAGCATGCAAGCTCTCTACTATCTCTTCTTATGAGGGCACGAATCCTATCATAATGGCCCTACACTCATGACCTCATCTAAACCTGATTATTTCGCAAAGTCCCTCTCTCTAAATACCATCACATTGGGGGTTAGGGGCTCAACATACAAACTTAGGAGGGGGATACAATTCAGCCATAGATGTCACAGTGGTCTGCAGAGGTCAGGAAATGCCAGGGAGGGGAACTGAGTTGGACTTATGAGGATGGGCTAGAAAGAAGGAGAGAAAGGGAGGAACATCCCTGGCCAGGGGGAACAGCCTGAAGGAAAAAGCACCTGTGCATGGTTCATGATGAAAAGCAGGAGCCTGTTCTGGCTAGGATTAGGTGTCTGCTCCCTCCCGAGGGCCCTCTACTAAGAAGGCAAGGGTAGGTCACTGGGGAAGGTCAGTAAGCAGAAGGTCAGAGGTGGGAAATCCTCATGAGCTGAGCAGTCAGAGGGGACAACAAAGAGGATCTTAACTCTCAAGGTTGGCCAGGATCTCACCAGAGGATGGAAAGTCCTGGCGGCAGAATGCCAGCTGAGGCAGAGTGGTAGGGTAGAAGAAAGCTGTCCTATGCAAGGGCAGGTGAGAAGCCTGAGCAAAGGTGATGTGGCTCCATCTGGGCCCAACCTGGCTGTCCAAAGGGACTTGGATCCCAGGCCTGGATTGAGATATCATCCTGGACGTACCTTCTAACTTTCCCGTCACCCAGAGTTCCAAGGCTTGCCTCTGTCCTGGTTATTACACAGCCTCTGTACCTGAATCACTAACTGGATTTCAACTCATAGAGGTTATGGAACAAGTCTAATAGCTCCTGGCTTTTAGCCATGGCCTCAGTCAATGCCTTCCACATTGGTTTTCCCTGGACCACTCCCAGGGTTTCTGAAACTGATCTGGGGTTAGAGAATCCCCGAGGACAATACCTAACTGGTAAGCTGGTTCCTGTCCCTGTGGTGATCCCTGGACTACAAAGAGGCAGGGAATGCCCTGTGCCCCACAAGATCAGATAATTACCCACTAACACACTTCAGAAAAGAGGAGACCAGCAAACAGCCCACGTCAAAATGGGCAAAGAATTTGAATAGACGTTGCTCCAAAGAAGATCTACAAATGACTGATAAGCTCATGACAAGATGTTCAACATCCTTAGTTATTAGAGAAATGCAAACCATAACGAGATACCACTTCACACCCATTAGAATGGCTAAAACTAAGAAGATAATGAATAAAAAGTTTTGGTTAGGATATAGAGAAATTGTAACTCTCACACATTGCTGGTTGAGTTGTAAAATGGTACAGCCACGTTAGAAAACAGTTTGGAAGTTCCTCAAAATGTTAAACAGAGTTATCATACGACCCAAAAATTTCATTCCTAGGTATATACCCAAAAGAAGTCAAAATGTAAGTCCACATAAAAACCAGTACACAAATATTTATAACAGCCAAAAAGTGGAAACAACCCAAATGCCCATCAACTGATGAATGGATAAACAAAATGTGATATAGCCAGACAATAGAATATTATTAAGCAGTAAAAAGGAGTGAAGCAGTGATACATGCTGCAGCATGAACAAACCTTAAAAATGTTATGCTGTGTGAAAGAAGCCAGACAAAAGGCCACATATAATGGATTACATTTATATGAAATGTCTAGAATACACAAATCCAGAGAGACAGAAAGCAGATTCTGATTGCCAGGAGCTGGGGGAAAGGAGGAATGGGGAGTGGCTGCTAATGTTTATGGGTTTCCTTTTGAGGTGATAAAAATATTCTGGAATTAGATGGTGGTAATGGTTACACAACTCTGTGAATAAACTAAAAAATCACTGAATTGTATACTTTTAAAAGGTAAATTTGTGGTATATTAATTATATCTCAATAAATCTAATTTTTTTAATATAAATCAGATCATCTCAGCCAGGCGCAGTGGCTAACGCTTGTAATCCCAGCACTTTGGGAGGCCGAGCTGTAGTCCCAGCTACTCGGGAGGCTGCGGCAGGAGAATGGCGTGAACCCAGGGGGCGGAGCTTGCAGTGAGCCAAGATCGCGCCACTGCACTCCAGCCTGGGCAACAGAGCGAGACTCCATCTGAAAAAAAAAAATCAGATCATCTCACTTTCCTACTTACAATCATGCCTTCTCAGTGGTTTTAGAATAAAAATCAAATTATTTACCATAAACAAAAAGAGAGGGAGAAAAAGTAGGAAGAAAGGAGCTAAGGAATAGGTTATAGATACGGAATCACAGGATCTGGTCCTGGAAGAAGAAAGGTATGAACACTAAAGACAAAACATAACACAGTTCAAAATGTGTTCTGAAATAGGAAAAATTTCTCAGGGTAAAACTACTATGAGAAAATATTACTTCACTTAAAACAGATTACAAATTTAAGTGAAACCTTCAAGATTAGGGCAGGAAAGCACTATTGTCTAGTTTAAAATGCAAATGTGGGTCTATATCAATGCACAATTTTGAATGCAAATAAAAATAATTTTTACTTCAAAAAAAAAAAAGAAAGGGAGAAAACATGAGTTCACAAACTCAGATTCTTGTCCAAGATGCTCTGCTAAGAGACTGGGTGTCAATCAAGGTCTCTGTGCTTTAGTTTTCCCTGCTGTAGTGGGATAGTATATGGGAGCATGCTTCTCTGAGCAGGTTCATTAGCTGGTATGTGTGCCCAGAAACATCCAGCCAGAGAATCATTTTTCTCCTTGTTCATACAGAGTCCTGGCTCTAACAGGAACTCTCTTCTGAGCTGGATTCCTTTTAAATCCATTCATCAGACTGAGACCTAGACTCTGCTGCCATCACAGGCTCAAAGCCCTGCAAGCTAAGCCTTCATGGACACAGATGTCCTGTCCACAAACAGACAGGACTGAATAACAAAACCATCTGTACATGTCATGCTTATTAGAAGGGGTCTTCAGGCCGGGAGCGGTAGCTCCCGCCTGTAATCCCAGCACTTTGGGAGGCCGAGGAGGGTGGATCATCTGAGGTCAGGAGTTTAAGACCGCCTGGCCAACATGGTGAAACCCTGTCCCTACTAAAAATACAAAAATTAGCCGAGCGTGGTGGTGCACGCCTGTAACCCCACCTACTTGGGAGGCTGAGACAGGAGAATTGCTTGAACCTGGGAGGCAGAGGTTGCAGTGAGCCGAAATCACGCCACTGCACTCCAGCCTGGGTGACAGAGCGAGACTCTGTCTCAGAAAAAAAAAAAAAAGTTGGGGGAAGGAAGGGTCTTCAGACATTTACTGGCATTTTTCTTCCTTTTCCTGTCAAATTGGCAAAGATTCCAGAAGATTATCATTTATTAACCTGTGGCACTCCGCTCTATCCTCTACCAACCTATCCATCAAACTCTATTTCCCTAGAGGCCTGGCCCATCAGCATATTATGCCCCCTACCCTAGGCCTCTTGATGCAGCATTCCAGAAATTTTCATACCTCCCCAGCCTCTGGCCATGACTATATGGGCAAGGGCTGAACAGAGAACTGCAATAACAGCATTTAATGGTGGGCACCTGCTGTGCAGCAGGCACTTCTCAAACATGATTTCATTCAAGCTGCTGCTAGCCCTATTCTTATCCTCATTGTGCAGATGATAAAACTGAGGTTCACAGGATATTAAAATGGGGTGCATGTCTCACAGCTCTTAACAGCGAAGCTACACTGTCTGCTATGGTCTGAATATTTGTGTGCCCCCCAAAATTCATATATTAAAATCCCAAGGACAACTCTCTTGAATAGGATTACTGCCCTCATAAATGAGGCTCCCAGACTGGGCGCCTGTAATCCCAGCAATTTGGGAGGCCAAGGTGGGTGGATCACAAGGTCAGGAGATCGAGACCATCCTGGCTAACACAAAACCCCGTCTCTACTAAAAATACAAAAAATTAGCTGGACATGGTGGCAGGTGCCTGTAGTCCCAGCTACTCGGGAGGCTGAGGCAGGAGAATGGCGTGAACCTGGGAGGCAGAGCTTGCAGTGAGCCGAGATCGTGCCACTGCACTCCAGCCTGGGCGACAGTGCAAGACTCCATCTCAAATAAATTAATTTAATTTAATTTAATAAATGAGGCTCCAGAGAGCTTCCCTGGCCCCTTCCACCCTGTGAGGACACAGCAAGAATGCATCAGCTATGAAGCAGGAAACACACTCAGACTTCCCAGCATTCAAAACTGTGAGAAATACATTTCTGTTGTTTATAAGCCACCTGGTCTCAGGTGTTAGGTTATAGTAGCCTGAATGGACTAAGACACTGTCTCTAGTGAGGCCCTAAGAGACAGAGCCCAAAGGGACTCTCCCTAGAGAGAGTCCCCTGAGTATCCTAATATATGTCCCTTCCAGGCTCCCTTGCCCAAGGGCAGAAAGGCATTATGACTCCCTGCAAAACCCTCCCTGGAGACCATGAGGCAATGCCAAGTGAAAGGGCAGGGAGAGGAAGAGTGGTCAGGAGGGTGCCGGGGGCCACACGGAGGAGAGAACTGATGTCAGCTTCCAAGGAAGGCTTTCTGGCTGGAGAAGAAGTAAGTCTTAGGCACACAGACCCTGGAACAATAGAAGTAACTAGCCATCGTGCTTCCTTTAGCTGCTTCACTCTGGGCAAATCCCTTCTCCTCCTGGGACCTCATTATCCCCATCTGTCAGATGGGCAGGTCAGACTGGAAGACTTCCAAGGGCCCTCTCAGCGCTATCTCTTGAAGCTGAAGCCCAGAAATGGGACAGGCTGGCATAGAGGGTAGAGAGGCATGGGAAAGGGTATGAGAAGTAGAAGTGAACAGAAGGGCAATGCACCTGGCTAACTCATCCTCAGCCTGAGGACTCTCCCAGGAGTCACCCCTTCCAGGAAGCCTTCCCTGACCCCGCTGTCTTGGTCCTCTTTCAGGCTCACCTTTACCACTCCGCCAGTGTCCAGAGCAGTGCCTGGCCCAGATTGAGGGAACATTAATGAAGGAGCTAACTTTTGAGGGCGAGCATGTATGAACAAAGCGAGCTGCAGCCCCTGTGAGGCTGGCAGGTGCCAGGAAAGCTCCATAGAATTGGGCTGACATGGTGTGTGAATCAATGATGTATGGGTACACATGGGAGTGAGTTGGTGAAAGAAGGACAGAGACAGGGAAGCCACCTCCCCAGGAGGGGGTTTGGGAGGGCCAGACCAGCTGGCTGGTTCTGGAAGTGGTGCCAGGGGCTGGGGCCCAGAGACAGGTTCTAGAAGTCGAGTCCTGAATGCATGCCAAGTGCCCTGAGGCCTGAGTCAGAAGCTAAGGATTGGAGGGAAACATGGAGAAGCCAAAAAGCCAAACAGAGTGAAGGAGTCTGGGAAGACTCCCTGCCCTGCAACTCTGCACCCTGCTAATGCCTACTTATCCTTCTAAGGTCAGCTTGCTTGCCTCTGACTGCTGGCACAAGGTTTGTTCCCCTATCCCAAAATCCCAAAACCCTGATGTGGCTCCTCCCCTCCTTCCATCTAATTTTAGTTGAATGACTTTATTTGGCATCTGATTTCTTTCCCCGTAGGTTCTATGAGCTCTGTGATAGCCTGCTCGGCACTGAATAGCCCTTTCCCAGCCCTGGTCCCTGGGCCTAGTAGACACTCAGGAAATACTAGTTGAATACAAGAATGAATGAATGAAAGAGAGCAGAGATGGTGGTCTGGAAGACCTCCAGAGGCAAGGTGCTCCTTTCAGGGCCCAAGTGGAAGTCAGTCTGCTGAGGATGGGCACATGGGGAGAGGTGGCCAGGGTGCATTTGGCTAGCACATGCCTGCCACATTGGCCATGATCCACGGTGGTGGGAGGGCAAAACCGGCAGAAGGATGGCCATCTGAAGCTGCTCAGCACACTCCAAGCAGCAATGATTCTTTGTCAACGATCCTTTGCCCTGGCTTGAGGGCCAAGCTAGCATTCAAGGGAGCCTGGGAAATTGTTTCAACCAGCTTGCCTTGCCTAACATCATGCCAGCCCCATTTTCCTGCCCTCTCCTGTGGTTTTGTGATTAGGGAGCTTGCCTGTGGCTCGTTCCCCATCACACAAGCCCAAATGAGCTGCATTCTTCTCCAATTCACACATGGAACCAAAACATCCTGGGCCTGGTTTTACTTTCTCTTGTAAGCCCTTATGCTTTCCTGACTGAGGGTCCTTCTGAAATCCTAGAGGTTTGTTCCCAAGTGGTGTATTCCACACACAGCCTGAAGTGGGATTACAGCAGAGATAAATAAAAGATTAGTTTCCGAGTTTCAGGACTAAATAAAGGATCGAATTCTTGGTGATTGGGAGATAAAAGGAATTCTAGAGTTTGTTCATGGATGAACCGATTCAGAAGCACTTTGGGGCAGTGGGTGGGACCAGGAGCTCAGTTTTCTTTGGATCTTTTTTTTGGGTCTCCCTCACTGCCCACCCTGGCCATCTGGTTTCACTTGTGAGACATGCTGCACAAGCTAGGGCAGCAGGGACTCCAAGAAAGGAGGCCAGCTAGAGTGTCCCACCCAGCTGGGTACTGAACCAGGGATGGCTGAGCATAGGAGAGGCTTCCATGTCCCACTAAAATGCAATGTCCAGGTAACAGTTCATTTCTCTGAAAGGTATTTGCATGGCAATCTTCACTTTCCAGAACATCATTAACAGCCTAGGATTAAAGAAAAACAGCCCTCTGGCCCAGGATATACTGACTGTTGTTTTTCCTACAAGTTTAACAGTGTCTTGCTTGTCCCTAGGGCGTGATGGATTTGGTACAGCGACTTAGAAGGAAGAGTACAGAAGATTCTCTGAAGTGGAAATGATTGAGTCTCTGAATGGGAAGGGTGCACCATAAATAACACGGAGAAAAAGAACTCAAGAAGCACTGGCTCTGGGCCATGCAGTGGTCTGACAACCACCAGCTGGTGTTCTAAATTCTGACCCCCACAAAACCAAAGAAAAATTAGGCTGTGCCCATCAAGCCCTGTTTCTGAAGACAGCAGAGTCCAGCATGGCCTCCATCCCACGTGGCTAAAGTGCACAAGTCTCCTCTCTTAAAGTAAAAGAGTTCAGTTGGCTGAGAATTTAATGTCTGTAGAACAGATAATTCCCCCATTAGTTTGGGATAATTCAGGGGCTTGCTACAGTTGGATTTATGTTAACAGGTTTGTGCATGTAGTAGTAGTAACAAAGAAGGATGGACATCATTATGGCACTATTGTAAGCAGAGTTCACATATTAACTCATTTAATCACATAAGAAGCCCATGAGGTTAACAGAACTTGGCTGTGGAAGAAAGGTCCTGGGAAAAAAGGAAAAGAAAAGGAGGAAAAATTTTTTAAATTTGGATTTATTTTTAATATTTAATGGGAATTCAAAAATCCAAATCTCTCTCAGTAATTCATGAAATTAAGTTGAGTAATGAGGATGAAAATGACAATAATGATTATGAATGTAAAGCAAAATAACATCATTAAGAGTGTTTTATTTTTTGAGACAGAGTCTCGCACTGTGAAAGAGTGTTTTTTTTTTACCAATTGTCTACATATGCAAGATGCATTATCACATACTGAAACATAAAGATGAAACATTTCCATTTCCATCTATTACATGGGTGTTTGCAAAGATCTCCATGTTTATCAACATGCAGGAAAAAAATCCCAAACATTACATTTGTTTTTCGCTTTCTACTCAGTCGTTTTGTGAACCATGTAGACAGCCAAAATCACCAGAAAGCACTCTCTGTCTCTCTCCGTCTCTCTCTGTGTGTGTCTCTCTCTCACACACACACACTCTCCACCTGAGCTGGAGTACCCTGGCTGAGCCCAGGCCAGTGACCTCCTAGCTGCCCTTCCTAAAAAATCTCTGTCTCCAGCTTGTGGATGGAGTTGGGGAGAGCTGCACACGAGCCACACAGGATAGTTAAGGATGAACAGCATTGGCAGCCTACACCCCAACACTCCTATTTTACTTGGGATGAAAGGGGAAGTGCCACTAACCTGGTTGCTTGCTGTGTGGGCCACAAGGGTCAGAGCACAGAAACCTAAGAGCATCAGTCGCTGAGGACCGAAATCTCAGAGAAGCAGCCAATGAGGAGTAGAGGGGCAGGCACAGTCATCCTTCCTGGTGACTCCCTCACTGGTCCAGAGGCTCTGGGAACTCCAAAATGCCACTCTATACAACTCCTGGTGGACAACTAGCAACAAATTGAGGCCTCTCCATTTATTTTAACTTCCATTCTGGGCCTCCCAACTCTGCAGCCCTGTTTGCCACACCGTGGTTTCTGGATTACCTTCAACAGAATTCCCAGGAAAGCCTGCTGAAATTGGGGATATCTGGGTCCTACCCCAGGCATCCTGGATCAGCTCCCTGAAGCGGAGCCCACGAATCTGCATGTTGAAAGGATTCTCAGAGCAGCACTGTGCTCCATAAAGACTGAAAACCACATCTCTAGAGACGTAATTGATTGGGTTATAGTTCCTTCCATTTTTACAGCTTTAATATTCTACCACACTTCAACTGAACAAAAATTCATGAAGGATCAGCTTCAGGCCAGGCCCTGTTCTAAGCACAGTGTGACAATGACAGGGACTCAGGTCTTGCCTTCAGGGAGGCTACAATGTTTTTGATCTCACAACAATGCAAATGGTCAGAGTCTATGTAAGGACTCCCCTTTTACAAATTAGAAAACAGGGCTCAGAGAGTGTAAACAACTTGCCCAAGGTCACAGAACTGCTAGATGTGGCTAGAGCTATAATCAACTCCCCTCATTTCAGACCCATGCTCTTTGCACTGTCCCACAGAGCAGTAAAGACCCAGATGGTAGAGTCAGAATAACAGAGATGGAAGGGTCCTTAGACCACAAACAGTTTCAGGAATACCCAAGAGGTTCTAATAGTCATTTCAACTCTAACCAGTTGGCAGTGATTGCCTCCATGTGTTGGGGAGGGCTCTGCAGCTACATCCAGTATCACCAACAAAGATGGTGCAATTGATTAATCACATCTTTAGTGGGTGCAGAGCCAGGGAGTGGCTGCACCTGTACCACATATGCACATTGGTCCTGTATATGGACACATCCTCCATTTTATTGATAGGAAAGCTGAGACCCAGAGAAACAGAAGTTGTCCAAGCCTCAGAATTGGAATTGGACTAAAACCAAGGTTAGCCTCAATTCTGGTCAAGAGCTCTTTACACTAGACAGTGCTGCCTTTCCCATGCAGCCAAGATGATTAAACTGAGAAATGGGTCATACTCTCAGGAACCAAGGACCTCCTGACACTGGTGCAAAGGATTCTGTAAAGCCCAGGGGAGGGAGACAATGCTGAAATAGTAGGAGGACCAACTAGAGAGATAGACCCTCCCATTTCTTCCCTCCCAAACTAAGAGGTGGGGCCAGGGAAAGAAACCTGTATTACTGAGCCCTCACCTGTGCCAGGCGCTGTGCTGAATATAATACATTGGTGATCTCATTTAATTCTCACAATTTCCCTGTGTGGAAGCTCCATTTCACAGATAAGGAAACAGGGTGGGAGAGGTTAAGTGACTGGGCCAAACTCTCATAATCCAAGTGGCTAACTCAGGACAGGTTCCCAGGTATTTGTGGCTCTGTGTCCCACCCAGGGCTGCACAAGGGTGTTTGGAGCATAAGCTTTGGGTCCCAACTGTATTACATACTAGCTCCATGACTTTGGAAAGTGCCTTAACCTCTCCTCTCCTCTTGGTTTCTTCATCTATTTAACTGGGAAATAACAGCACTTAGCTCAGAAGGCTATTGTTACAATTAGATGAAATAATATACAGGAAGTATTTGGCCACATCTGGCACGTAGTAATTGCTCAATACATGGCTGCTTTTACTATTGTCCTGACACTACACTGCTCCAGACATATCACCTGGACCCCTGCGACCCAGTGCTGGCCTGAATGTCCCACCTGGAGAAGGCCCCATCCTGAGATCCTCTTAATTTGTTTCACTTTTCCTACAACTGGATTTTAGGACCCAGAGTCCCATATGCAAATGCAGGCAGGTACATGGACACAAAGAGGAACATACACATAATCAAGCAAGTGCACATAATCACAGGGGAGTGTATCTTTGGAGATATTGGGAGCCCCATCACCCACAGACAGACTCATCTCAGAACAACTGCCACAAGACGGCAGCCTAAGAAGTAACCGTAAATCGACAGAGCTCTTCTGAGCCCGGCCACGCCCTGGGCTTCTCCATCACTGGGGTCTTTCCCAGTCTTGTGGCAGGGGGCCTGGCTGTGCACAAGAAGCTCTTGAGAACACATGCTGCTTTCGTGACCTCATTAGGGAATGTTGGCACATCAAAGCAGGGTGGCTGGGGTTTTAGCCTAGGAAAGTGAGGCATCTGTGCTTTTGTTCACTCTTTGGTGGCCAAGAACAATTGATGAGTTCCTTTTAAATACTTCTTTGACAGATTCAGAGTCCCAAAAAATATACTTAGACAAGATGGGTTAGTAAAAGGGACAACAAATAAAACTACTTTATCTGTAAGATATATGCAATAAGGGGCTGCTGGCTGGGGACACTGCAATCTGTTTTATGTCTTCTGCTGGCATTTAACCTGTAAAATATGTGAGTTCTAAATCTGTGCCTTGCTTAACAAGATGGCAGTAAAGGGCAATGGTGTCTATTTTCCATTTTTGGAATTCAGATCCAAAGGAGTGGTGAACTTAGAAGAGCTGAGAATTCACCTCCAATGGGTTCCAGTGTATGCCAGCATCTCCCCTGACCCCCAATCCAGGAAGGAGGGCACTTCCACCCTCCATTCATTCCATAAACTGGCATTTATTATGTATTTCCTGTTTCCAGGCACTAAACTAAAAGCTTTATATGCATTATTTCATTGACTCCACCTCACAAAACCTTATGCAAGTAACATATAATAACTACTATTATGATCCCTGTTTTATAGATGAGGAAACTGAGGCTCAGCAATATTAAGTAATTTGCCCAAAGTTCTTAGCCAAGAAGTGGCAGGTACAGAAAGTAGATTTATTCTCTCTGACTCGATTACTTAATTTCTAACTACTTCACAGCCATACCTCTGCCCCCTACCAGGGAAATCCTAAGAACCCATGAAGACCCAGATAGGTGTTGGTGGAGAATGGAAAGTTCCTGGTTTCTGCCCTCAAGGGCCTTTCCATCTACTTGAGGGCAGGAACAACAAGTCAGAGTCATCACTATGACACTGGGGTAGTTTTCTTAGAGAAGTGTCTAAGAAGAGAAGGTTCAAGAAAGGGCATGAAAAGCCCAGGGCCTGGGGCTTCTTCCCATGGCCCACTTTTGCCAGAATCCCACAGACACACCATTTTGGCCAGTATTTCACTGGAACAGGTGATAGGGGAGAACTGAGCCATGTTCTGATGACATGGTGGCATGATATAATCTTGACTTGACCTTGCTGGCTACCCACGGATGCCCTGTTTCAGAGGTAACACAATATGTTACCTCAGGCAGGAGCTAATATCAAGAATGGTGTCAGAATCATCGTGTTTCTCCCTGTGAACTGCTGTGACCAAGAGAAGCACTTTCAAAGGGCAGCTGATAAAATTGCTATTTTGACCCACCTTTTAGCTGAAAACCAGACACCATCAAAATAGCTTTTCTTTTTATTAGCTGCATTATTGGAGAAATAGTGAGGGATTGATTTCACAATTGATTCTCCAAATAAAGATAACGTCTGTTGAGCAAGGAAGTAAGAGAAGGGCTGCCCAAGGATGGTTGTGAGTGTGTGTGTGCACTCACCTGCCATGTCGTGTGTCCATGTCTCAGCTCACATCATGTGGTTCCCTCAGACCCCCTTGATCAACCTCCATAGACAAAACCTCTATGCTCCCCGACTTCATGGAATGCAAAGTCATCTAAGCACATCGTTCTGATTTCAGCTTCGTGATTTCATCGTCCTGAAAGCAGCAAGCCATAATGAAGCAGTGATTATATCAACAGCCCTCAAAATGAATAAAAAGTTTAAAACAGATTATTCACTCAACAACTATTTACTGAGGGGCCAAGTAAGATGTTGAGGATACAAAAAAAAGCTAGTCCCTGCCCTTACACAGTGTATAAGCTAGTGGGGGAGGCAGACATAATCAAATAATCATGTAAGCAAAAATAAACTACCAAAAAGTAAAAAATTAAAAGAATTAATTACCAAAGATGATGGTAGCTTGGCTAATGAGGCGGCAATGAAGATGAAGACAAGAGGCCAAGATGAACAGGTCCTTAAAAGGTACTAAAAGCTAAGAAGACAGGTAGAGGAAGAGGTGTTGGAGTCAAGTATGATTCCTGGTCCCCAGGCCTGGGAATCTGCAGAAGGACCAGGTTGGGGGTAAAGGCAGTACATGAGTTTAGTCTTGGCCATGTGAAGCCCTAGATGTCTTGGCATGATCCAAGTGGAAATGTCAAGTGAGTCACTGCATATATGGGTTTGAGGGTCCAAGGACCAGCCATGACTGGAAACAAAAATTTGAGAGTCAGGTGGTGATGAAAGCCCTGGGTGTGAACAAAGTTCAAAAGTTCATTGAGTGAGAAGATGGGTTGGGAAGAGAATCAGGTGCAGAACTGGGTCTTGGAAAACTCCACCACTGAGCGTGGGGTCTCCCCAGTAACAAAGATCCCAGTCATTTTGGCACCACTTCAATGTGATGACTCCCAGTTCTGCCACTGACCCTGTGTGCACTCCGAATCCGGTACTTAATCTGTCTGAGCTTCCATGTCGCACACCCCACACATTCTTTGTCAGTCTTTAATCTCTCCCCTTTTACTAACCCATGCACAATTCCTGCCTCGAAACTCCTCCTTCACTCCCAGCCCCCACCCCAGCCCGTCGGTGAAAGGGAATGAGAGCTCCAGAACCAGCTGTTTCCTTTCTGAGAGGTCCTCAGGCCTGAATGCTCTTTGGAATCACCAGGGAATTTAACAAGATACTAATGTTCTGGCCCCACCAGGAGATGCTGATGTCATTGGTCTGGGTGGCCTGGGTGGCCTGGGTGGCCTGGGTGGCCTGGGTGGTGTGAGTTTTTCAAAGCTCCCCAGGTGGCGCTAGTGTGCAGCCAGAGTTTAGAATCTGGGCTTAGAACCAGAAAAGCTGGGATCACCCAAACTGGCCAAATCATTCCCTGGCTTTGTACACAACACTGTGACAGGAAGGATTTCTCCAGCACTGCAACTGGCAGCTGTAGCAGGCTCCCCCCAGCACAAGATGTGGATCTCCAGATCGAGGCCATCTTTGGCTCAGAAGGAGGGCACTCTTCACCTCAGATTTGGGGACATGTGACCCTTAGGGGCTGAGAGCCTAGACTTTGACATCAGACAGCTGAGTCCTAGGTCCTCTTACAGGCCTGGAGATTTGGACAATTGCCAAGGCTTTCTGAGCTTCAGTTTTCACCCTGTAAGAAAAGGAACACAGGGCCAGGCGCCGTGGCTCATGCCTTTAATCCCAGCACTTTGGGAGGCCAAGGCGGGCGGATCACAAGGTCAGGAGATCGAGACCATCCTGGTTAACACGGTGAAACCCCATCTCTGCTAAAAATACAAAAAATTAGCCGGGCATGGTGGCACGCACCTGTAGTCCCAGCTACTCAGGAGGCTGAGGTAGGAGAATCTCTTGAACCCAGGAGGCGGAGGTTTCAATGAGCCGAAACTGCACCACTGCACTATAGCCTGGGCAACAAAGCAAGACTCCATCTCAAAAAAAAAAAAAGAAAAAAGAAAAGGAACACAGTAGCCAGCAGTGTGGGAGTGTTGCAAGAGGGACTTGCTATAATCTCCATACACAGTACCAGCTCATAGACACTCTCAATAAATTGTTATGGGTGTGATTTTTATCAACAGCAAAGTTCCTCCTTCCTCCCATGAGTAC
This sequence comes from Homo sapiens, assembly GCF_000001405.40. Taxonomy (NCBI): domain Eukaryota; kingdom Metazoa; phylum Chordata; class Mammalia; order Primates; family Hominidae; genus Homo; species Homo sapiens. The sequence continues at coordinate 138,979,106 of NC_000003.12, read as the reverse complement.
CCTCTCTTCTCCCTCCTCTCCTCTATTCTCTAGTCACCCCTTTGACTCCCCAAAATGTTGAACAGGCTAGTGTCATAGGGCATATCCAACAATAAAAATATAATAATTATTACTTTTTTTAACTTTTATTTTAGGTTCAAGGGTACATATGCAGGTCTGTTATATAGGTAAACTTATGTCACGGGGGTTTGTTGTACATATTATTTCATCACCCACGTACTAAGTGTCATACCCAACAGCTATTTTTTTCTTCTCCCTCCTTCTACCCTCCACCCTCAAGTGGGCCCCAATGTCTGTTGTTCCCCTCTTTGTGTCCATGAGTTCTCATCATTTTTCTCCCACTTATAAGTGAGAGCATGCAGTATTTGGTTTTCTGTTCCTGCATTAGTTTGCTAAAGATGATGGTCTCCAGCTTCATTCATGTTCCTGCAAAGGACATGATCTCATTCTTTCTTAAGGCTGTGTAGTATTCCATGGTGTATATGTATCACATTTTCTTTATCCAGTCAGCCACTGATGGGCATTTAGGTTGATTCTATGTCTTTGCTATTGTGAATGGTGCTGCAATGAACATATGCGTGTATGTGCCTTTATGGTAGAACAATTTATGTTCTTTTGGATATATACCCAGCAATGGGATTGCTGAGTCAAATGAGCTACCACTTATTAAGTATTGACTCTGTGTCAGTCTTTACTGATGATTTAGACTTTAGCACAGATGCTCACACCAATGGCATGAGGCAGTAATGACCCCGTCTTCATGAGGTTCTGGAAGTTTAAGCATGAAGTTGTGACACAGTAGGCAGTAGCAACTTAGGCCTGTCTGACTCTAAAGACAGAGCTATTCCTACCCCTTGTAGTAATTCTGGTTCACAACTTGCTTATTGGTCCATTTGTCATACTTAGATTATTTTAAAATTATAGAATCTTAGTTTAAACTCTGGAATGGGTAGTATTAAACTGTGCTCCACAGGGCCCTAGGGATCCACAAGGATAAGGATAAGGAGTTTGCTGTCCCCTCAAGAAACCACTGGAAAAGAGCATCAGGTTGGCATATTCCTACATGCTTTGGGAAACATGTGAAGCCAGGCTTTGATGCCTGCAACCTCCACTCCAACCAGAGCAACTCTACTTCCATCTATTGGGAAAACCACCAATTTTACAGATGAGGAAATTTTCAGTTAGCTCGAGGCAGGGCCCTTTCCTCCTCCCAGAATGCAGAAGACGCATGACTTTCCCACTCCAGAGCTTGCTCCATGGTACCAACCCGCCATTTTTGCAACCACAGGGGCCCTTCCTCTGCCTGATGGGCTGCCATTAGGACACAAAGAGGGGCACCCCCCCAAAAGGGCCAGAGGCTTCACTGCCCTGTTTGTACTCGATTCCCAGGTCATTCCTATCAACCCCACTGGCTGTGGTGTCAGAAAGTGCAGACTTGTACTAAGCGCTGGGTCACCCTGAGCCCCCTGTTTATTTTCCTTCCTGGATACATTGGTGACTCGGTGTTTGAAAAGCTCCAACAAGGCTGAAACAAGAGTTCACAGGAGAATGGACATTCACCTCGAGGAGGCCTGCTGGTGATTTGGAATGTCCCTTTGGAAGGCTTTTTAATAAACTTTGTTTGTATCTGCCTTGATGAGGAACACATTTGCCGGGGACTTTGCAGGGATGTTTGGTTTCGAGGCTTCCCTTTCTTGGCCTTAGAAGTTCTTGGTGGCAGTGGCTGCCTGCAGGCCCTTGGGACTCCCCTGTGGAGCGCTGACCTGCCTCCAGCTTTGTCCCAGTAACTTTAGTCGTGCTACACTCCTGGCCCCTGGTGTCCCTGATAAACTCCAGGGCAGAAATTACAGGGTCAGAAGGTTTGAAAGTTCAACAGGAAAAAAGGTCCCATTACCTTTTTAAGAAGCTTCCAGGCCTAGCACTGACATTTGTTTTCTCAATGCATCCAGCAATGTCTTTTACTCCTGCCTCTCCTAGTTCTCCACTTTTCCACCCTACAACAATTATGAGAATTAATTTTAGTCTTTTGTGCATGCGCGCACGTGCACACACACACACACACACACACACACACACGCACGCACACACACACACAGCAGCAGCAGCAGCAGCAGCTCCTGACCGAACAGCAGCTCCTGGCCCATTATAAAGAGGAAAACATTTTTGCTCTTCACAACAATATCCTATTTGGCCAAGAAGAGATGAACGTTCAGCCCCAAATGCTCAGTGGCTTGGGGTATGTGCACGTTGACCAGTCACAATCTAGGGGAGTGGTGGCAATGCCACCCTTGCTGGCAGTTATTTGCATTTGGCTCTGGATGCAGAAAGCAGAAAGTGGTCTAACTAAAGCTGTTAGGTTGGCTGTGATTCCAGGTCAGGGAGCAGGGCAGAGGCAGCAGAGCAGAGGATGACTTCCATGTGGCCCAACTGTATTGAGTGCCCACCCTGACTGACCGATTTGGCAAAAATCGTAACAACATGGAGAGGTGGCAAGAAGGAGACACAAGTAAGAAATGCACTACAATTCATTAAGACCAGTAAAAAAAATTAGCCAGCCATGGTGTTGCATACCTGTAGTCCCAAGACTTGAGAGGTTGAGATGATAGGATCGCTTGAGCCTGGGAGATAAAGGCTGCAGTGAGCTATGCTCGCACCACTGCACTCCATCCTGGGTGACAGAGTGAGATCCTGTCTCAAAAAAAAAATGCCAAAGTCTGGAACCTGCTGTGGTCAAGGTAGTGCCAGAGGGACAAGGCTTGCCCAGCAGTCTCTGTAGTCACTCAGGCCTGATTTCAACCCAGCTCTCCTCCTTGCTGGCTATGAGACCTTGGACAAGTTACTTAGCCTTTCTTTGCCTCAGTTTTCTCATCTGCAAAATGGGAATATTAATATCTTCCTTGAATGACTGCTTTTAGGATTAGAAATAATATATGATATACATGAATATAAATGCACAGAAAATAATCTGAACAAACATATACCAATGTTGAGAGGGGCTGGAGACAGTAAGGAGGGGATTGAATGGGGGGACTTCCACTTTCACCAGGCAGATAAGGATAGCGGGTATGGGGGAGAGAGAGAGAAGAAACCGTGTGTGTGTGTGTGTGTGTGTGTGTGTGTGTGTGTGTGTGTGTGTGATTTATCATATCATGTGCTTAGCACAGTTTACATAGCAAATGCTCACCATTAAATAGCAATTTTCATCCCTAAGAAGTCTGAGAAAAGAAAAAAATAAATAGTAACTATTACTGATTTTTTTCTCAAAAAGTCCTGAGTACTATAGATGTGGTAAAGGGTTTGTCACCATCAAAAGCCCCTTGTAGAAGTCTCTTTTGATTCTGATGGGGAAGAAAGGAAGGAGTTTTGGTCAAGGGCCCCTAATCCCTTTATTTTTATTCAAAAACACCAATGGGAGAGGAAGCTGGATATGTGGACACTCAGTGGGTCACTTTCTTGTTATGAAATCTGAGAGTGTACAGGTCTCCGCCTGGCTGGCCAACCTGTGGCCTCCCTTCCGGCCTCTTCTGGAGCTGCTCTCAGGCTGAGCTCTTGCCGGCCTGGACGGCCTGCAGCGCCTTGCTCCTGATGCCATCCTGGAGGGGCAGCCCAGATATGCGGTACAAAAACACACCAGCAGCAGCCCATTTCATAACATGACGTGTCCAAATAAATGGAGCTGTTGACTCAAGCTAATTGGATGAGAGGTCTTTCCTAAAAAGCAATCTGTGTGAGGCTAAGAAAAACAGGATTCTCGGCGGAATTAGGCCCCTAATCCCTGGCTTCCCCAGCAGAGCTGTGGTCTGAAGGAGCCGGGGGGCCTCCCAGAGATGCCCTGTCAAGAGCTGGAGAGAAGGCTGCATTCCTGTCCTGCCGCCTGCCTCCAGGCTGGCTCATCCTGCCTAGGCAGGAGGATGGGAGACTCAAGGCCTCAGTGGGACCAGGATCCCTGAGCTGTGGACAGCTGGAGTTGGTGAAGCATCCCCAGGCTCCCTGCATCACCCAAGTTGGGCTTATTTTGACCTCCAGAAAATGGGCACCTCCTCAAACTGTGGCCACCTTGGCTTCCCTTCCTAGTGGAAATTAATGAAAGACAGGGCTGAGTTTACAGAAGCACACACACCATTACCAGCAAACAAAAGAAATAACAGAAAAAGAGAAGGGGGTGTGCTGCAAGGCATCTGCGAAGAGGCCAGCCATCTCACTGGGCCCTCACATCTCTTACCATGTGTACCTGTGAGCAGGAGCCTCGTTTGAGCCAGCTCTATACCTGGGCTAGTCCAGATCCAAAACTTACGCCGGCTTCATGGGTGCTCCAGGCAAGAAGAGCGGTCAAGAGAGTGGGCTCCAGAGTCAGATCAAGTCAAGGATGGTCTCCACATCCAGGCAGGCTACTCAGCCTCTCTCTGAGTCTCTAGTTGCTTCATCTTTAAAAGTTAATAGTTGACTCATTGCTATATCATAGGGTTTGCTGCCGGGGTGAAATCAGGAAATGTGTGTGAAGGGCTTGGCCCCTTGCCCAGCCCATAGGAAATGCCCCCATCAGTGGCCTACCACTGCCCATAATGCTTGTGGAGCTTGTGGAGAGTGGGTAATATTGTGTCCCCTGCCTGAACATGGAGAGCTTATAAACTGGGGAGATAAGGTGGACTTTAGAAAGAGGCCTACGCATCCTCAACGAAGAACCAGGGCAACTGGAATAGTCAAGAAGGGCTTTCAGGAGGAGCAAAAATGTCCAGGGAACTATAAAGAAGTGGGCGGGATTTAGGCCAGGTGTGGTAGCTCACACCAGTAATCCTAGCACTTTGGAAGGCCAAGGCCAAAGGATTGTTTGAGTCCAGGAGTTCAAGACCAGCCCGGGAAACATAGTGAGACCTCATTTCTACAAAAAAAAAAAAAAAAAAAAAAAATAGCCAGACATGGTAGTACACAACTATGGTCCCAGCTAGTTGGGGGGCTAAGGCTGGAGGATGGCCTGAGCCCTGGAGGTCAAGGCTGTAGTGAGCCATGATCGTGCCACTGCACTCCCACTTGGGCAACACAGTGAGACCCTGTCTCAAAAAAAAAAAAAAGAAAAGGAAAAGGCAGGATTTGGATAAGTAGAGAGGATAGGGGATAATGAGGATAGGAGGATGATGACATTCAGGTGGGAGAAACAGCAAAAGATGAGGTGGGGAGCCAGAAAAGAGCCTGAAAAGGCTAGCGTGGCAGAAAGGCAGCACATGGGGCCAGCTGGAGGAGTTTGGCGTGCTGGGAAAGATGGGCAGATCAGACAGCTGCTCAGCCCTTGAGTGGGCCCAGCAAGGCCCTTGACAAAGTAATGGGACCTGAGCAGGAAGTTCTGCATCAATCAAACCTCCACCTCGCATCAACACCTTGGTCCTGCCACCTGCCTTTGCCTATACAGTTCCTACCATCTCCAATTCCTCCTAAGGCTTATACTCTCATCTGCTTCATATGTACCCAAAACTTACCTTCCCCCAGGAGCTTTCTGTATGGGAAAAACATGGGTTTTGGAGTCAGACTGGGCTTGAGCAAGTCATTCAACTTCAAAATATTTCATGTCTATATTTATACTTGCACAGCTGTAAAATAAGACAAATACCTCCGTGGCTGTAATAAGGACGAAATTAGATACAGTGTGTAGGTTGCCTAGCTGGTGTCTGACACAAAAAGGTCCTCAGTAAACAGTATGAATGGATTCAAAGCCATTTAACCTCTAAACTTCCCTCCACTCTATGCAGAAAGGCCTTCTCTCCAGCCCATGAAACCCTAATTGCCTTCTTTTCTCCCCACACTTGCTATTGTGGGCTCCCTACTGGAAGGCTCTCCTTTCACTCAGCCTAACCAAATCCCCCACAAAAGCCTGACTCAGGTCCCCACTCAGCAGCCTCAGGCCTGGCATCACATGGCCTCTCGATGGTGGACCCAGCATTGCGGGTTGCTCTCTCGGCAGGCATGTCTGGCCATCCACACCTGGGGGCAGAGAACACTCCATCTTCCCCTGTGCCCTCCACAACACCCAAGACAAAGCTGGGCACATGCAGCATGCTCGATAGGGGCTGCTACTCAAATACTTTCAAAAGCCAAGCAGGTAATGTAAACGAAGGATGATAGCTTGGTGGGGTGGGCTGGGTGTGGTAGCTCAAGCCTGCATTCCAGCACTTTGGGAGGCCAAGGTGGGAGAGAGAATAGCTTGAGCTCAAGGAGTTCAAGACCAGCCTGGGCAACATAGCAAGATCCTCATCTCTACAAAACATTTAAAATAAAAATCAGTTGGGTGTGGTGGTGCACACCTGTAGGCCTAGCTATTCAGGAGGCTGAGGCAGGAAGATCTCTTGATCTCGGGCATTTAAGGTTACCGTGAGCTATGATTGTGCCAGTGTACTCCAGCCTGGGTGACAGAGAGAGACCTTGTCTCAAAAAAAAAAAGAAAAAATGAAAAAGCTTGGTGGGATACAACAAGGCATGGTGGGGCCTGTGGCAAGGGCAAGAGCCTTGTTGTATGTTGATTGGTTGATCAAGTGGTACGAGGAAGAGGCTATATAGAAACAGAAGTCCTGGATTACTTACTCACCTGGTGACTGTAGCCAGCTGGCTTCTCCTGTCTCTGGATGGCAGGGTCACTATGCAAAGAAGCCAATAAAACCTATCCCAGCAACTCCCAAGCTGTGAAAAAGATGAAATGAGTTGGCACTTATGAGAACACTTTGAAAGCCTGAGGTTCCATGAAGACCTGAGGGACCATGTTCAGAAGTCCTAATATTTTCCCCAAATCCCAGATGATCAAGAACAGGTGTATGGTTGAGAGAGCTTTAAAGGCCCCTCCTGCCCTGCTGGGAGCCACCTCCTATCTCCTTGGGATCTCTGCTGGCCCTAGCTCCAAAAGAGGGTGGTAATTGGGTCCCTCTGGAAAACAGCAGAGGCAGCTTAGGGCAGCTGGAGGCGGCAGAAACCCTATCCCCTCCAGAGCCCTGACATTCTCATCAGTTCCCTTCCTGCCCGCCAGCCGAGACTGCGGTTTCCCGGGACCACCTGGCTCCCTGCCCTCCCCTGTTCCCATGGCTCCCTGCTGCTTCCTTCCACTACCCTGGCAGAGGTCAGTGACTGGAGGTGCTACAGGGCTGTCTTCCCTTCAAGGTTTTGGTGGTAGCTGCCAAAATGGCACAATGACCTCCTCAACCGCCAGCTCCAGCATCACCCTTACCTCCTGAGGCAGGGGAACACTGGCCCAGCCTGACCCCAGACAGTGAGGCCAGCTGTCACCAGTCACCAGCAGCACAAGCTGCCCATGAACAAGTGTGTCCACTGGCTTCACATCAAAAATGATACTCTGATAGTTACCAGGACTCAGTCACCTGCTTTTTGCCCAGCACTTTCCACATGCACGCAGCAGCTCCAGGAGGCAGTATTATTATACCCGTTTTTCAGATGGGGAAACTGCAGCTTAAAGAGGTTAGGTAACTTTCTAAGAGGCAGAAAGAGAATTCACTCCCAATTCTGACTACAAGGTACATGCTTTTGCTATCAAAATGCCTCATGCGTTAACTTCACAAACATTAATTGAGCACCTACTATGTGTCAATCTCTGTCAGAACACAGGATATAACAGTGCACAAAACAGATAGGATTCTTGCTCGTATGACATTTATGGGGTAAGAGGAGAAACAGACACAAAGGGTGAAATCAGAGAAATATATAAGTAAAAATCATGCAAACACTGTAGGAGAACTGTGCCAGAAGGCTCCTTCCCATGTGGGGCTCAGGGAAGGCCTCCCAGGGAAGTGTCGTTTGAGTTGAGTCCTGAAGCCAGGGTGCTGAAGGTGGGGTGGGCATGAGAGAGTGTTTCCAGTTGCAGAGAACAGCCTGAGGGAGGAAGGAGAATGACAGGAGCTGAAACACCCGTGTGGCTAGAGTGCAGGAACCAGGGAGAGCTCCTCAGAAAAGGCTGCAGGGACAGACTACTTAGGCTTTATAGGCCAAGATAAGGAGTTTGCTGTCCCCTCAAGAAACCACTGGAAAAGAGCATCAGGTTGGCATATTTCAAAGCCCACACCAGCTGTTATTTGGAAATGGATTGTTCTCACACATACACACACACACTCACACACACACACACGCACACACGTACCTCGTGTCCATGCCAATCTAGTCACTCCCCCTGAGAGCATCAGGGCACCCAAGGGCTGAGCTCCTCCTCAGACCCACATCCAGGGCTAGAGTCTTTGCCCTGTTCAGCACAGGTCAGGAACCCAATAAGCTGCTCTGAACACAAACATCCTAAACCCCAAACCCCATCTGCGTGCTAAGAGGCAAATGACAGCAACAGGTCCCATGCTTTCAGACCATGTGACTGAAAGCAGGTTCACTGGAGTTTCAGCGTGGAGTTGAAAACCTTGTGTGTGCAAAGTGACTATTTTACTGGTTTACCTTTTTCCGCAGACTTAAATGTCTCTATCCTCTCCAAAAGAGTCAACTTTCATCACCATCAAAAGACTATATTATGGAAGTGTTCATTATCCTATCCTTTCAACTTTTCTCTATTTTGAAGTTTTTCAAAAAAAATAATTTTCAGTTGGGGAGACCTGTTTTACCTCTAAGGGGGGCAATTAGGCAATATCTGCCAAAATCACATGTTCATTAATCCTTTAATCCAGCAAGTCCACTTCTAGGATTATATTGAAACACATGCAAAATTAGATATATTTTCTAAAGTACTGGAGGAAGATCCAACATACATATCTAATTCAAACTGCATAGAAGGAATCACAAGAAGCTGATAATATATGATGCTTGTGAGGAAAAACCAAGTGGTTAGGAAATGGGGTGGGCAAGACTCATGTATTTTTAAAATTTTGAACCATGTGTTGATATTACCCATTCAGTACATTGGATATATGTATCCAATGGAATACTACCTGAAAATCAACAGGAATGAACTATGGATGTGCTCAACAACATGGATGAATATACAGAATACTGTGCTGTGCCAAAGAAGCCAGATACAAAAGACAACATACAGGACAATTCCACTCGTGAAATTCTAGAAAGACAAATCTAATCTATAGTGACAGAAAGCAAATCAGTGGTTTTCTGGGGCTGAAGTAGAGTGAGGGACTGACTAGGACGTGGCATGGTGGCGGGCGCCTGTAGTCCCAGCTACTCGGGAGGCTGAGGCAGGAGAAAGGCGTGAACCCAGGAGGTGGAGCTTGCAGTGACCCGAGATCGCGCCACTGCACTCCAGCCTGGGCAACAGAGCAAGACTCCATCTCAAAAAAAAAAGAACTTTCGGGGGTGATGAAAGTGTTCTATCTTGAGCAAGGTGTTCATCACATGGGTGTTTAAATGTGTCAAACCTTGCTGACATGTAAACTTAAAACAGGAACATTTTATTGTATGAAAATTATACCAGAAAAGTTAATTTTTAAAAGGAAAATATGTGTGTGTAATATAAATCAATAAATAAAGAGTTTTAAAGCAACAAAAATCCTTATTGAGAGTCTAGTCAGAAAGGCACTGCATAACAAGCCTGACCTCACTTAGAAAGGGATAGTTAGAAGATAATCAGGCTAGGCACTGTGGCTCACACCTGTAATCCCAATGCTTTAGGAAGCCAAGGCAGGAGGAATGTTTGAGGCTGAGAGTTCAAGACCAGCCTGGGCAACATAGCAAGACCCCATCTCTACAAAAAAAATAAGTAAAATTATCTGGACATAGTGGTACACACCTGTAGTCCTAGCTACTTGGGAGGCTGAGATGGGAGGATTGCGTGAGCCCAGGATTTCGAGATTGCACCACTGCACTCCAGCATGGGGTACAGAGTAAGAACCTGTCTCCTAAAAAAGAAGACTCACAAGGATTCACAGGTCAATTCTGCCTGCCTGCACCCAATCAAGCCCAAATTATTTTAAACATCAGACTTTCATTGATTCAACAAATAATTTTAAGAACCCAACTTGGACAGCAGCAAATCCATGGGCTGGCCTCTGCTCCTGACTTGCTGTACATGTTTGTCAGCAAATGATCTCTGGCCTAACAGCTCAAACCAGCAACTGCTGCCCTCAAGGGAGTAACTAGCCAGTTTCCCAAGTCAATTTCCTTAACCCTGAAAGGATTCTCAGAGCTTCTCCCATGGTGAGGTCCATGTAATCATCACCATGAGTGGTGGCCCAATTATTCTGAGCAGGTTCTTACCCACCACCCAGGGGAAGCCACAACCCCATCTCTCACAGTGGATGTTTGCTGTCCTCTCTAGAGCATCAACAGCCTGAGCAGAGAGCGAAGAAAGAATTCTGCTCTCTCTTCTATTGTCAGAATGGCTAATCCCAACCTAGACATCAAACTGGCAGAGGAAAAGATTCAGGACCAGGACTCTGCCAGTAGAAACAAGGGAACAGCTGCAGGGACCTCAGGTTCTGCCAGGGTCTGAGACAGAGGTCCAAGGGGAAGGCAGCCATAGGCTGCCCACAGAGGCCAAGATTCTTGTCCCCTCCCTCCTCTCCCTCTCCTTCCATAAACATGTTCAGTTTATTCTCATTAAATATGTATATTATATGTATATGTTATATATATGCATATATAAAATCCCTAAACACCCCTCCAGCTACTACTCTTTCTCTCCCCACTTTTCATCTAGTCATCTTAAGAAACTTGTCTGTGTTCGCTCTCTGCACTTTCTCAAATCCCTCAACTAACTGCAATCTGGCTGCTGTGCTACTCTCTTCGTTCCAATGTAATAAAAACTATTAATGTTCTTTATAAAAATGTTTATAGTAGCTTTAATTAGTAATATGTATCAAAAAACTGAATACAACTCAGACATCTAACAATAGGAGAATGGATAAACTAACTGTGTTATAGCCCAACAATGGAATACCACTCAGCAATAAAAACAAACTACAGATACACACACAACATGAATTAATCTCAAAATCATTATGCTGAAAGAAAGAAACCATATCCAAGAGAGTATACCTGGCAAAAATCTATCTATATGAATTTCTAGAATAGGCAAAACTAGTCTATGGGGGAAAATATCAAAAGAGTGACCAGGCACAGTGGCTCACGCCTGTAATCCCAATATTTTGGGAGGCCGAGGCAGGTGGATCACCTGAGGTCAGGAGTTCAAGACCAGCCTGGCCAACATGGTGAAACCTCGTCTCTACTAAAAATACAAAAATTAGCTGGGCATGGTGGTGCATGCCTGTAATCCCAGCTACTCAGGAGGCTGACTGAGGCAGGAGAATCGCTTGAACCCAGAAGGCGGAAGTTGCAGTGAGCCGAGATCGTGCCACTGCACTCCAGCCTGTGTGACAGAGAGAGACTCCATTTCAAAAATTCATACATATAATATTATATATATATTTATATATATATACATATATATTACATACATACATATATTATATATATGTTTATATATTATATATTATATATGTATGTGTTTTTTTTTTTTGAGACGGAGTCTCGCTCTATCGCCCAGGCTGGAGTGCAGTGGCGTGATCTCGGCTCACTGCAAGCTCCGCCTCCCGAGTTCACGCCATTCTCCTGCCTCAACCTCCCGAGTAGCTGGGACTACAGGTGCCCGCCACCACGCCTGGCTAATTTTTTGTATTTTTAGTAGAGATGAGGTTTCACTGTGTTAGCCAGGATGGTCTCGATCTCCTGACCTTGTGATCAGCCCGCCTCGGCCTCCCAAAGTGCTGGGATTACAGGCGTGAGCCACCGCGCCCGGCAGTATGTATATAATATGTGTGTGTGTGTGTGTGTGTGTGTGTGTGTGTGTGTGTGTGTGTATCAAAAGAGTGGTTGCTTCTGAGCAGGTGCAGGGATTGCCCAGGAGGGGACAGGAGCAAACTGCCTGCAGAGATGACAATATTCTATACCTTGACAGAGATTTACATTACACAGGTGTATGCTTTAGTCAAAACTCATGGAATGGTAGAGTTGAGATTAGTTCATTTGTACCCAGGGAAAGAAACTTTAAAGAAATATTTAACTGTAGTTAATGATATGGACACTAAACTGTTTAGGAGTATAGTAGACTACCATCTGCAACTTATATTGAAATACATCACAAAACAAGATAGACAAATAAATAGAAGGATGGGTAAATGGATAGATATATAATAAAGAAAATATGGCAAAATGATAATTAGAATCTGGGTGATTAGAAATGTAATGTCTGAAAATTTTTAAAAGAAAAGGTGTGGGGATGCTGTTATCAATAATTTCCTAAATGCTACATTAAGTGGAATCAGAGAAACCTGGATTCACATCTGGACAAGGCCATTTCCTCCCTGTCTCATCTGGGACAAGATTTAAACTTGCCAAGCCTCAATATCTAAATGCATGAAAGGAAGTTGATTTAAAAATGTTTGTGTTGTGGGGTTCTCATGAGAATAATATGAGAGAACATATGCAAAAGGTTTAGAAAGGTTCATTGCGACCTGAAGCTCTTTTTTTTAAACAAAAAGAGTCTCCCATTACAAATTTATAAAAATTCTAGATTATAAAATAACTAATAAAAATGTTCTTTTTTTTTCCATTTCCTAGATACTAGAAGTGGAGGGAAATGAAAACCAGAAGAGTGGCACATGAGCTGGCACAGAAGAAACCCTAGATGGGGATAGGGAGGTTATAAATTGGAAAATACCCACCAAAGATGAGAAGCTTCAGTTCTAACCTTTCCACAGGAACAAGATACAGGTGTTAGGATCACTCAGGGTAAGGTAAGAGTAAGAATTCTGCATAAAGTAAGGACTTTTGAAAGGCTGCACCCTTAAAAGGACTAGAAAAACTTCCCCACCAGTGCAGAGACATAACAATAGGACTTGTCTTTTCCTGGTCTTCCATGAGAAGCACTAAGTTTGCACCAGGGGATGGTTTGGAGTTGGATTTATACCATCCACATTGTACAGTAATCTCTACTCAAAAAATTAACAAATAAACAAAAAACAGATCCCAGGCTGGTTAAAACTCCAGGGCACCTGGTAAAACCAAATAAAACCTCTCTGTAGGGCCATTCTTACAATTCGGGCAGCACGACATTCTCACAGGGAAAGAAATCATCAATGAAAATGGCAAACTGAGCCAGGCATGGTGGCTTACGCCTGTAATCCCAGCACTTTGGGAATCCAAGGCAGGTGGATCACGAGGTCGGGAGATCGAGGCCATCCTGGCTAACACGGTGAAACCCTATCTCTACTAAAAATACAAAAAATTAGCCGAGCGTGGTGGCGGGCTCCTGTAGTCCCAGCTACTTGGGAGGCTGAGGCAGGAGAATGGTGTGAACCCCGGGGGAGGCGGAGCTTTCAGTGAGCCAAGATTGCATCACTGCACTCCAGCCTGGGCGACAGAGTGAGACTGTCTCAAAAAAGAAAATCGCAAACTGTTTCAAGAAAAGTTTGTCATGAACAAGAGTTTGCAGACACAACAAATAAGAGAAAGGACAATGCAAGAGTTTCTGATAGTTGAACATTCTGAAAGACTATAAAATACATATGTTTAAAATGATTAAAGGGAAAAAGAAGGCCGGGCACAGTGGCTCACGCCTGTAATCTCAGGACTTCAGGAGGCTGAGGCAGACAGATCACTTGAGACCAGGAGTTTGAGACCAGCCTTGTCAACATGGCGAAACCCCATCTCTACTAAAAATACAAAAATTAGCCAGGCATGGTGGTGCACACCTGTAATCCCAGTTACTTGGGAAGCTGAGGCACAAGAATCACTTGAACTTCGGAAGTGGAGGTTGCAGTAAGCTGAGATCGCACCACTGCACTCCAGCCTGAGTGATAGAGAAAGACTCTGTCTCAAAAAAAAAAGAGAGAAGAAATAGAAATCATAATGAAACACTAGGCAGGTTTTTTTAAAAACCAAATAAAACTCTGGAAATGAAAAAATATATAGTCATCACAATTATAATGTTAATGAATAGATAAAATTGTGATTAGATGGAGCTAAAAAGAGAATTCATGAATTAGAAAATATATATAAGGAAATCATCCATAAGCATGCACAGAAAGATAAAGCAATGGGAAATATGAAAGATAAGAGAAATGGAAGAGGAAATAATAAGGATCATCAAATTTGTAATAGGAAGGAGCAAACAGAATTAGAAAGTGGTAATACTAAAAGATAAAACCATCAAGAATTTTCAATTTATGAGTGCAAAAGGCTTATTGGGGAAAAAAAGAATTTTCAATAACAGTGAAAAAGATAAATCCTCCCAAGGAAGAATAATCCAATCCCCAAGCAGATTAAATATAAATAATTCCATGCCTAGACACATCATAGTAAAATTGCAGAATATCAAAACAAAATCTTAAAATCCACTAGAGACAAGAGCTACATCACCTACAAAGGAAAAATTAGACTTACCACAGACTTCTCAATAGTGACCACAGAGCTAGAAAATAATGGGATATTCCAAGTATCTTCCAGCATGCTGAGGAAAAATAACTGTCAACTTCAGTGCTCTATACTCTGCGATATTATCAGTGAAGAGGAAGAATGAAATTTAAAAATTTTAATCAAAGACTTACTACTCACAGACCTTTGAAGAAAGCACTATGAACGCTGTACTGCAGTAAGAAGGAAATTGAACTCTGAAGGAAGGAATGAGTGAGCAAACATCTGAGTAACTCTAAACAAGCATTGACTGTAAAAATATACAGATAATAGTGACAAAGGCTTAGCACATAAGTGCTTGACAAATGTTTATTGATTGGTGATTCTTGATTGTGTATGCCTCTTCTGAGACAATTCTGCACATGTTTTGGGCATGCAACTCAGAAGCCCTTCAGCTTATGGCTGTCACTTTCCATTTACTTATTTATTTCAGGAACATTTCACCATTTCCGTTCTAACAAGAATATTCCTTCATAATTTAAGTGCAACTTTGTGCTTATTATTTTATCTTTTTAATTTTTGCCATCTTTTGTTGGTAAGGGAGGGAATTCCAGTTTGCATTCAGCCTACTATTTCAAAATCCCATTCAACAAATTTTATTGAACTGGAAAAAACTACTCCCACCCCTCTGGTCATGCTTCAAGAAGAACAATCCTCATTGCCTGCCAAATTTGAGTAGTTAGATTCTTATACGGTGGCTCCAGGCTCCAAGTATAAATGTTCTAGCAACCAAAACAAAGTCTGGAATTAATACAGTGTCACTCCTGTTGTACCACATTGGTCAAGGTAGTTATAAGCCCACCCAGATTCAAGGGAAGTGGGCATTGGCCCCGCCTCTCAATGGGAGGAGTGTCACAGAATTTGGAGGTCATAGTTTAAACTATCACCAGCATTTGGAGTGCAGCTAAAATTGGGTGCAACTAAACATAAGAGGTAAATAACAACTGTGAGATGTGTAATTTATTGAGCATATACTATGTTCCAAGCACTTTACTTCCATATTTTGTTTATCCTTACGAAAAACCTGTGAGATAGGTAGGCATAATACTCCTCATCTTACAGAGGAGGAATCTGCGTTCATACCGTTGGCATGAATACCCAAAGTGCTTCAGTTAATGAGTGGCCAAGTTCAGATCCAAGGCAGTCACACTGCAAGACCATGCTTTTACCCACTCTGCTTTACTAATTTTTAAAGTCACTGAGCAGTGATAACTTACTCTAGCCCTCGCTCACTGAAGCTGCCTGTGAGGAATTCAAGCTTGGGGCCAGCCGTCAGGAGAGGGAGGTGGCATCCCAGAGCAGGGCTTCCTGTGTAAACAGGAGGCGCATGGGAAGCGGCACTGTGGTGCTGGGACAATGGGCAGTGAGCAGGCAGGGCCTCCTGTCTCCGGTGGGTGCTCAGGGCTGCAGGCGGCTGGGCAGGAACAGCTGGGGCCCTGACTCCCTGACGCCTGGCCCAGGAGAGGAACTGCCCCTCTCATGGCTTTCCCAGGAGGAAGTTCCCCACTGATTCCCGGGAAGCCCTTCCCATCACAGGCCTTGGCTGTGCCTGGGCCTCCTCTTTCTTCTTAAGGAGCATGTTGTCTTTGGGGCTAATCTGGGATACAGGCCTCTTCTGAAGTCCCCATGGCCTGGAGGCTTGGAGGGTGTGGGCAAGCAGGCCAGGCCCAGATGCCAATGCAGGAGGCAGCCACTGCTGAATGTGCACTAAAGAAAAAATGCATAAGGCATTTAAAAAAAACAAACAAAACTTGAGGCATGTAAAGCAAGAATACTTGACTCCACATCCCAGCTCCATCTCTAACTAGCTATGTGGTCTTGGGGAAGACACTTAACCTCTCTGAGCCACAATTTCCTCATTTGTAAAGTGAGAAAATAATATCTATCTGAAAAGAGTTGTTTGAAGGTTGAATGAGATAATGTTTGTAAAGTAACTGACAACTAGTAAGAATAATTATAACTAAGAGCATTTAAAGCACATAAGTAGACTCCCATCTTTGACAAGCAACTAGTCTACAGTGTATCACCTAAATTTTCACCATCACAGAGACGGAGTCTCTCTGTACCAATCACCACATAGGGGGGCAAAGCACCCAACTCCTGGGAAGCCAGAGAAGGTGGGTCTTGGAGAGGGTTCTGAGTGGACCCTAACCACTATCTTCCCAAGGCTTCCGTGGCACTACACACTTGGCCACCTCTGCTTCTTCAGCTACTCCTGCTCCATCATTTTAGTTTCCCCCAACTCTACGTATCTCTTTTCTTTAATGTTCTCCTCCTCTCTGTCTCTCCACACCCTCCTTGAGTGACTTCAT
Organism: Homo sapiens; assembly: GCF_000001405.40. NCBI lineage: Eukaryota > Metazoa > Chordata > Mammalia > Primates > Hominidae > Homo > Homo sapiens. The sequence continues at coordinate 138,962,388 of NC_000003.12, read as the reverse complement.
CTTGTCTCATCTGTAGACTAAGAACTCCCAAACCTCCCTCCTGAGTCCAGACCCGCATGTCCAACTGCCTCCAAGACATTTCCCCCTGGATGTCCCTCAGGCACTCAAATGCAATGTGTTCCACACAGAGATCATCATGTTCCCAAGAAACCTGTGCCTCGAGCCTTCCTCGTCTCAGGGTAGCCACAACCTATGCCTAGTAGACCAAGTCAGAAAACTGGGAGGTGCTCAATCCTCCCTCACCCTCACACCTAATCAGCCGTCAAGACTCATAGATCCCATCTCCTAAATGTCTCTCCAGGTGGACCCTTGTCTCCATCTGCCTGCCCCTTCCTTACTGCAGGCCCATCTTCTCTCACCTGGACTCTGCTTCAGGTTTAGCACCCTCCCTCCATCCTCCACACTGCAGCCACCTTCATCTTCTTAACATATAAAACCTCTCTTTCACTCCCATTTTACACCCCTCATGTTCTCAAGGTAAAGTCCAAGCCCCTCAAGGAGGCACCCTAGGCCCTCAGTGATATAGACCTTGTCAGCCTGTCCGAGCTCATGACCCGCTGCCTGACACACCTCTCCTACACTGGGTACTGCCAACCCCAGCCACAGGTGCTCTCCCTGTGAGGGAAGGAACCTCAGGTCTGGGCCTTCACACACATGCTTCCTCTTACTGGAATGCCTTCCCCACACCTTCTTTGGCTCCTACGCATCCCTCAGGACGCAGCCCCAGTATCACCTCCTCCAGGAAGACTTCCCATGTTTCCACAGCCTCAACCTTCCCCCATCACAGTATTTATCAAAGTAAACTGCTTTTGTCTGTTTACTTATCCAACTCCCCACTAAACTGTACCTCCCCAAGGGCAAGAACAAGACCTTCCCCTTCTCCAAATCCTCACGCCCAGCACGGGGCGTATAAAGAGGAGGTGCCCTGGATACACACGTTCACTCAAATGCATGAATGACAACTTCTACCAACCAGGGGGTGGCGCTAAAGGCAGTCCTTGGGAGATAGTCAATCTCAAGTAAACCCACTTACGTTGTAGAAGCTTCCTCCTCCCAGAAGGCAGATATAGTTTAAAGTTTGCAAGCATCCTGCTACAAAGCCCTCAGAGCTAAAAAAAAAAAAAAAAAAAAAAAAAAAAAAAAAAAATCTAGTGGGATCCTAACAGAAATCCCCTCCCAGGCATGTTGGGGGGCCAAAGTGGGTGGATCCCTTGAGCCTAGGAGTTCGCGACCAGCCTGAGCAACATGGCAAAACCCAGTCTCTACAAAAAAAATACAAAAAATTAGCCAGGTGTAATGGTGCATGCCTGTAGTCTCAACTATCCCGGAAGCTGAGGCTGGGGTCAGAGGATCACCTGAGCCCAGGAGGCCAAGGCTGCGGTGAGCCATGATCACACAACTGCACGCCAGCCTGGGCAACAGAGGGAGACCCTGTCTCAAAAAAGAAAAAAGAAAAAGAAGTCCCCTTCCAGGCAGGAAAAATGGAGAAATATCAGTAAAACATTTGGTTTTACTGGACTTGGCCAGGACTTGGCTGAAAGTGACAATGGGAGCTTGCAGCGTGGGAGAGCCATCGGGCATCAGGAAGACAGGAGGAAGGCGAGGTGACCAGTGTGCAGGACCCCAGCTCTCAGGAGCTGCTCTGGGCTTGCGCGTCTGTGCCCGTGCACCTGAACCCCGAGCGGCGAAGCCGGGGCTCCCCGCGGGCTTCCTGCATCGCTGCCTCCAGGAAAGACATCACCCGCCTGTCCCGGGCCCTGGTCCCCATCGCCGGCTGCCGCTTCCGGCGGGCCTCTGCGGGGAAGGAGCGCGGTACGAAAGTGAGGAAGCCCCCCGTCGCTGGGGTGAGCCCCGCTTCCGGTCCGGAGGGACGCGCCACGCTCGTCCTACACCCTGAGTCCTACACCCTGAACACCCGTCAGGCCTGGAACAACACCGGGAAACGTGCCTTCCTTCCTCCACCCAGGAACCCGGCCGGACTGCCCGCAGTCTTTGTCCTGCAGCCCTCTCCCATCCTGAATTTCCCGCCTCTTCATGCTACTGCCTCACTATCCATGAACACATACGAGGACCCCTAACATTTGTCCTAGATTCTTCCCCACCCCAAGTTTCCACAATAACTAATAATAATTGCATATCTAATCCCTTACCAGACTAAATCTTGATCTAAAAGAAAGAAGCTCTAAATGAGAAGTCCCCGGCATTCGCTCAACAAACATTTTCTGTCAGAGGTATTACACACCAGGCACTACTTAAACCAAAATGAATCAGAACACAGCCCTGCTCTCAGGGAGTTCTGTCTAGTGGCGGGAGATAGACAAATTAACAAATAAATTACAGCATAAAGTAATATCTGCTGAGATAAAAGCAAGCACAAAATTAGCTGGGTGTGGTGGCCGGCACCTGTAATCCCAGCTACTCAAGAGGCTGAAGCAGGAGAATCGCTTGAACCCGGGAGGGGGAGGTTGCAGTGAGCCGAGATCATGCCACTGCACTCCAGCCTGGGCAAGAGAGCTAGACTCTGTCTCAAAAAAAAAAAAAAAAGCAAGCACAGACAAGGTGCCATAGGAGCTCAAACACCAAGCCCAGCCTACTGATATATAGGATTGGGCCAAGAAGACCTCCAAGTCCTCTAAGAGGAGGCGACCCTTGAGCAGACTTGAAGGATGCACAGCAAGCAGCTGAGAAGACACTAATGGGCAACTCCCCTTCACCATGCCCAGTGGGGCAACCTGAAGGCCCACATGGCCAAGGCTGCACCTGGTTCAGTGTGAAAAGAGGGGTGTGCAGGGACAGAGCACCCAGAACGTGGATATGCTGAGATGACCAAATGGCCTGCTGAGGGTAGGGGCCAGGCCCAACTCCCCTTCAGAGCCCTGCTTCTGGCTACAGTAAACACTTAAGGAATATTTGTTAAATTACAGCCAATGCTTAATGATCTCTGTGGGCCATATGTGTGTTTTCTTCCAAACCAGACTAAAGAAAACTCTTCAAGGGCAGAAACTACCCTATATTTTTTCTTATGCTTGCCAGAGCACTTGGCACATACCTGGGCACCTGTCAGGTAAGCAGCTGAAATTTTCCCTTGATTAAAGCAATGACAGTCTATCCTCTGGTCCCCAGCACCTGCAATGGCATGGTGGCCAGCTCAGCCCTACTGTGGCCTCTCCTAGGAGACTTGGCCCTTACCAACAAGGCCTTCCCATATTGCCCAGCTTGAAATCCCTCCTTTCTTCCTCTTCCCTCCTGTAGCACCTGTGCCTTGGGCTGAGAGAGTTGTGGAGAGGCTTGTACCTGTCACCTGGGGCTTCCTGTGGGCAGAAATCATGCATTGCTCCGCTCTACTTCCCCACCCATAACAGTCATTGCACAGAAAAGGGGTTCAACAAATGTATGAAGAAACAAATGACGTGGTGGGGAGTTGGTGCTTTGTCATTCATTCTTTCTTTTCTTCTTTTCTTCTTCTGGGTGGAAGACATTGCCTAATATCGTTTAAGAGCCCACAAATTCAGCTATTTCCTAAATGACCCCTGGAGTTCCATCATCATTATCATCAGATATAAGAAGAATCCATCATTCATCCTGCCTGTCCTTCATGGGCCCGACCTAAGGGCAATCAAATGGTTGATAAGGAAAAATTTTCCTTTATGGAAGAGTTTTGTTAATTCCTGAAGATGGAATGCTAGAATTAAAATATCACTGTTTTGCAAACCCTAATGAATAATGGCTCTAGGTGGTGATCATCAATGACTGTTAAAAATCAAAATACAAACAACCCAGGCACTAGTGTTCTGATGGAACTACACAACACTATCTAGGAAGTGTTCTTGCCAGAACAGCAAACTTGAATCTAACCAAGCTTCTAGATCTACCAATGTACAGGAAATAAAGAGGACAGAGGAGCATGTTAAAGGATGTCACAGGGATGCGGTCAGCAAAATCCAGGTTGTGAGAAACTCTATAGGACAAGTGGCCCAGTGTCTTTAAAAGATATATTGCAAGAAGGAAAAAAAGAAAACAATGAGAGATATCTATAGATTAAAAGTGACACGAGACATATTAACCAAATGTCGTGTATAGTATAGATCTTGTTTGCATATTGATTCAAGCAAACCAACTGTAAAATCTCTTTGAGACAGTTGAGAAAATGTGAGCATTGAATACCATGAGCTGAGGATTCACTACACTAAAAAATCACTCTGTTTTTAGGTATGATGATAATATGATAGCTACAGTAGTTTTGGGGTTTTTTTAAGTATTTATATTTTAGGAATGTAAACTATTTACAAATGAAGTAATAGATATGATGTCTGTGCCTGGCTTCAAAATAATCCAGTGGGGGAGGGGTGAGGAAATGGATGGGGCTATAGAAGGAAGTGGATGGGGGTTCAGTGTACTATTCTCTCTCCCATTTTGTAAGTTCAAAATGTGCCACAATAACAGGTTAAAAAGAGATCAAAGGTACAATATAACAATGTTAATAAGAACAAATTAACATATTCATAATATTAATACTATGAATACATTACTAATCATTGTTAGGGTCTTTTTGTGTTTCCTCTGTCCCAGACCCTATACTAAATCTTTTCATACAATATCTCATTTATCTCTCAGGAACCCTGCAACATAGATACTATCATCACCATTTTGCAGATGAGGGAAATGAGGCAAAGAAAGGCTGGATATTGGGCCCAAAGTCACATAGCAAATAAATCACAGAGCCAGGATTTAAGTTGAGACCTGCTGAAACCTGAGCCCACCTTTGTTCCCACTCCACCATCCCACTTATGGGCATGGACTCCCTGAGGTATAGGCATCACTCTCTTTTTCACAGATGTAGAAGATGAGGCTCTGCTCAACAGTAACTGGTGAAGTTGAAAATCCCTGTGACCTTTCATCCAGCGGCCCCACTTCTTGGTAAACTGTAGCACATGAGCACTAGCAGACATGCCTAAGAATATCCATAGCAAGACTATTGGTAATAGTAAAGAATAGGAAATAACCCGATGTCTCTTAACAGGAACATGGATAAATAAACCACGATGTATTCATACAATGGAATGGTGCAACACAGGGAAAATGAATGGAGCTTGTGTTTGTGTGGCAACCAGGAACTTTTTCACAAACATAGGTTGAATGAAAAAGCAAGCACGTGTCTTTCTGCAACAGCAGGATACCATTTATATAAAGTTAGGAAATACAAAACTATATGAAGTATTGCCTAAGAATGGGTACACACACATAGTACAAGTGCAAAAACAGGTATGGGAATCTTAAGCACCAAATTTACCATGGTGATCACCTCAAGAGGGAAAAGGACAGAGAGGAATCGAAGAAGCCAGGGTCCTCAATTATATCTGTAAGATTTCTTTCTTTCTTTTTTTTTTTTTTTTTTGAGATGGAGTCTCGCTCTGTCGCCCAGGCTGGAGTGCATTGTAAGTCAGCCAAGCGCACTGGCTCATGCCTGTAATCCCAGCACTTTGGGAGGCTGAGGTGGGCGGATCATGAGGTCAGGAGATCAAGACCATCCTGGCTAACATGGTGAAACCCCGTCTCTACTAAAAAAATACAAAAAATTAGCCGGGCTGGTGGTGGGCGCCTGTAGTCCCAGCTACTCGGGAGGCTGAGGCAGGAGAATGGCGTGAACCTGAGAGGCGGAGCTTCCAGTGAGCCGAGATTGAACTTCAGCCTGGGCCACAGACCGAGACTCCGTCTCAAAAAAAAAAAAAAAATTAGCTGGGTATGGTGGCATGTGGCTGTAATCCCAGCTACTCGGGAAGCTGAGGCAGGAGAATCATTTGAACTAGGGAGTCAGAGGTTGTAGTGAGCCAAGATCGCACCACTACACTCCAGCTTGGTGACAGAGTGAGACTCCATCTCAAAAAAAAAAAAAAAAAAGATTTGTGTTAGTGTGGCTATGAGGAAACAGGAATGCCACACACTGTTGGCAAGAGTGTATTCTGGCTCAATCTATAAGGAATTTGGCATAATCTATCAAAGTTATAGGTGCATATATCCATTACCCAATCTTACACTTTCAGAAATCTTTTTATAAATATATATATACATACCTACAAAATGAGATATATGCAAGTTTATACAGTACTGTATTGCTTGTAAAAGCAAAGGATCAGAAACAACATAGATAGCATGCAGCTCTAAAAAGAGAATGCATTGATGTGGAAAGATCTAAGGTGCAGAACACTGTGCATTCAATGCTGCCATAGGCAAAAATTGAGGGAGTGCAGAAGAATGTATGTGGGTATGCTTGTATGTGCATAAACTATGTCTGGAAGGATATATGTGAAACCAGGGTCACTGGCTGCCTGTGAGAAGGGTGACTTGGGGGACAGAAGTGGGAGAGAAACTTTTCACTGCAAGCCTTCTATATTTTTAAATTTTGGTCCATGTGAATACATTGCCTACTCAAAAAATGATTTTAAAAAATTTAAAACTCTGAAGCAAGGCGAGCGTCCATCATTTCCAAGGCTGATATCAGTAGGAATTGGAACAGAGGTCTGTTAGCCACCCAACGGCAGTGCCTCTCAGCCTGTCAGCGGTGTGCATAGATGACAGTGCCAGGCATCAGGACCTCTGCTGCAGCTGCACTACCTCCTTCCGTGTGCCTCTGGATCTGAGTTCCCAGCACCTGCACGAGGAGGTCCCTTCCTGTTCAGATATGCTATGAGTCCCTGGTCCTCAGGAGTACTGCCTCCAAGCAAACGGCCAGGGACAAGAGCTTCCTGGAATAGGGAACATCGGGATCCTGGACTGTCCCCACCCAAAGCCCCCAAATCCTGACTACTGCTTCCCCAACAAAAACCTGCTTGTACCACCCCAACAGCCTGTCAGCAATTACCCCCAATTACAAACCCAGAGCCCAGCAAGACCTCAATTAGTCTAGAAAGGGGCCTGAGGAGGGGCCACCTGCAAAGCATAGAAAACCCACATATGGCCTCTACCCACAGAGTAGCAACACTCCTCTCAGTCAAGCTTAGGGGCTTGGAGACTTGGAAATTTGGTAACCTATGGCCCCGAGGAGGAGGCTGCTGGTTCTCCCTCCTGCAGTGCCCACTCCATGCAGGGCCTAGTCAAGCACTGTGCCTAGAGGGGCAGTTCCCCAGACTTCCTGCTCTCTCCCTGCTCAGACCACACTCATCCTCCCCACTCACCACCTTCCAAGGCAAACTGCAACATCTGTCGACAAACCTTGCAGAGGGATGCCCTAGGCATCAGCCTCTGAAGCCCACCATGGGCTTGGCTCAGCATGCTGGGAGGAGGACCAAATTCCCATCTCTTTCCAGGGAAGGAAAGCCTCTGAATTATCCTCTGTAGCATCCAGAAACAGGCTGGTCCCTAGTCCAATCTTAGTCCAATCTTCTGCAAATTCCGAGAGGGATCCCATTAGGTTGCTGAGCCCGGGACTTGGCAAGCTCTGAAGTCTTCACTAAATTGGCCCCCATCCTCTTCTTCTTCACAGTGAGTGTGCGTGGCTGTGGGAGAGAAACTGTGTGCATATGGGTGTGTACACAGATCTCAAATCTAGGTGTGAGAAGGTATGCAGAGAGGACTACAGGTTGATAGGAAATGAGTCTCTTACCCGGCAGCTAGATTTGCTCAGATGGAAGGGAGAACTTCCTGACCTCACGGGAACAAACAGAGGTACATGTACGGAAGTGAAATTCAGAGCCCACAGTCAAGTGGTCACTTATCAGCCAGGGGCCTTTGGCAAGTTACTCACCCTCTCTGAGCCTCAGGTTCCTCAAGTGTAAAATGGGAATAGTACCAATCCCTTAGGTTTCTCATAAAAATGAAATGAGATAATGCATGTAATGTTCCTGGCACAAAATAACTGCTTAATAAAGGATGGCTATTTTTTTGGCCAGGTGTGGTAGCTCATGCCTGTAATCCCAGTATTTTGGGAGGCTGAGATGGGAGGACTGTCTGAACCCAGGAGTTCGAGACCAGCCTGGGCAACACAGCGAAACCCTATCTCTACAAAAAATACATAAATTAGTTGGGTACGGCAGTGAGCACCTGTAGTCCCAGCTATTCAGGAGGCGGAGCCCAGGAGGTCAAGGCTGCAGTGAGCCACGATCACGCCACTGCACTCCAGCCTGGGTGACAGAGTGAGACCTTGTGCAACAAAAACCAAAAAACAAAAAAGCTGTTTTTTCCATTTATAACAACAGTAATAACAAGTGCAGCTAAATAGTGGTTTTTAGAGAATGCTATCTATAAGGGAAAGGCCCTGTTAAAGTATGTCTGTCTATCTGTATATCACTGTATTTGGTTTTATCACTTTGGAAACTGTTTGACTGAATCTATTGAAACTAAATATATGCCTACTCCTACAGTTCACTCAAGAGTAGTAAAATACCCTTCACAAAAAGACATGTACAACAATGTGCACAGCAGCTTTATTTATGATATCCAAAAACTGGAAACAAATGTCCCTCAACATATGGATGGATAAGCAAATACTAGAATATTACACAGCAATAAAAAGAAATAAATGTCTGACACATGCAACAAGACCAGTGAATATTAAAAATATGTTGCACAGAAAAAACTAGACATAAAGGCATACATGCTATATGCTCCATTTATACGAGGCTCAAGGCAGGCAAAGGTTATTTATGGTGATAGAAATCCAAATATGGTTTCCCTTTTGAGGCAATATTGATTGGAAAAAGATATGAAGGAACCTTCTGAAGTGCCAGAAATGCTCCATATCTTGATCCAGGTGGTGGTTACATACTGCATTACATGTCAGAATACATCAAGCTGTATATTGTTTACCATCTGTAAGTTATACTGCATACAAAAATATGGAACAAGGCTAAATGCCCATCAACCAATGAGTGGATAAAGAAAATGTGATATATATACACCATGGAATACTACTCAGCCATAAAAAGGAACAAAATAATGGCATTCACAGCAACCTGGATGGAGCTGGAGACCATTATACTAAGTGAAGTAACTCAAGTATGGAAAACCAAATATCCTGTGTTTTCATTTATAAGTGGGAGCTAAGCTATGAAGATGCAAAGGCATAAGAATGACATAATGGACCAGGCGCAGTGGCGCACGCCTGTAATCCCAACACTTTGGGAGGCCAAAATAGGCAGATCACTTGAGGTTAGGAGTTCAAGACTAGCCTGGCCAACATGGTGAAACCCCATCTCTACAAAAAATACAAAAATTAGCTGGGCATGGTGGTGCATGCCTGTAGTCCCAGCTACACAGGAGGTTCAGGCAGGAGAATCACTTGAACTCAGGAGGCTGCAGTAAGCCAAGTTCATGCCACTGCACTCCAGCCTGGGCAACAGAGTGAGACTCTGTCTCAAAAAGAAGAAAAAAAGAATTATATAATGGGGACTCGGGGGGGGAAGCGTAGGAGGGGGATGAGGGATAAAAGATTACACACTGGGTACCGTGTACAATGCTCGGGTGACAAGTGCACCAAAATCTCAGAAATTACCATTAAAGAACTTATCCATGTAAGCAAAAACCACCTGTTCCCCCAAAACTGTTTAAATAAAAAATAAAAAACTGACTGGGCATGGTGGCTCACACCTGTAATCCCAACACTTTGGGAAGTTGAAGCAGGCAAATCACCCTGAGCTCAGGAGCTCAAGACCAGTTGGGCCCACATGGTAAAACCCTGTCTCTACCAAAAATACCAAAAAAAAAAAAAAAAAATTAGCTGAGTGTGTTGGCTCACACCCATAGTCCCAGCTACTTGGGAGGCTGAGGCTGAGATGGGAGGATCACTTGAGCCTGGGAGGTGGAGACTGCGGTAAGCCAAGATTGCACCACTGCACTCCAGCTTGGGCAACAGAGTGAGACCCTGTCTCAAAAAAAAAAAAAGTGTTTCATAAAGTTATAGTGCACACATACACACACACATACACACACACACACACACACACCCTATCTTGGCATGAGGAAAATCTCCAAAGGTAGAACAGTAATACAAAACTCAGCCCTTCTCCCTCCCTTCCTCTGGACTTTGTGCCAGCTAGGCATCTAAAACTGCCTTCCTCCATGGCAGTTGCCTATCATCTTTAGAAAGTGCCCGCTTTGTGGGAGAAAATTGAGCCAGGAATGAGGACCAAGGGGGAAGGGCTCTCTCTGGCATCCCCTCATGGGTTAGCGTGCGGGTGGAGACTGCAGGCCTTACCTTGCAAGCCAGCTGCCCTGAATGCAGAGACTTCTCTGTTTCCAGTAAAGTCTAGTTTGAATGTTTCAGACAGGTCCTCACCATGACTGGGAACTAGGGAGGTGTCCTTGCCCTTGCCTAAGGTTCAGCACCATGGCCATGCAGCTATAATAACCCCAAATGGCAAAGAACTCTCAGATCCTGAGCTGGCTGTCAATGATCAAACCGCTTTTCCTCAGCTACAGTCCCTTTCTTGGAAATTCTAACTTCATTATAACTTCATTATAAGGAAAGTGGCATTTCCCAATTCTGTCCAGCAGAACCATTTTCTAATTCTATTAAAAGGCATTAAGCCCATCCTGGTGGGGAGCACTGAGTGAGAAGTGGAGGGCAGAGTCTCTGCCCATCAGCGCTTACAGTCTGGGTGTGGAGAAAGGCAACAAGGCAACTTTTAAGAACACATCATGTTCCCCAGCAAGCCTGAGGCCTACTGGCAAGGCACTCACTGTTCAGAGCTGAACAAAATGGCTTTGGGCCATAGATGTCATGAGGGATATCAGAGGAAACTTGTCAGCAGCTCCCACCACCCTAGAATCCGCCTCTGAGAGCATCCCACGGGTCTTTGGAGGGAAGAGGGCCTCACTTGGCCCAGGACCCAGACCCTTCTGCCTTTTTCCCAGTTGGCCTCCACCATGAAAAAGGCCGACAACTGCCCTGCATTCTGCCTGATTGACGATGGGGCACATACTCCTTGGGACAAAATGGTGTTGGAGGACTCATACCCCAACATCAGCAAGGTAAAGAGGAGCCCAGAGCTCTGGTCTACTGCCTCTCAAGCCCTTCCTGGGGGAGAAAGAGGGGAGCTCAGTGAGACACTTAACAACAGGAAACAGCTCTCATGTGTGAGTTCTTCCCAGAGTAGGAGGTCGCTTCTCTTTCCTCTTCCTCAATATCTCTCTCTCTCTCTCCACTCCCCTATTCTCTCCCAAGCACATATGTGAGTAACTGACTTTGCTAATCCCAACCAGGCAGACTAATACCCACTGGCTTCAGACCTGGTGCTATGTGGGTGTCTGCTGCTGCACCTTGTTGGTCTGAGCAGCAAACTCAGCAGAGTTTCGAGACAGAGATAAAGCCTGTGTGAGTGGCCTGTGCATGTTAAAGTGTATCTGGAACGTGCTCAGTACCTGAGCTTCTCTGTGGTCTGTGCGGCAGTCCCATCATGAAAACACCCAGGTGGCAGCCCAGTCACCCGAATCACAGGCCAAGGACATCAGAGAATCAACAGGCTTCTCGGAGTCAGGCTTGTAAACCTGGAGCCCATTGGTCCTTCTGCACCGTGAGATGCGAAAGTGAGCAGCGTGTGAAAAGCCTTAGGGTCTGCACATTGGCTTGACATGTTTTCCACCAACATGTGCAAAATCTGAATTAGTACGTGTAGCTGGTGAGTGTGAGAGAAGTAGGAGGGGAGGGAGAACTAGAGGGGATTTGGAGTTGACAGAGGGAGAAGGAGAGAGAAGTGGATGGAGTAACGTGACCTGAGTGGAGGGACACCGAGTCCCTGAGGTGTGGGTGCAAAGGGCCCTGTGAGGGGCCGGGAGGGAGTGAGTGCTGACAGTTGTTGAGGCGTGGAGTGTATGGGGATGTACTAATAGACACAGTGAAGCTTCCCTTTGCTAGCCAAGCACCGCAGAGGCCATCCCTCCAAGCAGAGGGTTGCAGCAAGCTCTATTCTCTCCCGCTCAGGAGCGGGAAGCCGCCGGGTGTTTCGGGGTCCCGCTAGGAAAGGGGACAGCGGAACCTGGTTCAGGCAGCCGGCGGCGGCGCGGGACGAGCTGAGTGGTTCTAGCGAAGCGCTGCCTGCCTCAGAGCAGCCGCGACGCTTCCCTAGTAGAGCTGGGCCGCCGGAAGCCCGAGGCGCGGGCGGCTTCTGCCGCTGTTGCAGGATTCCCGGCCCTGGGGAGAAAAGCGTCTGTATCAGAGCCGTGTAGATTGCTCGCGCCGGCTGTCGGGACCTCCGAGGCGCGGGGCCAGGCTGCGAGGAGGCGCGGGAGCTGAGACTGCGCTCAATCGGCGGTTCACTGGAACCGTATCCGCAGGCGGCGCTACGGTGGGACCACGGTCAGGAGGCGCCGGTGGCTGCTGAATTGCAGCTGCGGGACCCTGGAAAACTGGGGCAAAGAGGCAGTGAGTTCTGCCCAGCCCACCACCCTGGCCTTTGGAGGTGAGCGCCGCCCCAAGGTCACTAAGCCGGGGGCCCTGCGTCGCCCCAATGCCGCGGGGAGAAAAGGAACCGGCCCTGGCGTCCACAAAACCTAGGCACAGTATGCCCTGTTCAGAGAGGATCCCGACCTCGCCAGCAACCAGCCTACCTCCGAAGGTTGAGAAGTAAATCAGGGCGCCCCGCACCGTTTCCTGGAGCGCCCGGTTCACCCACCTCTGGCTGGGCCGGCAAGGAGAGGATTCTGTTCTCTCCCTAGATTCCTCTATCTCCAGCCCGAAGCCCCTGGCTTTTCCGCAGAAGCCTGGAGGGGACCTGAAAGTAATCATTCTGCCAGCTTTCCCGCCCGCATTTTCTTGCCTGTTTTCTGAGCCTTCGAATGCCGGACAGCCATGTGAAGGCACATCTTGGGGAGACCGATTCCAGCCCTTCCCAGGGTGCACGCATCAGGCATCCTCTTCTTCACCAGGGCTGGGGATTCTGTTCCTCTACGGGACAGTCAGAAATCAGTATTTTCAGAGCAGAACTCCTTTCTATTCTGAAAATCCTTCAGAGGAACTCCTTCATTTGCCCCCAACCCCTACACACACACACACACACACACACACGCACATGCATACACACACAGGCTCTTTAAAGGCTGAAAAGGGAGCCGAGTGTGGAATTCAGGGAAGTGATGACACACACAACAATGCTGTTACACCTGGCTGCTGCAGGGCTGAGCAGCGGAAATGCCTGTGAGAAGAAGAAAGAAAGACAGAGAGACGCAGAGAGCCAGCCTGGGTGGTCAAGAAAAAAAAAAAGGAGAGAAAAGGAGAGAGGAGCCCCCACCAGGATGGGGCCAGACCCAGCTGTTTTTCCCCCTGCCCAGGCCCTGGCTGGGGGAGGATAGGCACTGAGGCCAATCTGCAGCAGCCCCAAACCGGACTCACCACTCCCACCCAAAGCTTGGGCAAGGATGGGGGTAAGGAAGAAGAAAAACATCTGCACTCCTGCTCAGAAAGCAGCAGCAGGGATTCTGCGGAAGTGCTGCTTCCCCCATGTCTGTTGGGTGCAGTGGGAGACCGCCCATAAAAAAAACCAAGCTACTTTGGGGATAGCCTTGCTCCCTCTCATCCTTGTGACCAGGCAAGGGCTGCCCTGCTGACCTCTCTGGTGTCATCTTCAAGATGCTGAATTCCAAAGAGCCCTACCACCCTTGTCCTCCCTCCCTTTCATCTCAGAATGCAGATCAGAGGCCTGAGTGAGCAGCAGACAACACTTGTAGATGGCCTGTGGATGCTGGAACCACAGGCCGCTGAAGGCTCCTTGGGCTTCAGGAGAACCCTCAGAGTCTAAACAGCCTGGGAGGAAGAGGCAGTGACAGGCATTGAGTCAGCCACTCCAGACATGCCAATCACTAATGCACAGCTATATGACATCCATTCAGTCCACCTTCCTCCATAAGGTGGCCTTGCCCCCCTCCTCAGCACCAAGGAGTTTGGGGCTTGAGGATTCAAAACACTGGCCATCTCTCTCATACTTTATGACTGCAGACTTTTTGTTTAGGCCAAGTTAAAAGGCACTGTTAAGGAGCACACTGTTAAAAGGCACACCTGATTTTCCCTGAAACAATCTCTGTACATGCTGAAATAATTGGATTCCCATCAGAATTCTGCTTAAGGTAGGTGACAACTAACTCCTGATTCTTTGGAGAAAGATCAGAACAAATGTCTCATCAGGAGAGAGATTTGAACAAGTCCCTCCCTCAGCCTGATGTTTGTCTTCCCAGTCTGTGGCAAAATACATACACTGGGAGGGAAAGAGGCATCGAAGAATTGTGAAAGAAAGGAAGAAAGGGGGGAAGGAAAGAAGTAAGAAAGGAGAAAAAGAGAAGATGCTATATCCACCAGCTACATTTACTCTAATACTTGATGAACATATTACATAACTATCAGTATAAGTGTGTTTTACCTCGTAAATACAAATCTCACACCTTGTACATGTGCATACCTGTGTTTCTGAGCAGCACACATGCACCTGGTATCTCACCCATCTCAAGGACAGCTCCTCTCCATGACTTCCATATGTGACCCCTGTGCACACACATACACAGTCCCGCAAAGTCCCGGGCAACAGCCCCGCCTGTGTTAGTGCAATAGCTGAGGGGCATCTACTTGGTGCTGTTAAAGCACACATCCAACCTTCACTCCAACCCCGTAGGATTAGTACACGGATTCCTGGTTCCTAGATCCACTGGTAACGCAGGGAGAGGCAGAGGTGATTCAGGCGGCGCCCCTGACGACTATTTCCAGAGATCCTCTCCCCTGCCCCATTCCAGCCCAGTCACTCTGAGAGCGCGAGGGACAGGCCAGGCCGAGGCTTCTTCGTACAGTCACACCCGTTTCTGGGCTGACTTTCCCAAAGCCTCAGAGCAGCTCTCCCCACCCTACCCCGTCCAGCCCCCTCGCCGTCTCGCCCCTCCCCAGCCCCGAGCTAGAAGTTCAGCCTCAAGACGGCAGCAAACGGCAGAGCAAAGGAGTCGTTTTCTTTCACCTGAAAGCCGCGAGGAGGCTTGGAGCGCCTTTCCTCGCTGGGGCCCGAGCTTCCTGGGCTTTGGCCGGGTGCGGGCAGACCCCACCGGGGTCCTCGTCATCTCCCAGCCCAGCCCGCAGAGCGAGTACCGGCAGATTTCAAGGGCGCGTGAGCCTGGCTGTCGGCTGGGCCCCTGAGGCTCGCTGGGCGGGGGCAGGCCGGTCCAGGCTGTGCGGGGCGTTTACAAAAAGTGACTTGGAGATGAACTCGCCCGTGCGCGGCTGGCCGCCCCGCTATAGGGGCGAAGGCGCCTGACGCAAGCGGAACTCGGTGGAGCCCATACGAATCAGAACAGAGCGAGGCTCCTGGCGCACTAGGGACTCCAGGAGGCAGCTCCGCCAGAGACGCGGGTCGTGCTTCGGGAAACCGGGGGGCGGGGGGAGGGGAAGAGCGCAGAAAAGAAAACCCACCAAGGCGGGGACTGGCCTGAGCGGGGAGGGGCGGCGAGGCCGGAGCCCCTCTCTGTTGGGCGGACTCCCCATGGCCAGAGGCTGAGCTCCACTCCCGCCGGCCGCTCCCTAGGGGAAGGGGAAGGAGAGGGGAGAGCAGCGACAGGCCTCCAGCAAGCA
This sequence comes from Homo sapiens, assembly GCF_000001405.40. NCBI lineage: Eukaryota > Metazoa > Chordata > Mammalia > Primates > Hominidae > Homo > Homo sapiens. The sequence goes on along the minus strand of NC_000003.12, from coordinate 138,946,856 downwards.
AGCGCGGGCGGCATCCGCAGTCTCCAGAAGTTTGAGACTTGGCCGTAAGCGGACTCGTGCGCCCCAACTCTTTGCCGCGCCAGCGCCTGGAGCGGAGAGCAGAGGCGGCCCGGCCGCGGCGCGCCGGCTTTGTCATGATGGCCAGCTACCCCGAGCCCGAGGACGCGGCGGGGGCCCTGCTGGCCCCAGAGACCGGTCGCACAGTCAAGGAGCCAGAAGGGCCGCCGCCGAGCCCAGGCAAGGGCGGTGGGGGTGGCGGCGGGACAGCCCCGGAGAAGCCGGACCCGGCGCAGAAGCCCCCGTACTCGTACGTGGCGCTCATCGCCATGGCGATCCGCGAGAGCGCGGAGAAGAGGCTCACGCTGTCCGGCATCTACCAGTACATCATCGCGAAGTTCCCGTTCTACGAGAAGAATAAGAAGGGCTGGCAAAATAGCATCCGCCACAACCTCAGCCTCAACGAGTGCTTCATCAAGGTGCCGCGCGAGGGCGGCGGCGAGCGCAAGGGCAACTACTGGACGCTGGACCCGGCCTGCGAAGACATGTTCGAGAAGGGCAACTACCGGCGCCGCCGCCGCATGAAGAGGCCCTTCCGGCCGCCGCCCGCGCACTTCCAGCCCGGCAAGGGGCTCTTCGGGGCCGGAGGCGCCGCAGGCGGGTGCGGCGTGGCGGGCGCCGGGGCCGACGGCTACGGCTACCTGGCGCCCCCCAAGTACCTGCAGTCTGGCTTCCTCAACAACTCGTGGCCGCTACCGCAGCCTCCCTCACCCATGCCCTATGCCTCCTGCCAGATGGCGGCAGCCGCAGCGGCTGCAGCAGCTGCGGCTGCAGCCGCGGGCCCCGGTAGCCCTGGCGCGGCCGCTGTGGTCAAGGGGCTGGCGGGCCCGGCCGCCTCGTACGGGCCGTACACACGCGTGCAGAGCATGGCGCTGCCCCCCGGCGTAGTGAACTCGTACAATGGCCTGGGAGGCCCGCCGGCCGCACCCCCGCCTCCGCCGCACCCCCACCCGCATCCGCACGCACACCATCTGCACGCGGCCGCCGCACCGCCGCCTGCCCCACCGCACCACGGGGCCGCCGCGCCGCCGCCGGGCCAGCTCAGCCCTGCCAGCCCAGCCACCGCCGCGCCCCCGGCGCCCGCGCCCACCAGTGCGCCGGGCCTGCAGTTCGCTTGTGCCCGGCAGCCCGAGCTCGCCATGATGCATTGCTCTTACTGGGACCACGACAGCAAGACCGGCGCGCTGCATTCGCGCCTCGATCTCTGAGAGCCCACCGCATGCCGGTGCAGACGGATGCGAGGATGCAGGGACGCGCGACGCCGGCCCCGGTCGCAGCCGACGACGCCGCCGCCAGCCTGACCTCACACCCTCTGGGCCCGCCTCTGGAGCCAGCGCCCAGGGTCCCTCTGTGCTTTTTCGCTTTCCTAAGCTCCTGTCGCTCCTCTTTGTCCCCTCAGTTTATGTCCTCCTGTGCTCACCTCCCTGACCTCTGTGACCTTGCACTCCCCTGGCCTGAAGCTGCCTCTCTGCGCGCTTTCTACTGGGCTCGTCTCTTTCCGGAGCCCCAGCGTCTCCTGCCCAAATTCACCGCGGAAAGGGCCCGGGGCGGAGGTGCGACCGGGCGTCGGCAGCGCAGACCTCTTGGCCTTCTCTCACAGGTCGGTGCGCTCGCTCTCCGCGTTCCCCGCCCGACTGCCGTGCAGTCCATGGCTAGACGCGCCGGACAGGACTGATGGCGGGACCGCGCTGCCCGAGAAAGGGACGGACCAATACGTGTGTTTGCTCCGCGAACCCTCTTGAAGCTGTTCAGAAGCCGCTTGCCGCGGGGCCCACTAGGCGGGGCGGGGGTTGGGACCCAGCGGGAGCCGGGGCAGCCTGGCTCCACGGCCTGTACTCGGTTTACACCGCGGGCGGGCGCGGAGGGAGGCTGCGTTTCCTCCGCTATCAGTCCCGTCGCTTCGGGCACCTCCGGGCCCCGGCGGCTGGCTAATGTTTTGTTTGAAAGATCGGTGGAACTTTTTAAGAGAGTATTTAAAAAAAAAAAAAGGAAAAAAAATTCACCGGGCAACCGGGGAAGTATTGTGGCCTTGGAGTTTGCTAAATCCAAATATGAAAATCAAAAGCTTTAGTATTCCTCATCTTCTCTTCTGGAAGATTTGCGTTAGAGTTTTTGTTGGGCCTTCAAAAAGCTGTGTTCAGAGTTAGGAGAATATATCCAATAAAAGATGGTTTCGTCTACCAATTGGGGAAGTTTCACCCTCTCCCTATCTGAAGAAAAAAATCAAAAACAAATGTCCCCGGATCTTTCGATGCAAGTCCTGGAGGCAGGGAGATCACTGCCTGCCTGGCCCACGCTGCTGGGACGGCTCGTCCTCCCTGCTTTTTGTTTTTCAAACCTCCTGCTTCTCCCACCTTGGGAAGGAGAAATGTGAAACCCGGCAGCGGCCGACCTAGGCGGTCTTGTGGCCCGGAGCCGGCCCGGCCCGAAAACCATAGACCTGGTTGTACTGTAGCTTGTTGTTTGGGGGACCAAATTTTCTAGAGAGAACTAGAGCACTTTTGTTGTGTTTTTTTGTTTTGTTTTTGTTTTTTGCCTTGTCGATTCCCGAATAAATTTTGTGTTCCTTCTTTTAACACGGACTTCTTTATTTCTGTCGCTCCTTAGTTCAGCAGCTAGTTAAAAGAGGAAGATTTTCAGCAAAATTTTATCTTTTTCAGAATGAGTTAAACAAAGATTGAGAGCAACCGGGGTGGCAGGCGTTTGTGGCTGTCGCTGCTGCTTTGTTTTCCTGGGATTGTTTGTTTTCTGTGTCATCACTGGCCCGTTGCGGCTGTTTAACGTCAGCAGAAAGACTTTTTCTGCCGTGGTTCGTTCACAAGGCGCGACTGTAGGTAGGACTTGGTTTATTTTTGTACCTATTCAAGTTTGTATTCTACCTCATACACAGTTGTACTAGGTGTATGGGCTGGCTGTGTTTTTATTATTGTTCTCAAACTTTTCGATTTTGAGTCAACTATAACAGCCAAGAGTTTGTTCCAAACATTAATAGATAAAATTCTGGTTGTGGAAATGCGCTGCAAACTGCTAACCTCTGTACAAATGTGAGAAGTGACTGCTTTATTATTTTTAATAGTCAGAATTCATTTACCTTGAGATATGGGTAGGAGATTTGGAGGTTTCAGTAAGGATTGAACATACTTCGCGGCTGCAGAAATTTAGTCTTTTTTCTTTCTCTCTCTTCCTTTACTGAGATCCCCAAATAACGAATTAAGATCCATGCTTCCGCGCAGGCACACAGGCGTTTGACCTGGTTGCAGTCTGGTTCTCCCAGGCGGATTAGGGGGTGGTCGGCTTTCACTCTTCTGATGGGATAGATGACTTCCGACTTCTGATAGGATAGATCCGCCGGTTCTTGCGGGCTGCTGCTCAGCTGAGACTAGACCCCGCACCCAGCCCTCACTGCCCCCCCCCCGTCTATCTCGGGGCCTGGCCAGCAATGTGGCGGCAGGTCCAGGCCGGCTGGTGGGCCAGGAGCGGTTTTGCGCCACGGGAATGAGCCTGCAGGCCTCTCACTTCAGCCCTCCAGTGGTCAGGCGGTAGGAACCTCAGGGTGGTATCCTGTTATGTATAGTTGGGCCCAAGTGGCTTCTGCTCAGAATGCCCCCCGCCCCCCACAGGCATCCTGCGAGAGGCTACAAGGCAGGAGACCAAGCCACGGGGATTCTCAGGGGGCATCACCTCAAGACTGGGACTGGAGCTTACCAGGAACCGGCAGGAGCAGGATGGAGAGGGAGGCTCAGCTGGAGCAGGAAGCCCTAGAGGCTGGTCAGGCCTGGTGTCTGGGTGCCTTTGGTGCCCGGCTGCTCCACTATCTGGCTAAGGGGAGTTGCAGAACAGAAAGCAGCCTGCTGTGTGCATGTCTGTTTGTGCTTTGTCTAGCGTGAAAATTTAGCCCATGGGCAAGTAATTGTGTAGTCTGTATCTGCTGCAAATGTGTGTGTACAGTGTCAGTTGTGTATTGGTGACAGGGTGGGAGGTGTGTGTGTCTGTCATTCGCCTGCAGAGTGGGCATATATTTTTGGCATTGTAATAATCATATGGCTAACACTTAGGAAGTGCTTACTGGGACCACAGTGTGTGTGGCATTCATACCTCATTGGTGATGTGTGCATTTGTGGGTGTGTATTCCTGGCTTGCTGAAAAATAAAGTAATATGGACAGAGCCTTTGCTTCATCAGGCAGAGGCTCCCTGTTCTGAAGCTGGCTGTCAGCACTCCCCCAACTGCCGTCTCAAGCAGAGAAAGCAAGGGAGGGAAGCTTCCAGGACCAAGCCCTGGTGGGCAGGTAGCAGCCCACCTCCAGTGAGACGGAGAAGTTGGCCGGGGCCAGCAATGAAGGACCAGCCTGTCTCCTCCCCGAGAACTGAAAGGCAAAAGGCACCCAAGGCTGGGAAGAGAGCAGCAGCCTCACCAAGTAAGGAAGACAAAATGAAGCAATCAGTGAGGGTTTCCTGGGTCTACACAGGGATTGAAGGAGGTGAGAGAAGGGAGCCAAATCATACCCCACTTCCCCATGGATGCCCACAGGAAAAATCTGTCTAACTCCAGCCCTCGGGATTTCTCCAAAGCTCTTAAGTTTGGTCATTTTCCCCAGGGCCGAAAGTTTAGTTCAATGGCAGGCTTTCTTCATCTCTCATTTCCTTTCTCTTCTCTCCCTCTTCGCACTTTTGAGTTTCTATTATAGAAGCTGATTTAAGCAATTCCTGAGGGCAAAAGTATTTGAGTTATATAGCAATTATGCCTTAGCATATACAGTCTGGCCTAGATGGCTGGGCCATGTGAGTGTGTGTATATATATTGGCCAGTGTGTAAATACAATGTAAATAGAGTTTAATACAAATACCCAGCCAATTTCTGAATGTCCTGGGTAATGAGTCGTTCTTGCATGAAGATTATGTGTGTGGTGGGTGTAAACATCTCACACACTGCTGACAGTATGAGCCCTCTCCTCACATTTACACAGAAATTCTTAGAGTCACCTCCACCTCACTAAAATTGCCCAGTCAGAGTAAGTGGGTTGGTTTGGAGAAAGCAGGGGGAGGTGTCCTGTTCTCAAGAGGGACCTGGAGAAATCTTCGCCATTGAAGTACATGCACCAAGGGACTGTGGGAAAGGGACCTACGGAGTTCTGGAGATGGTCCTGTACCCTACTCCAGAGGGTATTGACGTCCTGTTTCCAGCTTGCATCAGTAAATAGTTCACTGCTCCAGATCTGAGGCTTAGATGAGCAAGAGGCCCTGGACCTTTCATCCGAGGTTAGGTGCATCCAGCCTTTGCCAGGGTTTCCTGGAAGCCAAGGCTGGAGATGGGGCTGCAAGGAGCCCCCTGGCGGCGGGTGGAAATTGGGGCCAGACCCAGGCTTCATGCAGCCAGACAAGCAGAATATGGGCCAGGAATCTGAGTCTGGCCCAAGATAGTTTGCTCTCAACTGAGCTCTTCCCTTTATGAAGGTCTGGGCCAGGCTTCATGGACAGGATCACCGGACCAGACTCCTGGCTTCTGGGTGGGGGTCTAAGGCCAGGAAACATCTTGATCAGGCTCAGCATCCCTGCAGTGTCCCCATTCTGCAGATCTAACCTGGTGGTGACCCTGGGGCCCTGCCCGTCAGGCCTACCACCACTGTGTGGCAGCCCCTACTTCTTGGAGTAGACTGTGGGACCCATAGAAAAGATGGGGAAAGGATGGGACTAAGAGCCCCATGCCTTCGGGACAACCAGGAATTAAGGATTCTTAAAACCGAGCAGTCTTAGCAACTTTCCACTTTCTGGAGAGAGGACTCCCAGCTGTCATAAAAAGAGTGTCTTGGGTCTAGGAACCCAAAATTACATTACATTTGAGGAATCTCAGGTCCTAAGAAGAGAAGAGACCAACCAGAGGTCTTCCAGGTATCTGTGAGGCAAATGGCCTCCGAAATTTTTAAAGGAGACTTGACAGCAGCTGAGCCTAGCTGCCACTGATGCTCAAGGGAGCTGCGTAGTAAGGGAGAGCCTCCCAGGAGTAGTAAGGGAGAGCCTCCCAGGAGAAGAAGGAAGCACAGTCTGAGCTGTGCCTTTTGCCTTTTTTGTTTGTTTCTGTACCACAGAAACTGCTGCTGCACAGGCTGTTTGCCGCACAGGCTTGGTGCTGAGCTGTGAAAAGCATGTTCTGGGATCTTGTCACTTCGCGGAGGTGGCCTGTGCAGCATGAGGCAAAGACCTGGCCTGTTTAGTCAGGAAGAACTGGGTTGGAGCCTGGTGTCCTCTTTAACAGCTATGTAACCTTGGGCAAAATACCCATTCAAATTTCAGTGTTCTCCTCTATAAAACAGAAATACGTGCGTGTATCAGAATTATTAAAATAATTAAATTTTCTAATTTTTAAGTGCCCAGTTTATAGTAGATGTTCAATAATGTTTTTTCCCTTCCCCTATTAAAAAAAAAAAAGGAAGGAAGGAAGCAAAAAAGGAAAGAAGAAAGGAAGGGGGAAAAAAAACCTTTAGTAATAACTTTCTAGGATTTGACTTCCTAACCCAGCTGGCCACAGGCACCCCCTGCGAGCACCTTCCGGGGCCAGGCGCACGCGATTGCATCCACCCTGCCCTAGCCCCTTGGCCGTGGGAGTGAGGCTCACGCGGTTGCCGTTGCAGCGAACACCCAAGCCCTGAAGGCACAGCTGGTGGGCGCTGAGACCCCGCCCGGGGCTCCTCCAACCTCCCTCTCGCTTCCCCCAAAGCGGTCTTCACACGTTTAGGAGGTTTTCTCTGAGAAAGGCCGTGCTGACCCGCGAAGCGGCACCGACCCAGGGACCTACTCATAGGCTGTCCGGCTGGCGCCTCCAGTCCTCACGCGCCTCCCTCGACTGGTTGATTTTTTCTTTTTTTTTTTTTTTTTCCTTTTCTTTTTCAGAAAAGCAGAAGGTAGCCACCGGGCCAGAGGTTGCAGGGTCAGCCTGTGGGCGAGGCTCCCCTAGGCCTTTGTGGAGAAACGGGAAACCTGAGGGGCAAACGCAGGAAGCGGGTTGGGTCAATTGCGGGCGACCGAGGCGCCGCCAGCGGGTGGGGAGCGAGAGGGGCCAGCAGCCGGGAAGACCCCGGCCTGGAGCGCCTCGTGTCCCCGGGCCTGTTGGCGGCGCTGCAAGCCCAGGTCTTGGGGCGCGAGCTAAGTCCCCCTTGCCAGCTCTAAACAAAATTCGGGGGAGAATGAGTCGGCCAGTCTGGGCACAGGGTGCTCTCGACTGCCGGGCGGCGGGCGGAAGCGCAGGGGCCCTGATCGCCCCCAGAGGTGCTGAGCGCACAGGGCAGTGGCTGCAGAGCCCCGGCGCGAGGCCAACTCGGATCATCCACGTTGGGACCTCAGCCTGCCCGGTTGTCCTTAGTAATAATAATAGTATGAAACCGAGTTTTAAAAAACCTTTCCCCGCATTTTCCTCTATGTACAAGGGAGAACAAGTATTTCTAGGCAGTCAAAGAAAAAAAAAGGGCAGGATCCCAGGAAACTTTAATCTCTATGGACGAGGAGTGAAGGGGAATTCGCCTTTTGCCTTTTTTGTTTGTTTGTTTCTAGAAGAGAAAAAAAGGAAATTCGACACATATTTTTAAAAATCTTCCCCCAACAACCGCTAAAGGCTGTGAGTGTGAGCAGAGAGCCAGGAAACCGAGCCCCCGCCCGCGGTGACACCGGGCCTTTGTCCTCCTTCCTGAAGCCCCCGCGACTGCTGACCGTGCAGAGATAAAGGCCGGGTCAGGGCCCTGTGGAATCCCGAGGGAGGGGCGGCGGGGCCGTCCCATTGGCCCCTTTCAACCCCATGTAGGGGGGTTAGGTGGGCCCAGCTGATCCCCGGAACAGGGGCTACAAGGCCAGGGGCTGTCCCCACCCCCAGGCTCAGACGAGGCACGGATCTGCCTTTCCCCACCCCCCCGAAAGGCTTCTGCCGCTAAATTCCTTGCACCTTGCTCCTACCAGCATTATATTGTCCTACTTAAAGTCTCTGGAGGCGTTAGGGACAGTGGCTCCCCACCGGACCCGATCCCCAGAAATGGAATCGTGCTCAACCTCTGTGGCGACTCTGGTTTTCGCGACCGCTGGGCTCGGTTGGCCGGCCAGATCCGAACCCGTGCATCGCCTGTTCCAGCTGCGCCTCTCAGGGGCGCCTCTGTGCCTTCTCCGGGCCGCGGAGACTCCTCCAGCGCCCGGCCTCGAATTTTCTGCGCAACGCTCTCCTGTCAGCCGCACGGTTCTGCAGAGAAGGCGGGAGAGTGTTTGTGACCCTGCCCTGTAGCTTTCGGTGACTTAAAAACCCAGGTCGCTGTGGAACCCAGTCTCCACGGCATTGCCTTTGCAGGCAGCAGCCTTGGGCTTACACCTGAGGTCGTTTTCTCCACAGACACTTCTGGGTGATGCGAGTGCTGCGCAGCTCAGAACCCTTGGAAGCATGAGAGGAGGACGAGCCCGGCGGCCTGCCGGTGCGGTGATGGAGGGCTCTTCGGTAGCCACACTGCGCGCCTCCCACACACACCTTAACAGTCTTGGGGCCCCGGGCCAGCGCTGCAGCCCAAAGAGACCCTGCAGCCGCATTTTCTCCCAGGCCGTGGCAAACCCTGGCTTCGCCTCCCTTCACCATGGCTTGTGAGGGCAGGAGGCTCCCGGGGGCCGACTTCCCTGACCTGAATGAGTCAGGCACCCTTCTTTATTTTAAGTGGGGGTGTGACCTGAGGAGATAAAGGAAGGACGACAGACCTGGGGAGTGGGGCCCTGCAGCCTCTTGGGCCCGGAGCGCACTCCTTCTCGCTCCCTCCCCTCACCGGCAGGATCGGGGGTCTTGAAACTGGAGCCGCTCACCGGCCGGCGGATGAGAGATAAAGGAGCCCGGCGGCGCCGAAGCGCTGACCAGCAGACCCGGATCCGGACTTTCCCGCGCTCCAGAGCAGCACCCGAAACCCTACTTCCCAGGTGGCACCGACGGCTGAGCAGCTCCTCCGGTGCCATACGGTGTCTCCAGGCACAGACAGTCGTGCTCGCGTGTGTACTGTGCACGCACAAGACTGCAGGATGATGTCCTGTATGAGCCCTGTATTAGCCCCTTTGCTCTCAGCCAGAGGTACACGCATACGTGTGTGCATTTGTCAAGTGTCTAGGGACAGGTGTGCACCTTCACACATACGTGATGTGTATGTGCACACATTTGTAGAACGTTCTAGCATCTATCCTACAGGCACGTACAGGGCTGGCTGCTTCTAATAAGTCATCATTACACCTCGCATTTACACAGGCCTTTTCAGTTCTGGCATGATTTTCAGAATCACCCCGGGAAATACTCTCCTTTCAAAGTTTACAGATGAGGAAACAAGCAAAAAGAATCTAATGGGTACCCGTTTGCACACACTGTGAGAGAGATCGAGGCCAGCCAAAGATCCCGCCCACTGTTGAACTTGGGTGTGTTGGCCGAATGTGCTCATAGATGGGTCTGTTTAGCGCCCCAGGCGACCTCAGGTCCGGCGGGCCTTGGCTCTTCGCCAGGCTTCCTGGGAGACCCACTGCGCCGGGTGTGGGGTCTCAATTCCTGTGCTGATAAGCACTATCTTCTGGAGCTGGGTGACCCTAGTGCCCAGGGCGGGAAGTCGGGAGCTGGCCGGAGTGCCGCTGAGGCGATCCCGGCGGTTCCAAGGCCATGGCTGACCACGCGCAACTGGGTTGCAAAGCCTGGCGGGCCTCGGTCTCTAAAGCAGCCACGCCAGGCAAACGTGCGATGAAAGGATCCTTTCAGCCCACCTACAAACCCAGGAACCCAGGGTTGCTGGAGCAGTGAGGAAATTCCTGCTGTCTCGAATCCCTAGCGCCCTTACGAGACTCGGAGCCCACAATGCCCATTTTACAGAAGTGATTAGTCGGAGGCTAGAGCGGTATAGTGAGTTGCTCAAGTTCAACGCCAGTTGAGTGGCCACAGTCGGGACTGGAATCCCCAATTAAGTGTGTCTGGATCCTTGGTCCACAGTCCCTCTGCCCCCAGCAAGGATCGCTGGTCCCTCTGTCTCCCGCGCGCCCAGGAGCCATCCCGCTACTAGCCTCCGACTTCCCTCGCCAAGAATGCGAAAACTATCATAGCTCTCACCAGCATCATTTAAAAGGTTTCCACATGCTTGGAATCTGTTGCTTGAAAACAAATTCCCTGTGTGCGTTGGCTTTCTAACCCCTCCTAAGGCATCTGGTCCCCCTCCACCCTCTAAGCCCTTGCCGTCGCAGAGTGAGGCTGCCTAAGGGCTGTAGCTTGACCACATCCCGGGGGTGCCCTTGGGCCTCTGCGCCGGGCTCCTGCAGACTGAGGTCGCTGGTCTCTGGGCTCCAAGGCCGCCTCTACCCCGCAGAATCCGGGAGCTGGAAGGGAGCCCGCGGTTTGGCGAGGTCGCCGTTCGGGCTCACGGCCTCGAGGCTGCCCTCTGCTGGCACTGGGCGACATTACCACCGCCTCCCTCGGCGGCTCAGGAGCTGCACCCACGTGAGGGGTTCGCGCAGAGCCAGGCGACCCCATTCTCACTGGGTCCCCAGAGTGGCTGCCGCACCTGCAGCCACTGACGAGACCCTCCCGTATTTCTCAATCCGAGACTTCTCCCCGCAGACACCAGAGGCTCCGGTGCTCGGACCCAGGGACAAGGCAGAGAGCCGGAGCTCTGCGCTGGCAATCCCGCCGCTTTGCGGCGCCCGCCGGGATCCGCGGCCAACCAGGCACGGCCACAGGCGGACGCTGGGGGACTCCGGGGATGGCCCCAGGCTGTGTTCGTCCCCTTTACTCTCCGCCACCATAGCATTGATTGGCGCCCACGGGTCCCGATCTACCTGCCCTCCCCTTTTCAACCTTACTTGATGGTGGCCCAGGCGCTTGGCTGCCTCTGTTTCTTGTAGTGCACTTGTCTCTCCAACCAAATTAAGAGCGCCTCGACGACCGGAAGGGGCTGCTCCCTACCCGCACGGCACAGGCCTAGCTCAGGTTCTGCCGAGACAGAACTGATTCCAGAGGCCCCCATTCTTGCCCTTGAAATAAACTTTAGGCAGTGAGGCGAAGAGACACTTCTGCCTGCTGCATCCATTCTAGACAGGGTGGGGTAAAAATTACTCAGTCATCATATCTATGCATTTCCAGTGCTATGTATTAGGACTTTAACATTTTCACTTTTCCCCTCACAAAGATAATTGAAACTGAAGAAAATTGGGAAAATAAAACATTAAAATGCACAAAAAACACCAACGCGACAATAATCCCATCCCTCCTCCCACAAGGTAACCATGGTTAACATTTCGATGGCATCTTTCCAGTCTTTTATTTATATATTTCAATTAAAATAAGCCTAATTTCCATAATTAACAAATATACATAAAATTTGCAGTTTTGTATCCTGCTTGTTTAAACCTTTCGCCATAGGGTTTTTCTCCATATCTTATTCTTTGAAAAATGATTTTCAATTATTGCTTAATAATCCATCCTTTGGATGAACCATAATTTTGTTATACACCAGCACCAATTATCTGTTTTAGGCCCAGGAAAGTCTCCTTAAGCCACACTCTCTGGATCCGTCTGGATCAGTTAATATATAATCATATAATCAGTAGTTGATCAATAAATGTTGAGCCTTTCTTTTTAATTTTTTGTTGTTGTTGTTCTTTTCTTGTTTGTTTTGAGATGAAGTCTCATTCTGTCGTCCAGCTTGGAGTGCAGTGGCACCAGCTCAGCTCACTGCAACTTCTGCCTCCCAGGTTCAAGCAATTCTCCTGCCTCATCCTCCCGGGTAGCTGGGATTACAGGCGCCCGCCACTACACCTAGCTAATTTTTGTGTTTCTAGTAGAGACGAGGTTTCACTATGTTGGCCAGGCTGGTCTCAAACTCCTAACCTCAAGAGATCTACCCACCTCAGCCTACCAAAGTGTTGGGATTACAGACATGAGCCACTATGCCTGGCCAATGTTGAGTCTTTTGCTAGCCTAACAAAGAGAGTCATGGTCCCATTCTCAGGACACAAAAAATCCACCCAGATATTAGGGACTGCCTTGACCTAGAAGAGGGCCTTCTAGCCCCTGCTGCCAGCCATCTCCCTCTGCTGGAGACCAGTGTAGCTGGGGTGGTGAGAGGGACATCTTGAAAGATGGCAGGAACCAGCAATGTGTCTGAAGAGCTGTCCTAGCCTGCTTCTAGGACCAAAGCCCTGTATCCCCAACTGGCACACAAGATGATGTTTGTGACCTGGGCTACTGTGTACAGTGTCTTGTAATGGTTAGGAGTCAAACATGCCTTCATGTAATCCTGGGTCTTCCCCTTAAAAGCTGTGTGACCTCAGAAAAGCTGCTCAACTTCCCTGAACCTCATTCTAAAAATTGGAATAATAATGCCTACCACATCAAGCTTTTGTAAGTATTCAAACAAATGACACACTTAGCCTAGGGCTGTACAGATAAATTATCAATACACCATAGCTACTGCTTCTTTTGGCTCTGCAGCTGCTATTGCTGTTGTTCTGGCATTAGCTGTGGTCTTGGGGACCACTGCAATTGCCCTCTCCCTCAACTTCTGACCCCATTGCTACTGTTAAACACAAGCTCAAATCCTGGCACTAAGCCGGATCCAGGTCCTCAGGGCTGAAGGAGTCATTTCCAGCATTCTGGTTGGGCTGCTCAGGACCTTCTGACAATCAGGCCTGGGCTTGGGCTGTTTATACTAGAACCGTTAAAACAGGAAAATATGCAAACCCTTCATTCACAAGGATCCGGCTATTGTTGGGTCAGAAATGATATTTTTGTTTCTAGAGTAAAAGGTATATTTGCTGCCTTACACACACACACACACACACACACACACACACACACACACTTTTTTTATTCTTTTGGTTGTGTCTACAGAGCTCAGAAGGCAAAGTAAATGATCTGGTTCATTTGACCAGCTCAAGCAGCCAACCTGGAAAAGTCCCTTTGGCCTGATTGATGTTTACATGTACTCCAACGAGCCTGAACCTCACTGGGCTCTGTTTAGTTCATCCACAGACTAGGCCCTTATCCATCTCCCAGACAAAATGCCTCCAAAATCCATCTCCCAGAAATGATAGGTTGATAGCAACACCACCTCCATCTAGGATGCAGTTAAAGAGGAATTTAATTTTTTAAAAAATTAACCCAACCAGCCTGATCCCAGTAGAATCAACTGCACATCAAAATTTCATGGAAAAAAGTTTTTAAAACACAGATTTCAAGATCATCTTCAAACTAAACAGCTTCTGCCTCTGGAGATGGCGCTTGGCAATCTGTGTGTATCTGTAGTTCCTCCAGGTGATTCTGAAGAAGCCTGTGGAGCCACATTAGGGAATCACTGCAGTTCTCAATTGAATTGAAAACAGGTTTCTCCAGGTGGCCTCCAGAAAATGCAGATTCCAAACAGTCTTCCGTTGGGACCACATGGAATGAGAAAGAGCTTGGGTGTAACTGTGGTGGGGGAAGTGAATACATATTTGTTTTTATGTGCTTTTGATGGGCTGTTGTCTGTGCACACGGCAGGCCTCTTTGGTCACAAGTAACATAAACCCACTAGAGCTGGCTTTAAACCAAACGGGTGGCTGGGGTGGGGGGTGTTTTTATAAGGATTCATGAGTGACCCCTGGAGACCCAGGCAGGGTGGTAGCCAGACTCCCTGAAGGGCTATGCTGCAACAGGAGCTGAGGTGATGGCAAGAACCAACTTTTCCTGCTGCTCTGGTCAGGTCTCTCCTCTGCTCCATTTGAGAGAGGAGCTCCAGCGACAGCTATAATTTCTGAGTGTCAATTCAATCTTCCTGTGTGAGAAAGCTGATTGGTATCCTGGGTCAGGTACTGTCCTGGAGATACACCCCAGTCCTGTCAACTGGAGCTGAGGAAGAGGGTCTGCTGGTAGCTTCTGATGGTCGCTCCTTGTGGGAAGAGGGCAGTCATGGCACTCATGAGAGGCTAAGCAGACACCCCAGGAAGTCATTTGTTTCAGTCTAGCCTGTCCAACCACTCAATCAATAGCTCAAGGATTTTTGATCCTAGCTGCACTACAAAATTGCCTCAGGGGCTTTAAAAACCTATTGTGCCTTGGCTGGGCGCGGTGGCTCACGCCTGTAATCCCAGCACTTTGGGAGGCCGAGGCAGGTGGATCACGAGGTCAGGAGATCGAGACCATCGTGGCTAACACCATGAAACCCCATCTCTACTAAAAATACAAAAAATTAGCCGAGTGTGGTGGTGGGCGCCTGTAGTCCCAGCTACTTGGGAGGCTGAGGCAGGAGAATGGCATGAACCCGGGAGGCAGAGCTTGCAGTGAGCCGAGATCGCGCCACTGCACTCCAGCCTAGGCAACAGAGGGAGACTCCATCTCGAAAAAAAAAAAAAAAAAAAATATTGTGTCTTACCTCCATGTCTTGGGTGTAGCCAGGGTATTGAGATTATTTTTTTAAGCAATGCTGGTGATTCCAATGTACAGCTAAGGTTAAGAACCACAGCCAGGAGCAGTGGCTCATGCCTGTAATCACAGCACTTTGGGAGGCTGAGGCAGGCAGATCACCTGAGGTCAGGAGTTTGAGACCAGCCTAGCCAACATGGTGAAACCCTGTCTCTACTAAATATACAAACATTAGCCGGGCATGGTGGCACATGTCTGTAGTCCCAGATACTCAGAAGGCTGAGACAGGAGAATTGCTTGAACTCGGGGGGCAGAGGTTGTAGTGAGCCGAGATCACACCACTGCACTCCAGCCTGGGCAACAGAGTGAGACTCTGTCCCCCACAAAAAAAGAACCATGGCAATAACTAAATAGGGAACCTACAGCCAATTTAGCCATTTGCTAAAGATATAGCTTCAAAATATCCAATGAAGAGAAAAATTATTAAAATCTAATGGTTTGCACATGGCTTATTTTCATCTAAATTGTACATACCCTAGTCCAAATTTCAAATGCCATGATTATTCACATTTGACATTTTCTAAACTTCTTGACATAAATGTTATGTTAAGTTCCTTTTGTAAAAAACTTGCCTTTCTGGAAATCCTGAGGCACCAGAACATAGGATGGCTCCGCATGGCCTCAGCTGACCCTCAGGCCCCTATAGACCACCAGCCCCTTCTTTTCCAGGGTCTCCAGCTTGCCAGGGTAGTCTCAAAGCCCCCCCAAAAAAACCCGAATTACACTGATCTTGCTTGCCCCTGCCCACAGGCCTGTGCTTCAGGGTTCCCACCCAGGAGCTTCTGACACATTTTCTGGAGGCCAAAGAGGATAAACTCTACCCCTTCAGTCAAGCTGGCAAACACTGATGAAAACTTTGTCCTAGTCCAGGTGTAGTGGCTCATGCCTATAATCCCAGCATTTTGGGAGACTGAGGCAGACAGATCATCTGAGGTCAGGAGTTCAATACCAGCCTGGTCAACATGGTGAAACCTAGTCTCTACTAAAAATGAAAAAAAAAAAAATGGCCAGGCATGGTGGTGCATGCCTGTAGTCCCAGCTACTTGGGAGGCTGAAGCAGGAGAATGGCTTGAGCCTAAGAGGTGGAGGTTGCAGTGAGCCGAGATGGCACCACTGCACTCCAGCCTGGGTGACAGAGCAAGACTCCTCAAAAAAAACAAACAAAACTTTGTCCTAGTGCATGGCAGCCTTGAAGAATATCTTTATTTTGCTTTGTTTCCCTTCCTTATAGTTTTCCCTAAGCAATTAGTCAATCAACAAATAGTTCATAAATAGCTATGATGTGCAAAGCACAAGGTAAAAAAAGAAGGATCACTTCAGAGATCTTGTCACTGGGAGAAATGCAACAGCAACCCCTCTAGGCTTGGCCTTGCATGGATACTAAGGTGCCTATTAAAGGGATCTTTCCTCAGCTGTCTATTCTTTTTAGCTTAACCCAGGGCTAGGACTCAAGCAATTATAGAGGGTGAGGGATGGCAGCAAATAGAAGGGAGC
The DNA here is from genome assembly GCF_000001405.40 of Homo sapiens. Taxonomy (NCBI): domain Eukaryota; kingdom Metazoa; phylum Chordata; class Mammalia; order Primates; family Hominidae; genus Homo; species Homo sapiens. The sequence continues at coordinate 138,930,873 of NC_000003.12, read as the reverse complement.
TGTCCTGCCTGGCTGGGTGCAAGAATGAGGGTGGGGTATGAGGGATGCTGCTCTTCCCATGGCTGAATCACCCTGAGAGCTGTTTCCTGCTTCCAGAACCAGAGAGCACAGGCAGCACAAGACAAGACCAAACTGCCTTTTCAAAAGCGGAGAAAGGTGATCAACACAAAGACCAGTGACTGATGGAGGATGTCCAGAGAGTGGGGCTGGGGACAGATACCATGACATTTGAAACTATAGAGAGGGCTTGGAGATCCCAAATGAAGTCTAGGGCTGTGATTTTCAAAGTGTGGAACCCAAATCATCAGCAGCACCTAGGACCTTGTTAGAAATGCAAACTCTCAACCCCACCTCAGCCCCACTGAATCAGCAACTCTAGGGTGGAGCCAGCAGTCTGTCTTACGAAGGCCTCCAGGTGATCCGGATGCAAACTCAAGTTTGAAAACAAATGGTTTACTCTAGGGAAGCCCTCATCCCACACATCCTGCACCTAAAACACATGGCTGGGTGCGGTGGCTCATGCCTGTTATCCCAGCATTTTGAGCGGCAGAAACGGGAGGATAACTTGAGGCCAGGAGTTTGAGACCAGCCTGGGCAACATAACGAGACCACCCCCTCCCCGCCCCCCACCATCTCTACAAAGAATTTAAAAATTAGGCACTGGCCGGGCTTGGTAGCTCATGCCTATAATCCCAACTACTTGGGAGGATCCATGGAGCCCAGTAGTATGAGGCTGCGGAGCTATGATTGTGCCGCTGCACTCCAGCCTGGGCAGCAGCAAGACCTTGTCTCTAAAAAACAAACAAACAAAAAAAGAAACACTTTCAGGCTTTTAGATCCCTGAATGGTTTCCAAGAAGCCAGGCAGGAATTCTGATGTTACCCCAACAAGAATTGTTGCCACTGTCCCCCCAGCCACCAGTCTCCCCTTCCTACTCCCTACTCCCTACCCCTCACCCCCAAACTCCTCTTGCCAGGAATGACTGCTGGCCCAGGCCAGTGACAGAGAGCCAGGAACCTTCTCTAGAGGCTAGGCAACTTGAGCAGAAGCATCCCCCAGAGAGGCTGCCTGGAGTCCTGAAGCTGTTACCAGTTTTTTCTCACAGGCCTTTGGCAGCTGCCCATTTACCTGCCCAGGGTGCTGGGAAATTCCAGTCCCTGAGTTTTGGGGTGGGACTTGGTTGGTTCACTATAGGACAGGAGTGACCAATCAAAAACAGGCTCCAAAGGGGATGAAAGAAGCTAGGCACATGCATCACTTGTTGACTTCGTAGGTGGGGGGTGGGAGGGCTGTATTAGATAGTTTACCCACTGCAGACCTCTCTGGGACTTAGCCATCTGAATGCCAGGATAGTGGTAGTGGGAGACTCAAGGCCAAGTTGCTTCCATCTCCATATTTACTAGCTGGTTCTCAGAGAGTTTTCCCTGGACCGATAGCACCAGCATTCCCTGAAAAAATGCAAATTCTCAACCTCCACTCCACCTGCAAAATCAAAAACTCTGGAGGTGGGGCCCAGGAATTCGCCCTGTAACAAGCTCTCCACGAGATGCGGAGGCTCCCTCACTCAAGTTTGAGGACCACTGACCTTGGGGTGCCCCAACAAACAAAGGATCCAGGCCCCCGCGGGCCGTTGGCCAGGAACTCCGACTTCCCCGCCCCAGTCGCCCGGAGCCCCTCAGTGCCGTGTCTCCGTGTCCCCGCCAAAGATCGCAGGATAGGCAGGCCCGGGGCCGTCGGCGGCAGCCTCGCAGGGAGGAATGGTGGGTGGCCTTGAGATTCCTCTCTGGCTTATTTTGTTCCATTCCGGGAGTAATAATTTGTTTCGTATTGGAATCAAAGGGCCTTTCGTGGCTCTTCCGTTCTATCTCGTCAGCTCTCATGCCCAGTAGGAAGAGGCTCGGCCGCGGTGCGGCGGCTGCTTCGCATTAGGGCGAGCGTGGTCCCCATTAGGCCACCAGCTCCATGCAGAGCTTGTCTCCACTAATGGCACGCATCTGACCGGGCTCTGCGCCGCGACACCCAGGGACCACCCCACGTCCCCCCGCACTGTTACAGATGGCCCCAGAGAAAAGCGGAACTGGGTGGCTGGAGCCAGCCTTGGCAGTCCGAAGAGCTCGTGTCCACTGCCTGGAAGTCACAGCCATGAGTGACTCTGTTTAGTGTCAGACGCTGACCCCAAAAGAGGGCTACAGGCCCTTGTCTCTTCAGGGGAAGTAAATACACAGGCCCTTAGACTTTGGGACCCGGGCCTGCCAAAAGTAACTCCTAAGGAGGAAAGCATGGCAGGGTTTCCCTGAAAGGGTGAGAGGAAAATGGCTGCGTTTTACCTGTCTACCTAGCACCTGTGCCGGAGCCCCTCACAGATGATCAAGGAAACACGGTAGACCTGTTTTTCTCCTGGTTTAGCATCCATTTTACAAACAGTATAGAACATCTAATGAAGAGAATATCAAAAACAAAAAGCCATAGCCAGGCCTCCTGCCTTAATATCCCTTCCAGACAAGGAGGCACTGAAAGCAGCCCCCACCACCCACTGGGGAAGGGGATGGTGTCCTCAGCCCTGGCCAACCAAGGCCGCATGCCTTCCACACACACCTTCTTAAGGGTGACAAAGGATCTGTGCTGTGGACCTGCCAGGGTGTGGAGAAATAGGCAGACCCCTGCAACCACCAGAGCAAAGAATGTTACACAAAAGGCCCCATTGTTCGGGTCAAATTTCACACTTATTTTCTTTGATTTTATTAAATGTTTTATTGCACAAACAATATTGTAGTAATCATGGAAACTCGAAATTCAGATGGAAAGCCAATAACCATCCAACGTCTAACCACTAACAAAGCAATTCTTTTCATTTTTCCATATTGGTACACAATTCCCAGCTGTTTAACAACTGTATGACATATTATATGTCATACATATGTATATGTATAACATATTCAGCCACATGGATGTGGCCCAATTTATTTAATTCCTACATTTAGGATGTTTCCAGGTTGTTCACTACTATCAAAGGGAAACATTGCAATGGGCATTTGGAGATTTGTTTCTTTCCTTTATTTATTGAGGAATGCACATTATTTTAATAACTTTTATGTGATTAAATAGGCAATAGATATTTTTTGCAGGGAATTTGAAAAATTCAGATCATAAAAATCAGCCATAATCCCAAATGCCCTTTTGCTCATTAAGCTTTTCTCACCTCTGGGCTGGGCACAGTGGCTCATACCTATAATCCTAGAGCTTTGGGAGGCCAAGGTGGAAGGATTGCTTGAGGCCAGGAATTCACAAGTAGCCGGGGCAACATAGCAAGACCTGTCTCTACAGAAAAAAAAAAATTAATTAGTCGGGCATGGTGGCACATGCCTGTAGTCCTAGCTATTCAAGAGGATTCCTTGAGCCCAGGAGGTCAAGGCTGCAGTGAGCTATAATCGTGCCACTGTACTCCAGCCTGGGTGACAGAGCAAGACTCTGTCTCTAAAAATAAATAAATAAATAAAGCTTTTCTCACCTCTGAACTCTTACAGCACATGTTCTCTTTACCCCCATGATTTGACTCAGTTGTTTTCATCAGGTCTTACTTTGCGTTTCATGGCTGTTTGTCTTTTCCATACTCCTTAATTGTAATATTATTGAAGGCAAAAACCATGCCTTTTTCATCTGGAAATAACCATGATAGCTAGCTTTTATTTGGTGCCTATTCTATGCCAGCCATGATACATTATCTCACTTAGTTCCCACAAACTATATTTCCTTTTAATATGTAAGGAAAGTGAGACTGAGCAAGATTAAATAACTTGTGCAGGGCCCCCAGCCAGTAAATAGCACAGGGACAGAGGCCAACTCCACATTCTAACTGGGATCTTGCCACTGTAGGGATGTAAAGTAGAACTGTATTAGACAGATGACCTCTAAAATTTCCTGTGATTCATGACAATATTAATCTAGCTGTGGTTTAATAACCTGCTATATCTGCATCAATTACAATACAATACTGTGGGATTTTATTTTAAAAGGAATGTAAATAATGAGGGCTTTATTATCTCACAATAAAGAAGACAGAGATTACTGGCTGTAGGCTATAGGTACAGTCACTCTAAAACTTGGGCACAAGCCCTGCTACTTGTATCTTTTACCTCTGTGGACTGTAACAGACATCACATTCAGAATTTATTTTTCTTTTTTTTTTTTGAGACAGAGTCTCCCTAGAGTAAGACCCAGGCTGGAGTGCATTGGCCAAATATTGGCTCATTGCAAGCTCTGCCTCCTGATTTCAAGCCGTTCTCATGTCTCAGCCTCCCAAGTAGTTGGGATTTTGGGATTACAGGCATATGCCACCATGCCCAGCTAATTTTTCGTGTGTTTGTGTGTGTGTGTGTGTGTGTGTGTGCGCGTGCATTTAGCAGGAATGGGGTTTCACCATGTTGTCCGGGCTGCTCTCGAACTCCTGACTTCAAGTGATCCACCTGCCTTCAGCCTCCCAAAGTGCTGGGATTACAGGTGTGAGCCACTGCACCTGGCCCACATTTAAAATTTAAAAAAAGAAAGAAAGAAAGAAAGAAAAATTCTGATGGGAAAAGGAGCCATTTCTTCCAGACTCTTTCTTAGAAGTCTGATCCACTCTCCCTGAATCCCTCAGTAGAGTTCCCTATTCATCTCATGGGCCAGGACTGAGTCTGTTACATGCTGGTTCCTAAACCAACTGTTGGCAAAAGAATGAGACCACCATGGCTGACTCAGATAACTGGGATCTGCCTAAGAGTAGAGGCCAAGGTCTCTATGATTTTGTTGTTGTTGTCGCATACTCTGCTTATGTAATTTTTTTTCTTTTTTGAGACAGGGTCTCACTCTGTTGCCCAGGCTGGAAGGCAGTGGCACAATCATAGCTCGCTGCAGCCTCGAACTTCTGAGCTCAAGCGATCCTCCTGCCTTGGCCCCCCAAAGTGCTAGGACTACAGATGTGAGCCACTGCACATGGCCCTATGTAATATTTGAGTTACTTATATCCTTGAACAAAATCAGAGTTCCCTGACAAGGAAGAGAGGATGAAATGGCTGATAGGGAGACAGATAATACTATAATCTTAAAATAAAAAAAAGTACCAGCTGGGCACAGTGGCTCATGCCTGTAATCCCATCACCTTGGGAGGACAAAGTGGGAGGATCACTTGAGTCCAGGAGTTAGAGACCAGCCTGGGCAACGTGGCAAAACCACATCTCTACAAAAAAATTAACCGCTGTGGTGGTGCATGCCTGTGGTCCCAACTATTTGGAAGGCTGAGGTGGGAAGATCACCTGAACCTGGGAGGCGAAAGTTGAAGTGAGCTGAGACCTCACCACCACTGCACTCCAGCCTGAGAGATAGAGACCCTGTCAAAATTAAAAAAAAAAAAAAGGTACAGAAATAATGAATATATGTGAGCTACAAGTTAAGCAGTCTGAATATTTCCTTCTCTCACTTGGAATATTATTACTCATCTTTATTTATTTATTTATTTTTGCAATGGAGTCTCGCTCTGCCACCCAGGCTGGAGTGCAAGAGCGCTACCTTGGCCCACTGCAACCTCTGCGTCCTGGGTTCAAGTGATTCTTCTGCCTCAGCCTCCTGAGTAGCTGGGATTACAGGTGCCCACCACCATACCTGGCTAATTTTTGTATTTTTACTAGAGATGGGGTTTCACCATGTTGGCCAGCTGGTCTCGAACTCCTGACCTCAGGTGATCTGCCCGCCTCAGCCTCCCAAAGTGCTGGGATTACAGGCGTGAGCCGCCGCACCCAGCCTATTGCTTATCTTTAAGTCAGTCTATAGTTGTAAATAAATCAGCTAGATTTAACTGGGTGTTTGTGTTTTAAACTACAAAGTTTTGCAGGATAAAGAAAAAGGAACTCAATGTATGGTCTTGAGACTGGACTGCCAATGGGATCAGAGGTCTCTCTGTCTCTCAGCAGCCCTGTCTCTCTCTCCTGGACTGCATGATCTTTCCCAAGACCTCCCTGCTTCTTTTGCATGTCCCCCTGTTCTCTGCTGAATTGACCACTCCCTCCTGGATTTGTTATACATATGGCCACTGAGGACCCTCCAGCCCCTACTCCTTCTACAAATTGAAAACCTCTCTTGGAAATTCTTAATTCCAATCTCCAAGGGACAAACTACTTGAGGCTACTCATCCTGTCAAGACAAGTCACCTCAGAGGTTGCTGGCCTACCCAGTACCTGGAATGGTGGCCCTGGGGTCACAGGCCAGCCTTGGTCCAAGAAAGAGGACAGGGTCACTTGTCAGAAAACCTTACTGCTGAACACCTCCCGGGTTCAAGTGATTCTCCTGCCTCAGCCTCTGGAGTAGCTGGGACTACAGGCGTGTGCCACCACACCCAGCTAATTTTTGTATTTTTAGTACAGACGGGGTTTCACCATGTTGGCTAGAGTGGTCTCAAACTCCTGACCTCAGGTGATCCACCCGCCTCGGCCTCCCAAAGTGCTAGGATCACAGGCGTGAGCCACCGCACCCAGCCAGAGAGGAAGTGTATTTGTATATTTCACCCTGTCTTTCACAGGGGTTGTTTCAATGGCAAGCAAGTGAATTGAGCCAAAGAGACCCAATTGCAGAACTTTTGTAGGGACTGAAGGCAAAGAGAAGCTTCTTTCCACTAAGATTGATAGCTGTGGGGAAGAAATAAGCCCAAAACTTTAGAGAGCACCCAAGTGGAGAAAGCCTGCATGGGAGTAAAGCCAGCACAAAGGAAAGCAGAACAGACAGGAGTAAGACTGCGCTCTGACCACGCTGTTCAAGCTCCTGGATCCAGTTATACCTGAAGACTTGCCATGAGTTTTCAGTGACAAACCAATACACTTTCTTTCTTTCTTTTTATTTATTTATTTATTTATTGGAATTGTAAACAACTTAAGCTGAGTTTCCGTCATCTGCAATTGGAAGACTCCTAATACACTGGGCCTGTGTTACGGAGAAAAAAGCCACAGGCTGAGGCAGAAGAGTCCTCCTCAAGAAGGATCCCAAGAGTCCCAGGACCACAGGCAGCACTGCCTCCATGCCCAGGTCACAAGGTGCAACTCAGATCAGGGGAGGAGTGCTGGGGTGACAGCCTGGCTGCGAGGGACCACACAACTGTGTGGACCCTCTGGATCCTCGAGGACTGCAGCTTTGAGTGGCTGTCAGATGCACCCTGGGCAAGAACGTAACTCACAGCCATCACAGGCGTATAAAGCAATGGCAGAGTCACCACCCTCCACAAGGGGGCAGTGTGGTCCAAAGTGGAAGTAGGTGAGAGAAAAGCTTGTTACTCAAGAAACATCCCCTGTGGACTCCTGGAAGCACCCAGAGGAAGGGCAGTTTTGCAGTGAGCTGAGATCTTGCATTCTGTAGATGGAAACTGAAGCTGCTGATGCCTGGGTTAGGGCTGGGGGCCCCTAGCACCCACAGACAAGAGAAGCTCAATAGTTCCTAGTTTCAATAATTTTTCCTGAAGATGCCCTGGGAAGATGGCAGGTGCTCAGAGGAGATGATCATAGGCTGTACCTGTGACCCAGGCACACCAGCATGGCATGAAATTGAAGAGACGCCAGGCCCCAAGGACATGCAGCCCTGGGAGCAAATAACGTGGTAATAATATCCGAAGACTGACGTCCCAAGACCCCTGACAATAGGCAGGATGGGGGCTTAGAGTCAGAAATTGGATCATTTAAAGAAGGCCACGTAGCTGGGCTTGGTGGCACACATCTGTAGTCCCAGCTATTTGGGAGGCTGAGGCAGAAGGATTACTTGAGCCCAGGAGGTCGAGGCTACAGTGAGCTACGATTGTGCCACCCTACTCCAGCCTGGGCAACAGAGCAAGAGCCTGTCTCTAAAAAATAAATAAATGAAAAAGGGGACCACAACTAATGCTGTTTGTTTCACACTTGAGTTTGTAAAGCAATAGTAAATTCTCTATATCAGGGGTAAATAATAAATTTTCTATATCAGGGGTCCCCAATCCCCGGGCCACCAACTGGTACGAGTCCATGGCCTGTTAGGAACCGGGCCGCACAGCAGGAGGTAAGTGTGGCAGGTTAGCCAGTGAAGTTTCATCTGTATTTACAGCTGCTCCGAATTACCACCTGAGCTCAACCTCCTGTCAGATCAGTGGCAGCATTAGATTCTCATAGGAGTGCGAACCCTATTGTGAACTGTGCATGTGAGGGATCTAAGTTGCCCACTCCTTATGAGAATCAATGCCTGATGATCTGTCACTGTATCCCATCACCACTAGATGGGACCGTCTAGTTACAGCAAAACAACCTCAGGGCTCCCACTGATTCTACATCACGGTGAGTCGTATAATTATTTCATTATATATTGCAATGTAATAATAATAGGAATAAAGTGCACAATAAATGTAATGCACTTGAATCATCCCAAAACCACCCCCCACCCCCATGAAAAATTGTCTTCCGTGAAACTGGTCCCTGGTGTCAAAAAGGTTGGGGACCACTGCTCTATATGTGGTCTCTGCCCTCTCCAGGGCAAGCTGTCAGGAAAGGGCCTGGTGTGTCTGAGGGGACTTGGGAAGGGAATCCCAGTAGCAGAGACATGCAGGAGCCCAGCTTCTCCATGTCCTGGACTCTCTATCTCAGAGTACATGGGGTAAGGTCTGTGGCATTTTCTCAAGCCCTGGATAGGACAGCCACAATTCAGCCATGTGACCTCTCTCCTGAGCATAAATACAAGCGGCCCAACTTGGAACCACTTAAGAAGCAGAAACCAAACCCCAGCGAGATGGAAAGCACTTCACGCATCATCCAGCTCAACCCCCTCAGGGAGCCAAAAAACAAAATAAAATAAAATAAAATAGGCTGGGGCCTTGCCCAAGGTGGCATAGTGAACTGGTGACTCAGCCAGGAGCCAAAGCCAGGCCTCCTGACCACAAGTCTGGAGCTCTGTACCCTGTGCTGCAGGCCCTCTCTCCTGATGAAAATCTCCACATTCCAGATGAGGAAAAGGAAAAGATTTCTGCACCCTGCGTTTATCTTCACATCTGGACTTCACACTCTGGAATTCAATAGTGAGAGCTCATCACTGTCATTTCCTTGGGATAATGCCTATTGCCCTGACCCATAAAGCTTCAGTCTTACTTATTGCCCCAAACCAGCCCTAGCCACTACTGAGTTAGATGGTAACAACAGTAGCAATCATTTATTGAGCATTGTATTCATCAGCATTCTCCAAAGAAACAGAAACAATAGGAGTTGGAGAAGGGCTTATTTTAAGGAATTAACTCCTGCGATTGCAGGGACTGGTAAATCCAAAATCTTATTTTTTTCCTTCCGACAAGATGGCCAAAATCCAAAACCTATAAGGCATGCGAACAAACAGGAAACTCCGGCAAGGGCCCACACTGCAATCCTGAGTCCAAAGGCAGTCTGGAAGCAAAACTCCTACCTCTTCAGGGACATCAGTCTTTTCTATTAAGGAGGGTAATCTGCTTTACTCAAAGTCTACTGATTTAAGGCCAGGCACAGTGGCTCACCCCTGTAATCCCAGCACTTTGGGAAGCTGAGGAGGGGCATCAATTGAGGTCAGGATTTCAAGACCAGCCTGGGCAACATGGCGAAACTCCATCTCTCCTGAAAATACAAAAAAAAAAAAAAAAAAAAAAAAAATTAGCTGGGTGTGGTGGTGCGTGCCTGTGATCCCAGCTACTCGGGAGGGTGAGGCAGGAGAATTGCTTGAACCCGGAAGCTGGTGGGTGAGCCGAGATTGCTCCACTGCACTCCAGCCTGGGCAACAGAGTGAGATTCTGTCCCGAAAAATAAAAATAAAAAATAAAATTAAAAAATTAAAATAAAAAATAAAATCTACTGATTTAAGTGTTAATCATAGCTTTAAAAAAATACCAGCCAGGTACAGTAGCTCACGCCTGTAATCCCAGCACTTTGGGAGGCTGAGGCGGGTGGATCACCTGAGGTCAGGAGTTCAAGACCAGCCTGGCCAACATGACAAAACCCCGTCTCCACTAAAAATACAAAAATTAAGGTCGGGCGCGGTGGCTCATGCCTGTAATCCCGGCACTTTGGGAGGCGCAGGCGGGCGGATCACAAGGTCAGGAGATCGAGACCATCCTGGCTAACACAGTGAAACCCCGCCTCTACTGAAAATACAAAAAATTAGCCAGGCGTGGTGGCGAGCGCCTATAGTCCCAGCTACTCGGGAGGCTGAGGCAGGAGAATGGCGTAAGAAAACCCGGGAGGCGGAGGTTGTAGTGAGCCTAGATCGTGCCACTGCACTCCAGCCTGAGCGAGACTCCGTCTCAAAAAAAAAAAAAAAGAAAATTAACAGGGCATGGTGGCGGGAGCCTGTAATCCCAGCTACTGGGGAGCCTGAGGCAGGAGAATCACTTGAACCTGGGAGGCGGAGGTTGCAGTGAGCTGAGATCGCGCCATTGCACTCCAGCCTGGGCAACAAGAGCAAAACTCCATCTCCAAAAAAAAAAAAAAAAAAAAAAAAAAAAACCTTCACAGTAACATTTAGGCTACTTGTTTGACCAAAAATCTGGATACCATAGCTTATCCTAATTGACACATGAAACCATCACAAGCATTCCTCTGTGCCAGGCATTCAGATCATCTCAACAGCATTTTGAGACAGCCGTCATTATCCCCATCTTACAGAAGATAAAACCAAGGGCTTAAGTCCAAGTCCACGGGAAGTTGCGGACTATATCTGGAATTCCAGTCTCCCCTCCTTCCTTGTCCATGACTTCCCCCATCTCACCACTGGCTCTCACTCGGTTGCAAGAGCCCAAAAAGTGTGTCTAGGCCACAGGTTCTCAGCCACTGACGCACATTACAATCACTGAGAAAAACTCATCACTGAGTTTTTCTCAGAGATGAAGCAAACCAACAAACAAAAACCAATGTTCAGACCCTACCCCCAGAGAGTCTGATTGAGCTGGTCAGAGGTGGGCCCCTGAGCATCAGTATTTTAAGCTCTCCCAGGTGCTTCTAATGTGCAGCAAGGCTGAGAACCATGGTTATAGAAGGTGGGACAATGCAAAGCATGGGTCCCTCATCTCTTTGGAGTAAAGATTGCCCAGCAGAAAATAACCACAACCTAAATGAAATCAAGTAGCTATAAAATAGCCTGTGGGAAAAACTAGCAAATATATTTCCTTTCTCAGCATGAAATTGGCCATTTCCCCTCTCATTTTTCAAGCAGTGTACAGTGAGTATTTCTTTCATTATTTGGAGATACAAAAGAGTGAAACTGAGTTTAATTCATGTGGGCAACAGGCATTTGGTGAGCACTTGCTGAGTGTTGGGCAGCCAGCAGTCAGATCTAATGTGGTTCCTGTCTTTAGCCAGCAAGCCACTGAGGGGGGCAGTAAAGCCCATGAAACAACGTGGGAAGTGCAACGACAGAAACTTGTCCCAAAGGTGCCAGAGCCCAGAGATGGCGACCAGCAACAGGCTGGGCAGGTGAAACACTGGGTTTGACACTGTGAAGCCTGTATTTTGAGAGACTCACAACCACAATGAATATCCCTCCCTTTGTTGTCGAGGCCTTGAGTACTCGAGGCAGCAACCCAACTGTGAAGGGAACCAGCCAGGTCTACCAGCAGATCCTTACCTATTCTACCAGTCCTTGGTGAAATGAGAGAAGCTTACATTTAGAAGCTCTTGGTATTAAAATATCCCTTCTTTTCTGAATTGATAATAGAATTTGGCTTTGCTAATAATGTCCTGATGTGCCAAATCAACAATTGACAAGTCTGTGTGGTTTGCCCAATACTCCATGGGCTCATGAACTCCAAAAACCTGGGAAGCACCACAGTAGACAATGGCCTGGGGCCTCACAAGAGCAGGAACCTCTGTGATCCTGGTTTATGAGCATAGACCTGTCCTCACTCTGTGTACCCCTGAGCTGCCTGAATAAACCACATGACATAGATTATCAGCTCTTTTCATTTTTTTTTTTTTTTTTTTGAGACGGAGTCTCACTCTGTCGCCCATGCCGGTGTGCACTGGCTCAATCTCGGCTCACTGCAAGCTCCGCCTCCCGGGTTCACGCCGTTCTCCTGTCTCAGCCTCCCAAGTAGCTGGGACTACAGGCGCGTGCCACCACACCCAGCTAATTTTCTGTATTCTTAGTAGAGACGGGGTTTGACTGTGTTAGCCAGGATGGGATTGTCAGCTCTTTGAAAGAAGACATCTATATGTTGGAGCATAATATCAGCAGAATTGTTGAAGTGGGCATTTTCAGGTGTTTATTAGGAACAAATAGGATATACATTCTATTTTATGAAATGAAATGTTCTAATAAAAAAATTTCTTAAGTAACAAAAAATGAACAAATATGATTTTGTACTATGTAAGGTAGAAAATAAAGACAGCAGGGCTGGGCTCAGTAGCTCCCGCCTGTAATCCCAGCATTTTGGGAGGCTGAGGCAGGCAGATCTCTTGAAGTCAGGAATTCAAGACCAGCCTGGCTAACACGGGGAAACCCTGTTTCCACTAAAAATGAAAATTAGCCTGGTGTGGTGGCACACATCTGTAATCCCAGCTACTTGGGAGGCTGTACCCGGGAGGTGGAGGTTGCAGTGAGCTGAGATCTTGGCACTGCACTCCAGCCTGGGCTACAGAGGAGACTGTCGAAGAAGAAGAAAGAAGAAGAAGAAGAGGGAGAGGGAGAGGGAGAGGGAGAAGGAGAAGGAGAAGGAGGAGGAGAAAGAGAAGGAGAAGACAGCCTAACTTTCCTATTACTGGAATCTGGACTTCTTGGACTGGACACCCCTGACCAAAGTGGGAAAGTGGACCACCAACCTTGGTTTCTGCCACCCCAGATCTGGGATACTGGCCCATCACTGATGTGACCCTTTGTAAGAAAATCAGATCAACTGAGAAGGGGGCATCCGTGTTATGAGTGGCTACTAATAAAACAAGGTATACCTAATACAAGCAAATAAAACTGGCCGGGCGCGGTGGGTCACACCTGTAATCCCAGCACTTTGGGAGGCCAAGGCAGGGATTACTTGAGCCCAGGAGTTCAAGATCAGCCTGAGGAACATGGCGAAACCTCATCTCTACAAAACAACAACAACAACAAAATTAGCTGGGTGTGGTGGTACCCACCTGTGGTCCCAGCTACTTGGGAGGCTGAGGTGGGAGGATCACCTGAACTCAGGAGGTGAAGGCTGCAGTGAGCCGAGATTACACCACTGCACTCCAGCCTGGGCGACAGAGTGAGACCATGTCTGAAAAAAAATAAGACGAAACAACAGGCAAACCTACTACAATAAAATAAAACTGGCCAGGCACAGTGGCTCACGCCTGTAATCCCAGCACTTTGGGAGGCAGAGCGGGGTGGATAGCTTGAGCCCAGGAGTTCAAGACCAGCCTGGTAAACATGGTGAAACCCCATCTCTACAAAAAAAAAAAAGAAAGAAAGAGAGAAAAAAAAAATTAGCCAATGCACGCCTGTAGTCCCAGCTATTCAGGAAGCTGAGGTGGAAGGATCACCTGAGCCCAGGGACGTGGAGGCTGCAGTGAGCCGTGATTGTGCCACTGCACTCCAGTCTGGGTGACGGAGTGAGACCCTGTCTCAAAAAAAATAATAATAATAAAATAAAACTGTTTTTGAATGGGCAAGAACTTCACAAAAAAAAAAATTAATCAAGTTATGCAAAAGGAAAAAAGTGAGAAACATCTGAGGATGCCCAATGCCTCCCTTCTGACACCCCCTACCTCCCACCCCCAAAGCCTCACCAATTCCAGAGCTGCCTCCAAGGTGCTTCCAGCCCTGGAGATAAATGGGCCATTCCTGCCCACACCAGGAAGGGGAGTGGACTTGACTCCGGGCCAAGAGTCCTGCCAGGATTAAGGAAGGAGAACCAGCAAACCTGCATTTCCAGTGAGCACAGACCCATGTTCTCAGGAAGGGGAAAACTTCCAACAGGAACCACAGGAACTTTCTCCATTTTTAAAAATAGCGACTATGTATTCATTTTATTGTCACACACACACTTTATCAAGACTGAATAAAAGGAACAATATAGACAGAGGAGAAAAAAAGAGAACTATGGAGAGGAGGTAAAGCCATTTTGAGCCCTCAGGGCATCCATGAAGTCAGGAAACTTCAGTTCCAACAGCAACAGAAGCCATTCTCATGCTTGGACTGGTCGGTGCTCAGCTCTTTTATATATTGTTTTGCTTTTTGAGACAGGGTCTCACTTTATCGCTCAATCTGGAGCGCAGTGGTGCAATCACAGCTCACTGCAGCCTGGACCTGCCAGGCTCAAGAGATCCTCCCACCTCAGCCTCTCGGGTAGCTGAGAGTACAGGCGCGCACCACCAGGCCCACCTGGCTCCTTTTTTATTTATTTATTTATTTATTTATTTATTTATTTATTTATTTAATTTATTGTAGAGGCAGGGTCTCGAACTGTTAGGCTCAAGCGATTCTCCTGCCTCAGCATCCCAAAGTGCTAGGATTACAGGAGTGAACCACCATGCCCAGCCATTGCTCAGCTCTTCAAAGTCCAATCCTACCTTAGCGTAGGATTGTCATACCTTACGTATGTCAGTGACCCAGGCCCGCAACCACTACGGGAAATGGGCCCGGGATCCTGCAGGAGGGTTAGGGTCTGCAGATCCCGCTGGCCAAGCGGCCCCTAAGGCGCGTCTGGGCTCTGAGGGCTGCGGGCTGCGGGCTGTGGGCTGTGGGCTGTGGGCTGTGGGCTGCGGCCGCCAGGTGGCGCCCTGACTTCTGTTCGGAGGCCTTCCCCTCCCTGCGGATCCCTGGGACCCCCGCCAGGGCAGGGCACTCGCCCATACCGCGCCCGAGGGCTTGCGCGTAGTGTTCACAGACCGTGAAGAAGCTCCACCCCAAACACAGAGGCACTGCTTGCTTTGGCCCCAAAACCCTGGTGCAGGACCTAGGGGACGTAGGGCGGCAGGACGAACATTGGCCCGGCCCTCGCCTCCTCCTGTGACCCCGCAACCCCTCACCTCCCGCGGGGAGAAGAGGCGTAAGGTGAGTGTAGAGCTGGGCCCGGAGGAAAGCTAGGCCCTCCAAGAATGTGGGGTCTTCGCCCTTGAAAAAGCGGGTCTTCCAGATGACGCCGTGGCAGAAAGCGCCAGAGCCCCAGCCTTCCTGCCCCGCCCTGCGCTGCGCCCTCCCCCAGCCCTCCTCCTCTTCCCGCCCCGGGCGAAAGCAGAAGTGTCCGAAAGTTGGGAGGAAATGGCCCCGGAGCTCCCGGGGTTTCCAGCTCGCCTGCGGAGCGCGGGGCTCCAGTGCGGCGCGCTCGGGGCCGCCAGGGGGCGCTGTGGGGCGGGCCTGCCGCCGGGGGCGCGGCTGTTGCGCCCAAGGGAGAGCCGTCGCTGCCAGCCTTAGATTTCTTTAGGAAGGGACAAAGTGATCTGGAGCCCAGGGCTGGGAGAGGCTCTTCGGGCTCCCACCTTCAGGCAGGATTAATGTCGAGCCCTGAAGGCGGGGTCTCTGTCCCGCCCGCCGCTGCACTCCCAGCTCCTGGAACAGTGAATAACAGGGGCCATATTCACCAAATACTGACTGAGCGACAACAGCAGGAAATGTCCTAAGTCCCGGTGATGAATCAGTGAACAAACAAAGCCTCTGCCCTAGTGAGGTTCCTATTCTCCCCTGCGGGGATGGGGAAAACGATAAGCAAAACAGAAGTGTAAATGCATGTACGGTGAGGATAGATGCTGTGGAGAAAAACTAAGCGGGATAAGGAGGGTGAGGAATGCATGGTGCGGTGGAGACAGGAAGGTCAGGGAAGGCTCTGATCGGAGAGGGACGCTTCAGCAGATCCCTCCAGGAAGGGGCGAGTCAGCTAGGAACCGAAAAATAAGGAACACTTCAACGTGTTAAATGAATGAGTTTTAGAGGCAAGATGCCACACTGAGCAATGGCCCCTCTGGTGTGACCTGTCCTCCCTCTCTCCACACCTGTCTGCTCCCCTTCATCCATCCATTCATCCATCCAGCCGTCCCACAGGCACCTACCTGCTCCATGCTGGACCTTATGTGGGGTATATTTCATTTCCATATCCCCTACACCCAGGGATATGGAAATGAAAAAGACACACTCCTGCCAGGTGCGGTGGCTCACGCCTGTAATCACAACGCTTTAGGAGGCCAAGGCGGACGGATCACAAGGTCAGGAGTTGGAGACCAGCCTGACTAACATGGAGAAACCCCGTCTCTACTAAAAATACAAAAATTAGCCAGGCGTGGTGGCGCACGCCTGTTATCCCAGCTACTCGGGAGGCTGAAGCAGGAGAATCGCTTGAACCCAGGAGGCAGAGATCGCAGTGAGCCAAGATTGCGCCACTGCACTTCAGCCTGGGCAACAGAGTGAGACTCCGTCTCAAAAAAAAGAAAAGAAAAAGACACTCCTGGCTGGGCGCAGTGGCTCACGCCTATAATCCTAGCACTTTGGGAGGCCGAGGCGGGCGGATCACGAGGTCAGGAGATTGAGACCATCCTGGCTAACTCGGTGAAACCCCGTCTCTACTAAAAATACAAAAAATTAGCCAGGCGTGGTGGCAGGCACCTGTAGTCCCAGCTACTCGGGAGGCTGAGGCAAGAGAATGGCGTGAACCAGGGAGGCGGAGCTTGCAGTGAGCCGAGATCGTGCCACTGCACTCCAGCGTGGGCAACACATCAAGACTCCGTCTCAAAAAAAAAAAAGAAAAAAAAAAAAGAAAAAGACATACTCCTTGAAGAGAAAAAGGGCCTCACTCTTACTCTGGTGGTACCAGAGAATGGCATAGCCCTTTGGGAGAGTAATTGGACAGCATCTCACTTTTAAATATGGCCACCCTTTGCACCCAAAGCCCCAGGCTGGGACTTGCAGCCAGGAATTGCACAGTGGTCAGGCAGGCCCACTGACTGGAACTAGAACGTGGATTTTAACTCCAACCCCGTCTCTTATCAGCTCTAAAACCCTGAACATGCCATTTATCTGTCTGCCTCAGCTTTCACATCTGTAAAATTAAGCTAATAAAAATATCTAATTAATCGGAGTTTTGAGCTAATACATTGCAAAGGGCAGGGCAGACACATAGAAAGTGTTCAATACATGTTAGCTACTATTGTTAGCTCAGGCAAGGGTTTGGGCAGAAGTGCAATTTGTCTTTTTTTTTCTTTTTTTCTTTTTTTTTTTCTTGAGACAGGGTCTCACTCTGTCGTCCAGGCTGGAGTGCGGTGGTGCCATCTCAGCTCACTGCAACCTCCATCTCCGAGGTTCAAGAGATTCTCCCACCTCTGCCTCCCCAGTAGCTGGGACTACAGGCGCCTGCCATCACACCCAACCAATTTTTGTATTTTTTGTTAGAGGTGGAGTTTCACCCATGTTGGCCAGGCTGGTCTCAAACTCCTGACCTCAAGTAATCCTCCCGCCTCAGCCTCCCAAAATGCTGGGATTATAGGCATGAGCCACCGTGACTGCCCCAAATGCTCTTTGCAAAATTATCTGCATAGCGCCATCCCGAGGCAACCTCAATAAAGTTCCATCAATAGGGAAATGAATCCAATTATGGTCTATCCATACTATAGAAGAAAATGTAATTTTAAGAAGATTGTGTTAATGGGAGACAATTTGAGACCCATATCAGCAAGTCAGACCAAATGTGAAAAAGCAGTGAGTCCTGTGGAACATTGGGATATGTGACATAGGGAGGACTGGAGGGGACTTGGCCTCTGGGGGCCTCTGTTTCTCCAATGAGAGACAATTTGAGCTGTTATCTGAACAGTCAGTCAATACTAATCAACTTTTTTAAATGCACACATCTTTTAACCCAACAGTTCTACTTTTAGGAGCTTATTCAACAGTTACACTTGCACATTTGCACAAAGAATCATAAAAAAAGGTTTGTGGCAGTGCTGTCAAAGGCAAGAACAACCTAAATGTCCATCAACACAGGAATTGTTAAAAAATTATGATGTATCCATCCAGTGAAAGCTTATGTAGCCTTTAAAGTTATCAAAGCAGGTCTAGATGTGCGGATGTAGGAAAATTACATGTAAAATCGTCTTCAATTTAAAAAAAAAAGACAAAGAAAAGCTTAGGTACTCACAATAAGAGTCATGAAAACTTTTGAGAGGGCAGGGGGCTGCTCTGGGGACCCCCAAGGAGATAGCCTCCGATAATGGTGAGTCCTGAAGGTAGAACACCCCCTCATTCTGCTTTGTTTCTTCTCTCCACCCTCAGTGCCCAGGACAGGACAGGACAGGACAAGTACTTATTGAGCGCCACAGAGAGAGAAAGAAGATAGGACAGGCTCTTGGGGCTCTGAGGCTCACAACAAACAAAATGTGATGGGGCAGCCCCTTGGAGTAACTCCAAGTCTGAGCTCAGCAGAGCTACAAGACTTCTGGATGTGCAGAGCCCAAGTTTCCCATCATTTCATCCCTGCTAGTGCTCTGGGCTGGGCTGAAGCAGCTTGTTCTGCTAGATTTGGAACAAACACAAGCGCCTAGAGGAGACCGAGCAACACATACTGATCCTATCAGGCCTAGCTGAGCCCAAGAGTTTCCTAGCTTTGCCCCATCTAACCATACTCTTTCAGGCGTCTTATCTGGTTCCTGTAAGTCTTGGCCCCCAGTCCATCTCCATGCAAGCAAAAATCCCTTGGACCCCGAAAGCTAATGAAATTTTAAAAATAAAAAAATTAAATTAAAAACAGAAGAAATCCGAAAAAAAAACTGAGATCTACAATCTCACAAAGAAATAAAAGAATATGAAATTGCTACTATTCAACGATTAGTTTTACCTTAAAAACGGCAGCTTTATATGGCTAATCTTAATGAATTAAAACAACTTTGAGATATTATTTTTATCCTTTCATACTGGCAAAGATTAAAAAGGTTTGTTAACATCTTGAATCAGCAAAACTCTGGAGAAACAGGCACATTAAGGGCAGAAGACAAACTTGTACCATCCCTATGAAAGGTGATTTTGGCAATTAACTGTTAAATGACAAATCTAAATACCCTTTGGCCTAGCTATTCCACTGCTAGAAGTTTATTCTACAGATATACTCACATACCTGGAATGTACACAGTTATTAATTACGACATTGTTTGTAATCACAGAGAATAAGAAAAAACCAAGCACCTATCAATTGGTGGACTGGTTAAATAAATTATAGTACATTCTCTCTTTCTTTCTCTCTCTCTCTCACACACACAGACACACACAAAAATTATCCATAAAAATTAAATAAGAAATCTCTTTAGGGGCCAGGTACGGTGGCTCATGCCTATAATCCCAGCATTTTGGGAAGCCAAGGCAGGCAGATCACCTGAGGTCAAGAGTTCGAGACCAGCCTGGCCAATATGGTGAAACACCGTCTCTACTAAAAATACAAAAAATTAGCCTGGCATGGTGGCGCACGCCTGTAATTCCAACTACTCGGGAGGCTGAGACACGAGAATTACTTGAACTCAGGAGGTGGAGGTTGCAGTGAGCCAAGATGGCACCACTGCACTCCAGCCTGGACAACAGAGCAAGACTCTGTCTCAAAAAAGAAAAAAGAAATCTCTTTACGTACTGATTTGAAATGCTTTCTAAGATCTAATCTCATCTGTATGCAAATTTTTAAAAACATGCACACAAGGTACAGAACAATGTGTATAGTATGTTACCATCTGGGTAAAAAAGGTGTGTTATGGTATCTAAAAAATTGAAAACATTTGTTGTAGAGGGGAACTTGGATAGCTGGAAAATAGAAGTAGGAAGGAGACTTTTCATTAAAATGCTGTTTTGTGCCTCTTGAATTTTGAATCTTCTGAATAATTGCCCAGTCAAAACAAACAGCAAACAAAGCACACCGGAGGAAACAATGAAGCTTTCCAGAGTGGAAAGCCAGGAACCTGGAGCTTAGAGGCAACCTGAGGAGGCAAAACTAATCCAAGTGGGGTAGAGGGAGATTGCCACAAGGCCATAGCTCACCTAAGCCAGGGAAGAGGAGTAGCCCCATTACCATCAGTCCCAATGACCCACTCTGTGCTTCCTGTCCCCGCGACTCTAGGCTTTGCAAGGTTAGAGACCCTAGTCCCCGAAGGCGCTGCACTCTTGCCAGGGGACACAACAAGGGTCCTATTGAATTACAAACTATAGCTACTCACCAGTGTCTAGCTGATGAGAGAAGGAGTCCCCATAACAGCATGAGTAATTGATGGCAATCTCAGATCACTGCAGCCTCCGCCCCCGACTCGCCTGACCCCGCCACCCACTCCATCTTGGGTTCAAGCGATTCTCCTGCCTCAGCCTCCCAAGTAGCTGGGACTACAGGGGCACACCACCACGTCCGGCTAATTTTTGTATTTTTTGTAGAGATGGGGTTCTCGCTATGCTGCCCAGGCTGGTCTCCAACTCCTGGGCTCAAGGTATCTGCCCCCACTTGGGCTCCCAAAGTGCTGAGATGACAAGCGTGAGCCACTGCACCTTTCCCCCGCATTGCAATTGTGAATGGACATGTGTAGTAACCCCAGTCTAAGAAGGGTATAATTACCAAGGGTCACTCCACCGCGTAAGCTACAACCAGCAAAAGTGATCCATGAGGGTGAGGGGGATTGAGTAGATAGTGGAGGAGGGAGAAGATAAGTACCAGTTACAACCATGAGATCAGCTGCAGCAATGGGGGCTGTAGCTGTCCAACTAGTTAGAAAAAGAGGCCTTGAGGAACCACAGAGGAACTTCTCCCTGGACCTGTGTGGAAAGGCATGTTCATGCAATACCAGCAGGTGAACTGAAGCAACCATGAGAATGTGCCTCTCAGATCTCACCTGCAGGGAGCATATTTCACCAATGGTCCTGTGTGTGCTCTGAAATCTGTCAGAGCACAGGCTGCTCCCAGTCAATGTCTGAGCATTGTGGGAACACTGTACCCAGGAGATGTAGGACTCTTCTCAGAGGCAGTTTTGGCTCAAAGACTCCCCCTCAAAAGTGATGCCAAAACTTTCTTAGAATTGCACTGCACTGTAAGATTCTTCCCGTCTAACTTGCCTTCCTTCCTTCCTCCCCTCTCTTCTCCATCATAGCCTGATGCTCTCCCAGGCTTCACCAGCTTCCTTTCCATTTTCCCTTTCAGGCCTTTTCTCAGTAAATCTCTTGAGGTCTAACCCAATCTTGGCATCTACTTTTTGGAAGACCGGCACTAACACAAAAGCTACTGCTATTGTGTATAAAAGTGAGTTCCAAGCTTCCCGGAAGTCAAAGGAAAAATATTACTGTATAGTATTCATTAGTGTTCTTCATCAAACACTTGTAGTTCCCCCACTTCCAGGCACCTTGATATGATTGATTCCTTGAATTGGATAGGGCCATGTGACTAGATATGTTGCTTTAAGTTAGTAAGATTTGGGGAGGCCAGGCACGGTGGCTCACGCCTGTAATCCCAGCACTTTAGGAGGCCAAGGCAGGCTGATCACTTGAGCCCAGGAGTTCGAGACCAGCCTGGCCAACATGGTAAAACCCTCTCTCTACTAAAAACACAAAGAAATTAGCCGGGCATGGCAGCACAAGCCTGTAATCCTAGCTACTCAGGAGGCTGAGGCACAATAATCATTTGAATCCGGGAGGCAGAGGTTGCAGTGAGCCAAGATTGCACCACTGCACTCCAGCCTGGGTGACAGAAGAGTCTCTGCCTGAAGAAAAAAAAAAAAAAAGGTGGGAGAAATCCTTTTTGTAACCATAACCCAGACTTTCCTGACTAATGTACATTGGTTCCTATTATCTAATTCAGTGTTTGCCAATAGCAATGCTATAGACATTTTGAATCAGATAATTCTTGGCTATAGGGACTGTACTATGCACGTAGGATGTTTTAGCAACATCCCCGGCCTCTACCCACTAGATAACTGTAGTAAGACTTTCACAGTTGTGACAACCAAAAATGTCTTCAGACATTGCAAAATACCCACTGCTGGACAAAATCGCCACCAGTTAAGAACTACTCACGTAATGAAGAGCAGTAAAATCTTTCTTCAAAAAGAGATCAAGAGGCCGGGCCCAGTGGCTCACACCTGTAATTCCAGCACTTTGGGAAGCTAAGGCAAGAGGATTGTTTGAGACCAGGAGTTCAAGACCAGCCTGGGCAAATGGTGAATCTCTGTCTCTACAAAAAAATACAAAAAAATGGCTGGGCACGGTGGCTCACGCCTGTAATCCCAGCACTTTGGGAGGCTGAGGCAGGCGGATCACCTGAGGTCGGGAGTTCGAGACCAGCCTGACCAACATGGTGAAACCCTGTCTCTACTAAAAATACAACATTAGCCGGGCGTGGTGGCACATGACTGTAATCCCAGCTACTCGGGAGGCTGAGGCAGGAGAATCGCTTGAACCTGGGAGGCTGAGGTTGTGGTGAGCCAAGACAGGGCCACTGCACTCCAGCCTGGGCAACAGGAGAGAAACTTTGTCTAAAAAAAAAATTAGCCAGGCATGGTGGTGTGTGTCTGTAGTCCCAGCTACTTGGAAGGCTGAGGTGGGAGGATTGCTTGAGCTGAGGAGGTGAACGGTCCAGTGAGCCAAGACAGTGCCACTGCACTTCAGCCTGGGTGACAGAGCCAGACCCTGTCTCAAATAAATAAATAAGATCAAATTTACAATGGAATCATATAAAATGCTCAATTAAAATCAGAAAAGGCAGAAAAAGAAGGAAGAGGATATAACAAGTAGAAAACAGCTACAAACATGGTGAATATTAAACTGCAATGGGTAGGGAAGTCCTCCTGGGCCTGGGAACCAAAGGGTGGAAGCAGGGGTGGCCTATATCAATAATCACTTTAAAGGTGAATGGTCTCAAGAGAATGAGATGACAAGCCACAGACTGGGAGGAAATATTTGGAATTCTGTACTTTTAGCTCAGTTTTACTGAAAACCTAAAATTGCTCTAACAAAGTCTATTTTTAAAATATTTTTGAAATGTGACTAGCCTAAATACACAAAATAAAAGACAGAGATTATCAGAATGGGCAAAATAACCTACAGCTAGCATTATAGTTAGTAGTAAAAAATTGGATGCCTTCCCCCTAAAATTGGGAATAAGGCAAGGATTTTCTCTCTTACCACTCTTACTCAACATTGTATTAGATGTCCCGGCTACTGTGATAGGCCAAGAAGAGGAACCAAATGCAGATTGCGAAGGAGCTGCAGATGACATGACTGTCTATGCAGAAAATCCCAAATAATTGACAAAACAACTTCAGGAACTAATAAATAAATATAGCAAGGTCGTAGTTCACACTGATATAAATAAACAATTAAATGAGAGAGAAGTGATAAATCTTCTTTGCAGAAGAATTCTAAATAATATATATAGTCCAGGCACAGTGGCTCATGTCTGTAATCCCAGCACTTTGGGAGGCTGAGGCAGGAGGAGTACAGGAGTTTGAGACCAGCCTGGGCAACATAGTGAGACCTCGTCTCTACAAAAAATAAACAAAATTAGCCAGCATGGTGCCACACACCTGTAGTCCCAGCAACTCAGGAGACTGAGGTGGGAGGACTGCTTGAGATTGGGAGGTCGAGGCTGCAGTGAGCCAAGATCACGCTACTGCACTCCAGTCTGGGCAACAGAGAAAGACCCTGTCTCCAAAAAATAATAATAATAATTTAAAAATTAGGCCAGACGTGGTGGCTCATGCCTGTAATCCCAGCACTTTGGGAGGCCGAGGTGGGCGGATCACAAGGTCAGGAAATCGAGACCATCCTGGCTAACACGGTGAAACCCCGTCTCTACTAGAAAATACAAAAAATTAGCCGGGCGTGGTGGCAGGCACCTGTAGTCCCAGCTACTCGGGAGGCTGAGGCAGGAGAATGGCGTGAACCAGGGAGGCAGAGCTTGCAGTGAGCCGAGATCGTGCCACTGCACTCTAGCCTGGGCGACAGAGTGAGACTCTGTCTCAAAAAAAAAAAAAAAATTAAAAATTAATGTATATAGATACTCCCCTATTGTTATAGATTTAACTGTGTTCTACAAAAAGATATGTTATAGCCTAAACCCTGGTACCTGTGACCTTATTTGGATAGGGTCTTTGCAGGTAGAATCAAGTTAAAATGAGATATTTAGTGTGAGCCCTAACCCAGTACGACTGATGTCATTATAAGAAGAGGAGAGCCACAGACAAAGACAAAGAGAACAGAAGGAGAGCGTCATGTGCCCACAGAGGCAGAGAGTGGAGTGATGATGTGTCTGTAAGGCCAAGGGTTGCCAGCGGCACCAGAAATTAAGTTGTCCCCGAAGTTCATGTGTTGGAAACTTAATCCCTAGTATACCAGTGTTGAAAGATGAGATCTTTAAGAGATTGCTAGGTCATGAGGGCTCTGCCCTCATCAATAAATTAATACCATATTGTGGGAGTTGGTTAGGTATCTTGGAAGCGGGTTCCAGATAAAATAATAAATTTGACCCCCATTCCCTTCTCTCTCTCAAGCATATTCTCTTGTCTTTCTGCCTTCCACAATGGAATGAGCAGCAAGAAGGCCTTCAGCAGATGCAGTGCCCTTGAACGTGGCCTTCCCAGCCTCCAGAACTGTAACAAATAAGTCTATGTTCTTCGTAGATTACCCAGTCTCAGGTATTCTGTTATAGCAACATAAAGTGAACTAAGACAGAAGACATGGATCAAATTCTCCCCTAGAACCTTCAGAGAGGGCATAGCCCTGCTGACATTTTGATTTCAGACTTCTAGCCTCTAGAACAAGGGTTCCAACCCCTGGGCTGAGGACCAATACCAGTCCATGCCTTGTTAGGAACCGAGCTGCAAAGCAGGAGGTAAGTAGCAGGTGAATGAGCATTGCCTGAGCTCTGCATCCTGTCGGATCAGTGACAGCATTTGATTCTTTTGGGACCGTGAACCCTATTGTGAACCGCACATGCAAGGGATCTAGGTTGCACACACCTCATGAGAATCTAACTAATGCCTGATGATCTGAGGTGGAACAGTTTCATCCCAAAACCATCCCCCAGTCCCCACATCTGTGGGAAAACTGTCTTCCATGAAACTGGTCCCTGGTACCAGAAAGGTTGAGGACTGCTGCTCTAGAACCATGAGAGAACACATTTCTGTTCTTTTAAGCCACCAGTTTGTGTACTTTGTCACCATTGCCTTAGGAAGCTGACATACTCCTCAAGGAGGTGGAACATAACTCCCACACTTAAGGAGTGGGCATAGTGACTTCCTTCCAAAAAGAACACTGTGGAAAGGGCGAAAAAAAAGTAACTTTACAGTAGCGAAACCTGATGAAGCCAGGTGACCAAACTCAACATCAACAGTGATGACTCATGTTGATTGTATGTACCTTGATATGATGTGATGAATATGTGGTCTTCCTCCCAAAAACCTATAACCACCAGCCAGGCACGGTGGATCACGCCCTGTAATCCCAGCACTTTGGGAGGCCAAGGCAGGTGGATCATCTGAGGTCAGGAGTTCGAGACCAGCCCGGCCAACGTGGTGAAACCCTGTCTCTACTAAAAATGCAAAAATTAGCTGGGTGTGGTGGCGGGAGCCTGTAATCCCAGCTACTCAGGAGGCTGAGGTAGGAGGTTGCAGTGAGCCAAGATCCCGCCACTGCACTCCAGCCTGGGTAACAGAGCGAGACTCTGTCTCAAAAAAAAAAAAAAATAGCCAAGTGTGGTGGGGGACACCTGTAATCCCAGCTACTTGGGAGGCTGAGGCAGGAGAATCACTTGAACCCAGGAGGCAGAGGTTGCAGTGAGCCAAGATTGCACCACTGCCCTCCAGCCTGGGCAACAGAGTGAAATGTGAAACTCCATCTCCAAAAAAAAAAACATCCATAACCCCAGTCTAAATGTGAGAAAAACATTGAAAACATTGGACAGATTCCAATGGAAGAGCATTCTACAAAATACGAGACCAATATTCATCAAAACTGTCAAGGTTATCAAAACCAAGGAGAATCCGAGAAACCACCCCAAGCCAACAGGAGCCTAAGGAGACATGATAACTAGATGCAGTGTGATACACTGAATGGTATCCGGGATTACAAAAAGGACATTAGGTGAAGATTAAGGAAATCGGCTGGGCGCAGTGGCTCACGCCTGTAATCCCAGCACTTTGGGAGGCCAAGGCGGGCGGATCACGAGGTCAGGAGTTCAAGACCAGCCTGACCAACATGGTGAAACCCGTTTCTACTAAAAACACAAAAATTAGCCGCGCATAGTGGCATGGATCTGTAATCTTGGCTACTCAGGAGGCTGAGGCAGGAGAATCACTTGAAACTGGGAAGTGGAGGTTGCAGTGAGCCAACATCGCACCACTGCACTCCAGCCTGGGTGACAGAGCAAGACTCCAGCTCAAAAAAAAAAAAAAATACTTAAGAAAATCTGGGCCAGGTGCAGTGGCTCACACCTATAATCCCAGAACTTTGGAAGGCCAAGGCAGGAGGATTACTTGAGCCCAGGAGTTTGAATTTACAATGAGCCATGATCATGTCACTGCACTCCAACCTGGCTGACAGAGGAAGGTCCTGTCCCTAAATTTAAAAATAAATAAATAAATCTGAATAAACTGTGGACTTCATTTATAATCATTGGTCAATATTGGTTAATTAATTGGAACAAATGGACCATACTAACATAAGATTAATAATAGGAATAATAGGAGAAACAGAGTGGAGTAAAGGGGTAACTATATGTTCAATTTTTTCTTTTTTTTTTTTTTTTTTTTTGAGATGGAGTTTCACTCTGTTCACCCAGGCTGGAGTTCAGTGGTTTGATCTCGGCTCACTGCAACCTCTGCCTTCTGGATTCAAGTGATTCTTCTGCTTCAGCCTCCTAAGTAGCTGGGACTACAGGTGCACGCCACCACACCCAGCTAATTTTTGTATTTTAAGTAGAGATGGGGTTTCACCATGTTGGCCAGGCTGGTCTTGAACTCCTGAACTCAAGTGATCCACCCGCCTGAGCCTCCCAAAGTACTGGGATTACAGGTGTGAGCCACAACGCCTGGCCTATATCTTCAATTTTTATATAAGTCTAAACAGTTCCATAAAATAAAATCTGCTTCAAATTTTTTTTTTTTTTGAGACAGAGTCTTGCTCTGTGGGTCAGGTTGGAGTGCAGTGGCACAGTCTTGGCCACTGCAACCTCCGTCTCCCCGGCTCAAGCAATTCACCTGCCTCATCCTCCGAAGTAGCTGGGATTACAGGCATGTGCCACCATGCCTGGCTAATTTTTGTATTTTTAGTAGAGACGAGGTTTCACCATGTTGGCCAGGCTGGTCTTGAACTCCTGACCTCAGGTAATCCACCCGCCTCGGCCTCCCAAAGTGCCAGGATTACAGGTATGAACCACTGCACCCAGCTTCAAAATTTTTTAAGATTAAAAAAAAAAAAAAACCAGTGTTGCAAAGATGTCAATATTCCTCCAAAATGCTATAAAAGTTAACTTTTTTTTAAGAGAACAAATTTATTATGGTGCTTACTCTACGACAATTTGCCATTTGATCTTCATATCATTGCTGGTGGGCATCATAATGGACTTTTTTTTTCCATTGTAATTCTGTGTTCTTTGTGGCAGAACTGTTTCCTATGTGAATGCCTCACTTGATGATCTTGGTTGAAGATGAGGGTATGTGGTTATGTCATTATTCCCTGAATGATTGTTTGCAGTGTGCTGCAGGTAAAGAGCTTCGTAATAGAGGTGTCCTTCAGGGAGGCCCTCAGGTTTCCTGAACAAGACCCACAGAAAGGCTGCATCTGATTGGGCTCACCATGCCTTAAGATCTAGAATCCATTTCTACAAATTCAAACCCTTAGTTCTGTCCCTTTTGCCCAGAGCTGATATACCTATAGAAGGCAGGTCCCCTGACTGAGCTCCACAGGCAGATGTAGAAGCCAGAACCAACCCTGTAAGAGGCCAGAAAACCAATCTGGTCAGGTGACCCTTCAGGAAAATACAGAAAGAATAATTCCACTAACACATAATATTTGCCATGTAAACATTTTTATTGGCCAGGCACAGTGGCTCACACCTGTAATCCTAGCACTTTGGGAGGTTGAGGCAGGCAGATCACTTGAGCCCAGGAGTTTGAGACCAGCCTGGCCAATTTGGTGAAATCCTGTCTCTACAAAAAAAATACAAAAATTATCTGGGCGTGGTGGCATGCACCTGTAGTCCCAGCTACTTGGGAGGCCAAGGTGGGAGGATCACCTGAGCCCAGGAAGTTGGGGCTGCAGTGAGCTGAGATTGAGCCAGTGTACTCCAGCCTCACTCCAGGATCTCACTCCCTCACTCCAGGACAACAGAGTGAGACCCTATCTCAAAAAAAAAAAAAAAATATATATATATATATATATTAGAATGATGACCAAGGGTTATCCCATACTACTCCATTACTATGCATATTAATAGCAAAGGGAGGGAAGAGCCTTTACAATGGAGGGACTTGGCAATTACTATCTGAACACAATCTTCAGATGTAACATCACCAATGGTGGGGCAACCTGACATGATGTCCCTGCTGGTATGATGCAATATAAAGTACAATGTCACTTTTTTCCTTTGAGACAGAGTCTTGCTCTGTCACCCAGGCTGGAGTGCAGTGGCATGATCCTGGCTCACTGCAACCTCCGTTTCCCAGGTTCAAGCAATTTTTGTGTCTCAGCCTCCTGAGTAGCTGGCATTATAGGCATGCATCACCCAGCTAACTTTTGTATTTTTAGTAGAGACAGGGTTTCACAAAGTTGGCCAGGCTGGTCTCAAGTGACTCACCTGCCTTGGCCTCCCAAAGTGCTGGGATTGCAGGTGTGAGCCACCATGCCCAGCCTACAATGTGACCTTTGAAAAACTTCTTACCATAAAAGCAAACTCAAATCCAATTGAAGCTACAGAGTTGACTTTTATTTTACAGGAAATACAAGAAGTAGAGGAAGAAGTTAAATAACAATGTGAATAAACCATCAGACAAATCCTAAATGTGGGGACATTCTACAACTTTCTTTGTTTTTTCAAAAATTCTGTCATGAAATAAAAAAGATTGGGGGATTAGGGAGCAGTTCTCTATTCCACAAATTCAGTAACGTAGACTTCTCCCATCTGCGATGCTGTCATGGTTAACACACTTCCTACAAGGCCACCCAGGAACAGGAAGGGAACATGCAGAATCTTTTTTTTTTTTTTTTTTTTTGAGACGAAGTTTCACTCTTGTTGCTCAAGCTGGAGTGCAATGGCATGCTCTCGGCTCACTGCAACCTCCGCCTCCCGGGTTCAAGCAATTCTCCTGACTCAGCCTCCCAAGTAGCTGGGATTACAGGCACTACAGGTGCGCGCCCACGCCGGGCTAATTTTTTGTATTTTTAGTAGAAATGGGGTTTCACCATGTTAGCCAGGCTGGTCTGGAACTCCTGACCTCAGGTGATCTGCCCGCCTTGGCCTCCCAAAGTGCTGGGATTACAGGCAAGAGCAACCACGCCCGGCCACCACGCAGAATCTTACCGGATGGGCCGGGTGTCAGGAGTTCAAGACCACCCTGGCCAACATGGTGAAACCCCGTCTCTACTAAAAATACAAAAAATGAGCCGGGCATGGTGGTGTGTGCCTGTAATCCTAGCTACTCAGGAGGCTGAGGCAGGAAAATTACTTGAACCCAGGAGGTGGAGGTGGCAGTGAGCCAAGATCGAGCCATTACACTCCCGCCTGGGCAACAACAGCGAAACTCAGTCTCAAAAAAAAAAGAATTTTCCAGGATGGTTTTTAATAGGCCAAGCTTCAGAGTGCTATATGTCAGCTCCTACTTATATTTTTTTTGCCATAACTTTATATGATTTCCTATCTAGCTGCAAGAGAGCTAGGAAGTGTGACCTAGCTAGAAGCTTAGGAAGGAGAAGAAAGGGTTTTGGTGAGCATCTAGTCAGTCTCTCCACACATATGGTAAGCACCACTTACCCCTCCAGTAGGACAGGTCTGAGCGTGGCCTTTGCCAGGCAATCCTAAAGTATGCATACCCTCAGTCCCATGCCAGTCCTCGATCTGAGATGGACTGGCAACCCAGTGTCCACCTTCATCCTGTCATCCCCCATAGTCAATCAATCACTAAATACCAACCTCTCCCTCCTTACACATGTCTCTAAATAGCCAATGCCTTTCTGTCTGCAACTGCCAGACCTTTGTGCAACAGCCTTCCATCTGGTCTCCCTTCATGCAAGACTTCTGCTCTCAGGGAGCTTATATTCTTCTATAAGGCTGCAAGTGAGCAAATACATCAAGGAACAAGAGAATGGCAGGTGCTATGAGGAAGCAGATGTTGAAATGGTAGAGAATAGCTGTTTGGGGTGTAGAGGAGTGGTTAATACATAGAGAGCAGTCAGTGAAGACTGCACTGTGGCAGTAGCTGTGGCAGATAGTATTTCCCAAAAATTATCCAGAAAAACAATATTTCAATTTCCACACGCTGTTTCAGAACCCTGCCACTCCCTCAAGTGGCAGACTCTGTGTTCCCTTCAGTTGAATTCCCATGGGTCTTTTGGTCTTCTCAACTAATAAAATACAACAGAACTCCCAAGGCTAGGTCAGAAAAGACATTACAGCTTCCACCTGACTTTTGTTTTGTTTTTTTTGAGACAGAGTCTCACTCTGTTGTCCAGGTTGGATGACATGCCATGCCATGCAGTGGCATGATCTCAGCTCACTGCAACCTCTGCTTCCTGGGCTGAAGCAATTCTCATGCCTCAGCCTCCCAAGCAGTTGGGATTACAGGCACACGTCACCATGCTCAGCTAATTTTTGTATTTTTTTTTTGTAGAGACGGGGTTTCACCATGTTGCCCAGGCTGCTCTCGAACACCTGAGCTGAAGCTTCCCAAAGTGTAGGGATTACAAGCGTGAGCCACCGTGCCCAGCCTCTACCCAACTCTTTTAGGACACATTCCCAGGAGCCTAGCTACGTGGAGAATAGCTAAAGCCCCAGCCTTCAACCCTTGCTTAACTCATAGAGGACTGCCATGTGAGTGAGCCAACTCAGAGGCAAATTCTCAGTTAGCTGATTTGCCCCAGCTGATGGTGCATGGAGCAAAATGAGCCTTCCCCATGAAGCCCTGCCCAAAATACAGATATATGAGCAAAATAAATGATTGTTGTTTTGAAGCCACTGAGTTTTGGAGTGTTTCACTATGGAGCAATAGTAACTGAACTCAGGCCTAAATACCAAGGAGTCAGCCATGAGGAAATCTTCATAGAGCATTTTAAGCATAGCCAACA
Organism: Homo sapiens; assembly: GCF_000001405.40. Lineage (NCBI taxonomy): Eukaryota > Metazoa > Chordata > Mammalia > Primates > Hominidae > Homo > Homo sapiens. Next base: position 138,899,640 of record NC_000003.12, on the reverse strand, counting down.
ACAAATCCCATGGCTTGAAGACAGGAACAAGCTTGGCACACTGAGGAACAGAGACGGTCAGGTAGCTGAGGGGGAGAGCCCTAAGAAGCGTGGTTGGAGAGGAAGGCTGAGCCACATTAAAGCCTCTTGGGCCATGAAGAAGTCTGAAATGATCAAAAGTTCAGTAGGAGTTCATTCTCCTCATAGCCGCAAGAGCCAACAAGGGTTGTGAGCAAGGCAATGATGGGATTTATTGTCTTAAAAGATGGCTCCAGAAGCTATGGGGAGAATGATACGTAGCAGTATGAAAGTGGAAGCAGATGCTGGGCACGGTGGCTCATGCGTGTAATCCCAGCACTTTGGGAGGCCGAGGAGGGTGAAGAGCTTGAGCCCAGGAATTCAAGACCAGCCTGGGCAACATGGCAAAACCTTGTCTCTACAAAAAATACAAAAATTAGCTGGGCATTGTGGTGTGCACCTGTAGTCCCAACTCCTCAGGAGGCTGAGGTGGGAGGATCACTTGAGCTGGGGAGGCAGAAGTTGCAGTGAGCTGAGATCATGCCACTGCACTCCAGCCTGGGTAATAGAGCAAGACTGAATCAAAAGGAAAAAAAAAAAAAGGAAAGAAAGGAAGAAAGAAAGAAAAGAAGGAAGGAAGGAGGGAGGGAGGGAAGGAAGAAAGGATGAAAGAAAGAAAGAAAGAACCAACAGTGGAAGCAAGGAGATCAGTTAGCAATTGTCCAAGATGAACACAGTTGACACCCAATAGTGAGGAGAAGAAGATAGACTCCAGGCACATTTTGTAGAGGCAATAAGCTTTGCTGATAAGATGAGAGGTGAGGGACAAGGAAGAATAAAAGCAAACCTCTAGGTTTTTGTCTCAAGCAGACATGTGAATGACAGTGCTGTTGGCTAGATGAGAAAGGCTTGGAGAGGAACAGGGTTGGGGTGGGATAAACCTTCCCCTTCCCTCAGGATATCTGATTTCAATGTGGTTGTAGAAAGAATCCAAGCTGGCTAAATAATTCTCACTAAGCAGTTACCAGGAGGCAAGTACAGAGCTTCCGACTCTGGTAGGGGTGGAGATTCTGATAACTACTTGGCTTGCCTTAGGAATTCCTTTCTATTTATGTGTTTGCCTATATAGCTTTTAGAGTCTCTATGCAGAGTGTGGTTGTTATAATTACTATGGCAAAAATCCCAGCTGGAAGCTAAAACACACCCAAAGGAGGAAATTGAACTCAACATGTAGGAGACCCAGCCAAGTGCTTTTCCCAAACCATACTGCTTTAGCCAGTCTGGAGAAGAGCTCCTGAGTGACCAAGAGGAAGGAACCAGGCCTTAGGTACCTACTGAAAAAATGGCTAATAAGAGACAGGGGAACAAACTACAAACTCCTGGAAGGACTCCCAAAGCAGGCAGAAGACCTAGGCTCTAGAGAGCAGCTTCTGCATCTCCCCTATAGGGAGAGGGAGAAGGATGGACCCTAGAGTGGCACAAGAGTAGAAAGGATCCCAGGCCAGGCCACACCTACAACCCTTCCTTAGTTTCCCTCTCTCGCCCCAGTTTGAAGAACTTCGCTGCTCCACTGAATTCCCTCCCTCTAGAGGACGCAGCTCCAAAGCTCAGAAGGAAACTGCTCTCTTCACTTGGTCCTAAGGGAGGGTCATTCACCTGTGCTGGCTTCTTTTTTTTTTTTTAGACAGAGTCTCACTCTGTCACCAGGCTGGAGTACAGTGGTGCGATCTCGGCTCACTGCAACCTCCGCCTCCCGGATTCAAGCGATTCTCCTGCCTCAGCCTCCTGAGTAGCTGAGATTTCAGGCACGTACCACCACACCTGGCTAATTTTTGTATTTTTAGTAGAGATGGGGTTTCACCATGTTGGTCAGGCGGGTCTCGAACTCCCAACCTCAGGTGATCCACCCATCTTGGCCTCCCAAAGTGCTGGGATTACAGGCATGAGCCACCGCACCCAGCCAGCTCTGGCTGGCTTCTTGAAGATCACCATATAGGACCCTGGGTTGAATTGGTCAGCAGAGGGAAACAGGGTATCCAGTCAAGCTCTACAGGAGCAAAGGATGGGCAGTCAGAGCGGCAGGGACAGGGCACTTGGTGGCCTGGTGTGCCTTTGCTGAGTCCCACTCAGAGTCCTCAGAGCCACAGTTCTGCTGATTTCTCTCTCCTGTCTGTTTCATGATCGAGTTAACTTCCCTTCACATTGCCTCCTCTGTGGGCACACAGTATTTCCTGCCCAAATATTATGTCTTTCCGCTCTCTCCCAAAATATGGTGAGGGGTCTCTAGTTTAACCATGAGACACAAAAGAGCCAATGATAACCCATACCTGGGTGGCATTTCATTTATTCATTCTTCAGTTATTTATTGAGCTCCTACCACATGTGATAGTTAAGCAGGCTATTGCAGTAATCCAAATGAGAGGTGATGGAGACTTAAGACTGGTATGGTAGTAGAGGAGGTTATGAGAAGTGATTGGATTCTGAATACAGTTTGAAACATAAAACCAACAGGATTTTCTAATAGGTTGGACATGAGATATGAGAGAAGCAAGAAGAGAAGGCTGCTTCCAAGGTGTTCGTCTAAGCATCTGGAAGGATAGTGTGTTGCCATTTTCTGAGATAGGAAAGACTGCAAGACAAGCAACTAGAAAGAACTAATTCAGCAGACTGACTGTTTGGGCATCATAAATTTGAAGTGCTTGTTTATTTGTGTGTGTGTGTGTGTGTGTGTGTGTGTGTGTGTGTGTGAGACGGAGTCTCACTCTGTTGCCCAAGTTGGAGTGCAGTGGCGCGATCTTGGCTCACTGCAACCTCCACCTCCCAGGTTAAAGTGACTCTCCTGCCTCAGCCTCCCGAGTAGCTGGGATTACAGGCATCTGCCACCATGCCCAGCTAATTTTTGTATTTTTTGTAGAGATGAGGTTTCACCATGTTGGCCAGCCTGGTCTCAAACTCCTGACCTCAAGTGATCGGCCCACCTCAGCCTTCCAAAGTGCTGGGATTACAGGCGTGAGCCACCACGCCCGGCCTTTTATTTATTTTTTTGAGATGGAGTTTTGCTCTTGTTGCCCGGGCTGGAGTGCAATGGCACAGTCTCTTCTCACTGCAACCTCTGCCTCCCAGATTCAAACGATTCTTCTGCCTCCGCCTCCCGAGTAGGTGGAATTACAGGCATGCACCACCACATCCGGCTAATTTTGTATTTTTAGTAGAGACGGAGTTTCTCCATGTTGGTCAGGCTGGTCTCGAACTTCTGACCTCAGGCGATCTGCCTGCCTCGGCCTCCCGAAGTGCTGGGATTACAGGCATGCGCCACCGCGCCCGGCCTATTTATTTTATTTTATTTTTTTTTTGAGACAGGGTCTTGCTCTGTCACCCAGGCTGGAGTGCAGTGGCTCGATCTCGGCTCACTGCAGCCTCTGCCACCCCAGTTTCAAGCTATTCTCCTGCCTCAGCTTCCCCAGTAGCTAGGAATACAGGTGTCAGCCACCACGCCTGGCTAAGTTTTGTATTTTTAGTAGAGACGGGGTTTCACCATGTTGCCCATGCTGGGCTCAAACTCCTGACTTCAAGTCATCCGCCTGCCTTAGCCTCCCAAAGTGCTGGGACTACAGGCGTGACCCACTGCACCTGGCCTGAAGTGCTTGTTTAGATATTCCAGTGTTGCTTTCAATTAGCAGTCCAGATTTCCTGTGAAAGGTCCAGGCTGGAGATAAAAATTTTCAAAATCTTAGCTTACCTTTCTCTGCTCATAAGCAACAAGAAATGTTGAAATTAGAGGGAGCCTGCAAAATTGCAACTAACAAATATCAGGAAGTATAAGGCTAACCAAGAGGGCTGGGGATGGTAGTTCATGCCTGTAATCCCAGCTACTAGGGAGGCCAAGGCAGACGCCTTACTTGTGGCCAGGAGTGCAAGACCAGCCAGGCAACAGAGCAAGATCCCATCTCCACAAAAGAATCAAAAAACAAAAATTAGGGGCCAGGCATGGTGGCTCATGCCTGTAATCCTAGAGAGGCCGAATGGGCAGGTCATTTTAGCTCAAGAGTTGGAGACCAGCCTGGGCAACATGGAAAACACCTCTCTCTGCTGAAAATACAAAAAATTATCCAGGGGCTGGGTATGGTGGCTCATGCCTGTAATCCCAACATTTTGGGAGGCTGAGGTGGGTGGATCACTTGAGATCAGGAGTTCAAGACCAGCCTGGCCAACATGGCGAAACCCCGTCTCTACTAAATATACAAAACTTAGCAGGGTATGGTGGTATGCACCTGTAGTCCCGGCTACTCGAGAGGCTGAGGCAGGATAATTGCTTGAACCCAGGAGGCAGAGATTGCAGTGAACTCCAGCCTGGGAGACATAGCAAGACTCCGTCTCAAAAAAAAGAAAAAGAAAAAGAAAAAGGCAAGCTTGGTGGCATGGGCCTGTAGTCCTGCTACTTGGGAGGCTGAGGCAGGAGGATTGCTTGAGCCTAGGAGGTTGCAGTGAGCTGAGAGGACACCACTAGCACTCCAGCCTGGGCTACAGAGGGAGACTCTGTCTCAAAAAAAAAGAAAATTAGCTGGGTGTGGTGGCACCGCCTGTTAGTCCGTGTTACTGGGGAGGCTGAAACAGGAGGATCATTTGAGCCCAGGAATTCTAGATTACAGTGAGCTATATGATCACACCACTGTACTCCAGCCTAGGCAACAGGGTGAGACCCTGTCTCTAAAAGAAGAAGAAAAAAAAGACTAACCAATATATCTAGAAATGCTGTTGTTGGCATTACCTGACAGAGTAGGCAAGTGACCTCTCTCTCAGAGATTAAATGAGATGACATATGTAAGTATACTTTATAGCTTCTAAGCTCTTGCACAGATGGGCACCATCATTGAAAGTGTCTCTAGTGGTCTTCTGCCCCATAGAGGTTTGCTGTGGGAATAATTTTACCATACTCCCCCAACCCCTACCCCAACCCCAGATGATAATGAAGCAGTGGCCTTTCTAGACCCCTTTCCTCTCCAGGTCAATATCAGTATTAAAAGCCAAATACCCTTTCTTCCTTCAACAAACTTCCTTTCCCCTCTCTTTCTTCATCTCAGTCTCTCTCTCTTCTCCTAGTTACAGAATAAAAGCTGTCATTCATATTAATGAAGACAAACAGCCTGGGGGTGGTGGCTCACGCCTGTAATCCCAGCATTTTGGTAGGCCAAGTTGGGCAGATCACTTGAGGTCAGGAGTTCAAGACCAGCCTGGCCAACAACGTGAAATCTCATCTCTACAAAAAGTAGCCAGGCATGGTGGTGTACATCTGTAATCCCAGCTAATCTGGAGGCTGAGGCAGAAGAATTGCTTGAAGCTGGGAGGCAGATGTTGCAGTCAGCTGAGATCACACCACTGCACTCCAGCCTGGGTGACATAGCAAGACTGCGTCTCAAAAAAGAAAAATAAATTAATGAAGACAGAGGGTAGGAGAAAGAGAGTAGGAAATAGGGCAGGACCATACCGAGCAATAGCTAACTTCAAATTCCTTATTAAGTGTATTTTTTTTGTTTTGAAAAATGTCTTGTTTTGTTTCAATTAAGATGTTTCCTGTCTATGTAATTATTATTTTGTTGCTTATTTTTGTTCATTACTTTTTTTCTCTCTAGATGTCTTTTTTGGCCTTGAGGTTTTTTTTTTTTTTTTTCAAATTAATTTTTTTTTTTTTTTGAGACGGAGTTTCGCTCTTGTTGCCCAATGCTGGAGTGCAGTGGCACGATCTCTGCTCACTGCAGCCCCCACCTCCCAGGTTCAAGCAATTTTGCTGCCTCAGCCTCCCTAGTAGCTGGGATTACAGGCACCTGCCACCATACCCAGGTAATTTTTGTAGTTTTAGTAGAGACGGAGTTTCACCGTGTTGGCCAGGCTGGTCTTGAACAGCTGACCTCAGGTGATCCACCTGCCTTGGCCTCCCAAAGTGCTGGGATTACAGGCGTGAGCCACTGCGGCCAGCCAGATTTAATTTTTTAGAGCAGTTTTAGGTTTACAGCAAAGTTGAGCAGAAAGTTTCCATTTATCCCCTGGCTCCTGCAAATACAAGGCCTCCTCCATTTTCTTTTCTTTTCTTTTTTGAGACAGAGTTTCGCTCTTGTTGCCCAGGCTGGAGTGCAATGGCACCATCTTGGCTCACTGCAACCTCTGCCTCCCGGGTTCAAGCAATTCTCCTGCCTCAGCCTACCAAGTACCTGGGATTACAGGCGTGCACCACCACGCCTGGCTAATTTTTTGTATATTTAGTAGAGACAGGGTTTCACCATGTTGGGCAGGCTGGTCTTGAACTCCTGACCTCAAGTGATCTGCCCACCTCAGCATATTACAGGCTGTGATTACAGACGTGCACCACCACACCTGGCTAATTCTTTGTATTTTTAGTAGAGACAGGGTTTCACCACATTGGCCAGGCTGGTCTTGAACTCCTGACCTCAAGTGATCTGCCCGCCTCAGCAGATTACAGGCGTGAGCTGCCGTGCCAGGCTTGAAATACATCTTGATTGCTTTCTGGATGCTTTTAATGTAATCTTCCTGTCTTTGATCTGCAGTTTCTCTGTGAGGAGTCTAAGTGTGGGTTATTTTTATCATTCTTGAGATTCATTGTGATTTCTGAAACAGGATTTTAGGAGTGCAAAAGGCTTACTGGAAAAAGAAAAAGAAAAAAAAGAAACAGGATATATATTTTTCAGCAATTCTGGAAAATTTCTCAGGCATTTTCCCTTTGAGTGTTACCTGTCCATTTTCTCTATTATTTTCTTCTAGAACCCCAGTTAGCCAAATGTTAGATCTTCTCACTCTATTATGCATGTTTCCTGATATCTCTTTGTTTCTCTGTGTTATATTCTGAATAATTTTGGTAGTTCTTCTAGTTTATTAATTTCTTCTTCAATTATATCTAATTTGTTTGTTAACCTTTTCATTGAGTTTTTTAATTTTTTTTTTTTTTTTTTTTTTGAGACAGAGTCTCGCTCTGTCACCCAGGCTGGAAAGCAGTGGTGCTATCTCAGCTCACTGCAAGCTCCGCCTCCCAGGTTCACACCATTTTCCTGCCTCAGCCTCCCGAGTAGCTGGGACTACAGGTGCCTGCCACCACACCCGGCTAATTTTTTGTATTTTTAGTAGAGACGGGGTTTCACCATGTTAGCCAGGATGGTCTCGATCTCCTGACCTCATGATCTGCCCACCTCGGCCTCCCAAAGTGCTGGGATTACAGGCGTGAGCCACCGTGCCCAGCCGATTAATTGTAAAAAACACATAACATAAAATTTATCATCTTACCCATTTTTAAGTGTACATACAGTTCAAGACTGTTAAGTGTATTCACATTGTTGTGCAACTGATCTCCAGAACTTTTTTTTTTTTGAGACAGGGTCTCACTCTGTCGCCCAGGTTGGAGTGCAGTGATGCTATCATGGCTCACTGCAGTTACCTCCCTGGGCTCAGGTGATCCCCTTACCTCAACCTCCCGAGTAGCTGGGACTGCAGGCTCATACTACCACACCCAGGTAATTTTTGTATTTTTTGTAGAGACAGGGTTTCACCATGTGGCCCAGGCTGGTCTTGTTTCCGGGCTCAAGGGATCTGCCCTCCTCAGCCTTCCAAAGTGCTGTGATTACAGGCATGAGCCACTATGCCCAGCCTCCAGAACTTTTTCATCTTGCAAAACTAAAATGCTATACTCATTAAATAACTCCTCAGTTCCCCCTTCCTCCACCCCATGGCAACTACTGTTCAACTTTCTGTTTCTATAAATTTAATTAATTTAATAAATAAAATTTAACTAAATTTTATTTTAGATAGTGAAATCATGCAATATTTGCCTTTTTGTGACTGGCATATTTCTTTTCTTTCTTTCTTTTTTTTTTTTTTTGAGACAGAGTCTTGCCCTGTTGCCCAGGGTGGAGTGTAGTGGTGTGATCTCGGCTCACTGCAGCCTCTGCCTCCCTGGTTTAAGCGATTCTCCTGCCTCAGCCTCCCGAGTAGCTGGGATTATAGGCACCCGCCACCAAGCCTGGCTATTTTTTTTTTATTTTTATTTTTTTTTAATAGAGACGGGGTTTCACCATGTTGGCCAGGCTGGTCTTGAACTCCTGACCTTGTGATCCACCTGCCTCAGCCTCCCAAAATGCTGGAATTACAGGCGTGAGCCACCATGCCCGGCCATGACTGGCTTATCTCATTTAGCAAAATGACTCAAGATTTACTCATGTTGTAGCATGTGACAGGATTTCCTTCCTTTTTAAGGCTGAATCATATTTCACTGTATGTATATACTACATTTTGTTTATCCATTCTTCCTTTGATGGACACTTGGTTTGCTCCCACCTCTTGGCTATTGTGAATAAGCTTCTATAAACAAGGGTGTGCAAATATTTCTTTGAGGCCCTGCTTCCCATTCTTTTGGATATATATCCAGAAGTGAGATTGCTGGGTCATAGAGTTGTTCTGTTTTTAATTTTTTAAAGGAACTTCCATGCTATTTTCCACAGTGGCTGTGCCATTTTACAGTCCCATCAACAATGCGTAAAGGTTCCAATTTCTCCACATTCTCACCAACACGTGTTATTTTCTGAATTTAGAGCTACATGAGGTTTTTTGGGTCAGAATAAAGGACAATTGCCCTGGAACAACCAACACAGGCTCTTCAACTTTTAAGTTCCTCATTTTTGAAGAAAGTTTCCAACCACCGACTTGTGGTTCATTGGTCATTGGCCAACCTGACATTCTGACTCTTAAGTGGGGAGTTTTATGGATGTGTGTGAATAACTAGTGGGACCATGTTCTCCAGCAGCTTCTGAAGATCAGAGAACAGAGAAACTTAAAGATAGAACTCCAGGCCAGGCGTGGCAGTTCACGCCTTTAATCCCAGCACCTTGGGAGGCCGAGGCGGGTGGATCACCTGAGGTCTGGAGCTCGAGACCAGCCTGGCCAACATGGAGAAAACCTGTCTCTACTAAAAACACAAAAATTAGCCGGGCCTGATGGCTGCCTGTAATCCCAGCTACTCAGGAGGCTGAGGCAGGAGAATGTCTTGAAACTGGAGGCAGAGGTTGCAGTGAGTCAAGATCATACCACTGCACTCCAGCCTGGGCAACAGAGTAAGACTCTGTCTCAAAAAAGAAAGAAAGAAAGAGAGAGGGAGAGGGAGAGGGAAGAAAAAAAGAAAGAAAGAAAGAAAGAAAGAAAGAAAGAAAGAAAGAAAGAAAGAAAGAAAGAAAGAAAGAAAGAAAGAAAGCGAGCGAGAGAAAGAAAGAAAGAAAAAGAAAGAAAGAAAAGAAAGCAGGCAGGCAGGCAGGCAAGGAAGGCAAGGAAGGCAAGGAAGGCAAGGAAGGCAAGGAAAGGCAAGGAAAGGCAAGGAAGGCAAGGAAAGAAAGGAAAGAAAGAAAGAAAGAAAATAGAACTCTGGAGGAAAGTTAGGGGAACCAGGAAGACTCCTGAGCATTAAGAACCACAGCTAATTCTTTGGGCAGATTTCCCTATTTTCTTTACATCCAAGGACAAGAATTCCTCTGCCCTGCCCAGGGAACAGAAGCCTGCTGTGCCCACTCAGAGGAAGATTCTGATCAGAGAACACATCAGCATTTAGAAAATTGCAACTTCTAAGTCATCTTGGGCAGGGTGAATGCTGTGGGCCAAGCTGGAGATGCAGGGCAGTGGGAGTGCAGACTGAAAAAATGCAGACCCCTGGGGCACTACTCATTTCTCAGGCTCTGATCTGCTGTAGTACTAGGGGTTTACTCAGGTCTGTGTCTGCCTCCTTTCTGAATAGGCCAAATAATTTATCCAAACAGCTTTCCTACGGCAGCTCTCCGCTCCACGTGGCCAGATAGGAGTTCCAGACCAGTGTTGTCTCCTGGGACATTGACACAGCAGCCAAGTTTATTGATGCTGGGGCAATCACAATTGGTTGGTTGGTTTGAGATAGGGTCTCACTTTGTCATCCAGACTGGAGTGCAGTGGCACAATCACAGTTCACTACAGCCTCAACCTCCCGGGCTCAAGCGATCCTCCCACCTCAGCCACCTGAGTAGCTGGGACTACAGATGCATGCCACCATGCCCAGCTAATTGTTTGATATTTTGTAGAGACCGGGTGTTGCAATGTACCCAAGCTGGTCGTGAACTCCTGAGCTCGAGCAATCTGCCTGCCTGGGCCTCCCAAAGTGCTAGGAATACAGGTGTGAGCCACCACACCCAACCCACGATTGTAACTGGCTCAGGGGCTGGCATAGCAATGGTGTCTGGCAACTTGATCATTCACTATGCCATCAGCCCATCTCTCAAGGAACAGCTCTTCTATGCCATTCTGGACTTTGCCCTATCTGAGGCCATGGGACTCTTCTGTTTGACAGTCACCTTCCTCATCCTCTTTGCCATGTGAAGCTCCATGGGGGTCACCTACTCACCCTTGCTGCTACAACTCCATAACATTCCTGGTGCTGGCATGTGCTGAGTTTTACCATTAAACACGTTTCTCTTTTTTTTTTTAAAAAAAAAAAAAAAGGCGGGGCAAGGGGGCGACTTTCTTGGTGGAACAAATACTGCACTGGGAATCCAGAACTTAGAACCCTAGTTTTCAGTTCTGGTGCTTTGGCTAAGAGGCTGTGTTATGTTAAGCAAACTTCCTCCAGTAATTTCCTTTTACAGAAGATACAACTAAGTTAACCTGTTTTAGACCCAAGGCTGGGACAACAGCTGTCAGAGTTTTCTGAATGCCCGTTCTGGTTCAGCTATACCTTGCTTTCTTTAGTCATCTTTATAGAGCAGTGAAAAATTCACCTTTATGATAAATGATTGTATTACCATGTGAAACTTTCCACCACAGCAAGCCAGGCAAAAATATGACTGTATATGATCCCTGCTGAAGGGAAGTATGTAGAAATAAAATGACTCTTGTACTGCAGTAGTGAGACTGTTGAGTGGGAATGTGGGCAGGACATGAGGGTTTCTTTTTTTAAAGTTTCTACAACATAGATTGTGCATGGTGTCTCACGCCTGTAATGCTAGCACTGTAGGAGGCCAAGGCAGGAGGATCCCTTGAGCCCAGGAGTTCAAGACCAGCCTACACAACATAGGGAGACCCTGTCTCTTAGAAAAAAAATAATACAGTGGCTCATGCCTGTAATCCCAACACTTTAGGAGGCCAAGGCAGGTGGATCATGAGGTCAAGAGATCGACACCGGCCGGGTGTGGTCACTCACGCTGGTAATCCCAGCACTTTGGGAGGCTGAAGCAGGCGGATCACGAAGTCAGGAGTTCGAGACCAGCCTGGCCAGCATGGTGAAACTCCATCTCTACTAAAAATACAAAAAATTAGCCGGGCATGGTGGTGTACACCTGTAATCCCAGCTATTCGGGAGGCTGAGTCAGGAGAATCATTTGAACCCAGGAGACGGAGGTTGCAGTGAGCTGAGATCACGCCATTGCACTCCAGCCTGAGCGATAGGTGAGACTCTGTCTCAAAAAAAAAAAAAAGAGATTGAGACCATCCTGGCCAACATGGTACACCCTGTCTTTACTAAAAATACAAAAATTAGCTGGGCGTGGTGGCACGTGCCTGGAGTTCCAGCTACTCAGGAGGGTGAGGCAGGAGAACCGCTTGAACCCGGGAGGCAGAGGTTGCAGCGAGCCTAGATCGCACCACTGCACTCCACCCTGGGGACAGAGCAAGACTCCATCTCAAAAAAAAAAAAAAAAAAAAAATATATATATATATATAGTAATAATAATAATAACAAAATTAAATTAAAATTTAAAAGTCACTATAACTTTGTTGTTATGTTTTCTACTTGTTGGTAATATTTAAGCACCTAGGCTGGGTAACATAGCGAAACCCCATCTCTACAAAAAAAAAACAAAAAAACAAAAATTAGCCAGGCATGGTGGCAGCACCTGCAGTACCAGCTGCTCAGGAGGCTGAGGTGGGAGGATTGCATGAGCCCAGGAGGTTGAGGCTGCAGTGACTGTGATCGTGCCATTGGACTTCAGCCTGGGCAACACAGCAAGACAATGTCTCAAAAAAAAAAAAAAGATAACACAAATTTAAAGTGATATAAAAGATATAATAGGCTGGGCATAGTGGCTCACACCTGTAATCCCAGCCCTTTGGGAGGCCAAAGCAGGCATATCACCTGAGGTCAGGAATTCGAGACCAGCCTGGCCAACATGGTGAAACCCCATCTCTACTAAAAACACAAAAATTAGGGCCAGGCATGGTGGCTCACGCCTGTAGTCCCAGCACTTTGGGAGGCTGAGGCAAGTGGATCACCCGAGGTCAGGAGATTGAGACTACCCTGGCCAACATGGTGAAACCCCCGTCTCTACTAAAAATACAAAAATTAGCCAGGCATGATGGCGCGTGCCTGTAATCCCAGCTACTCGGGAGGCTGAGGCAGGAGAATCACTTGAACCTGGAAGGCGGAGGTTGCAGTAGCTGAGATCTCGCCATTGCACTCCAGACTGGGTGTCACAGCAAGACTCTGTCTAACAACAACAACAACAAAAAGTAGGCATGTGTGGTGGCAGGCCCCTGTAATCCCAGCTATTTGGGAAGCTGAGGCAGGAGAATCACTTGAATCCGGAAGGCAGAGGTTGCAGTGAGCCGAGACTGCGCCATTGCACTCCAGCCTGGGCAACAAGAGCAAAACTTTGTCTCAAAAAATTAAATAAATAAATAAATAAATAAATAAATAAAATAAAGTGATATAATAGATTCTTAAAAACTATTCAAGTTTGCTTAAGACAGCAAAATGTGAAAAACTCATCTCTCCTCACCACCCAATCATTATTGCCCATTGTAGGCCAGGAACCCCAGGAAATAGACTCTGGAACAAACTTGTGTGCGGATGGTTCATTGGCAAATGCTCTTAGAAACGTGTAAGGCAGTGAGAAAAGCAAGATCTGGCACAGAGAGAAGTTAGGTTGTGATGCAGTTGCAACAGAGGCTTCAGCAGTCCTTCAGGGAGCTCTGAAGCTAGGATGGCCATTCAGAATTGTCCCAAACTGAGGCAAAGGGGAGATGCATTTATATCCCATAATATTCAGTCATTGGATGCAATCTGTCCTTAGGCAGGAACTTAAACTTCGCAAAGCAGCTACCCACAACTAAAATCGCAGTCTGGCGAGGCACTATACAGTAAGCTGTCAGCAGGCAACATTCCTGGCAACTGGAATAAGTGGTTTGTACTAAAGAGGGGCATCTAGAGAACACACCACAGTAGCTACTAGAGCCCTAAACTCCTATTCCTCTCCTGATACAAAAATTAGCAGTTACATGTGTATCCTTCAAGACCTGTGTTTTTGTTTCTTTTTCTTCTTCTTCTTTTTAAAATAAAACAATTGCAAAATATTTTCATATTACAGATGTTCAATTTCATCAGATGCCTTTTTTTTTTTTTTTTTTTTTTTGTGAGACAGAGTCTTGCTCTGTCACCAGGCTGGAGTGCAGTGGCACGATCTGGGCTAACTGCAACCTCCACCTCCCGGGTTCAAGCGATTCTCCTGCCTCAGCTTCCCGAGTAGCTGGGACTACAGGCGCATGTCACCATGCCCAGCTCGTTTTTTGTATTTTTAGTAGAGACGAGGTTTCACCATGTTGGCCAAGATGGTCTGGAACTCCAGACCTCGTGATCCGCCCACCTCAGCCTCCCAAAGTGCTGGGATTACAGGTGTGAGCCACGGCGCGCAGCTCATCAGATGCTTTTTTGACATCTCTTGTAATTATCATATGGTCATCCTCAAGCTTATCTGATTCTCAAGATTTGAATTGAAAATGTGCGAGCACAGCAAAGAACATTTTGGAAAATAATCAATAATGAAGCAAGTTGCCTTATCAGATAGCAAATCATAGTAAAAAGCAATAGTAATCTACACAATATGACATCATTGCATGGATAAACAAATGAATGGAAATGAATAGAAAATCCAAAAACATATTATTTTATATATGAAAATATTTTGTCTATAATAAAGATGGAATTTTTCCAGCCTGGGCAATATAATGAAACTCTGCTTCTATAAAAAAATTAAAAATTAGCCAGACATGGTGACCTGCCATCTGTAGTCTCAGCTACTCGGGAGACTGAGACCTCCTTGAGCCAAGGAGGTTGAGGTTGCAGTGAGCTATGATCAAACCACTACGCTCCAGCCCGAGCAACAGAGCGAGACCCTGTCTGAAAAAAAAGAAAAACAGGCTGGGCGCGGTGGCTCACGCCTGTAATCCCAGCACTTTGAGAGGCCAAGGCAGGTGGATCACGAGGTCAGGAGATCGAGACCATTCTGGTGAACACAGTGAAACCCTGTCTCTACTAAAAATACAAAAAAAAAAAATTAGCCGGGCGTGGTGGCGGGCACCTGTAGTCCCAGCTACTCAGGAGGCTGAGGCAGGAGAATGGTGTGAACCCGGGGGGCGGAGCTTGCAGTGAACCGAGATCATGCCACTGCACTCCAGCCTGGGAGACAGCAAGGCTCCGTCTCAAAAAAAAAAAAAAAAAAAAAAAACAGAACAAGAAAGAAAAGAAAAAGAAAAACAAAGGCCGGCTGCGGTGGCTTACGCCTGTAATCCCAGCGCTTTGAGAGGCCAAGGCGGGCGGACCACCTGAAGTCAGGAGTTCGAGACCAGCATAACCAACATGGAGAAACCCCGTCTCTACTCAAAATACAAAATTAGCCAGGCATGGCGGCACATGCCTGTAATCTCAGCTACTCAGGAGGGTGAGGCAGGAGAATCATTTGAACCCAGGAGGCGGAGGTTGTGGTGAGCCGAGATCGTGCAGTTGAACACCAGCCTGGGCAACGAGAGCAAAACTCCATCTCAAAAAAAAATTTTAAAAATGGAATTCTCAAATCAGTGAAATGGAATGAGTGTTCATGGCATGGTACGGGGCAATCAAATATTTAGAAATAAAATTAAAGCCAGGCACACTGGCTCATGCCTGTAATCTCAGCACTTTGGGAGGCTGAGGTGGGCGGATCACCTGAGGTCAGCAGTTTGAGACTAGCCTGGCCAACATGGTAAAACCCCATCTTTAGTAAAAATACAAAAATTAGCTGAGCGTGGTGGCAAGTGCCTGTAATCCCAGCTACTCAGGAGGCTGAGGCAGGAGAATCAATTGAACCTAGGAGACGGAGGTTGCAATGAGCTAAGATCGTGCCACTGCAGTCCAGCCTGGGTGACAGAGCAAGGTTCCATCTCAAAAAAAAAAAAAAAAAGAAAGAAAGAAAAAGAAAAGAAAAGAAAGACAGTGACAAACAAAAGACAATAAAGGTTTAATTTATAGAAGAGATATAAACATTTAATAAGGATACAAAAAGTTACTCATTCTTACTAGTAATAGAGAAATGTGGGCTGGGCGCAGCGGCTCACACCTGTAATCCCAGCACTTTGGGCTGCTGAGGCAGGCGGATCACCTGAGGTCGGGAGTTTGAGACTAGGCTGGCCAACATGGTGAAACCCCGTCTCTACTAAAAATACAAAAATTAAGCGAGGTGTGGTGGCTCACGCCTGTAATCCCAGCACTTTGGGAAGCCAAGGTGGGTGGGTCACCTGAGGCTGGGAGTTCGAGACCAGCCTGACCAACATGGAGAAACCCCGTCTCTACTAAAAATACAAAATTAGCCAGGAGTGGTGGCGCATGCCTGTAATCCCAGCTACTCGGGAGGCTGAGGCAGGAGAATCGCATGAACCCGGGAGACGGAGGCTGCGGTGAGATGAGATTGCACCAATGCACTCCAGCCTGGGCAACAAGAGCGAAACTCCGTCTCAAAAAAAGAAATACGAAAATTAGCTGGGTGTGATGGCACACGCCTGTAATCCCAGCTACTTGGGAGGCTGAGGCAGGACAATCACTTGAACCCAGGAGGCTGAGGTTGCAGTGAGCCAAGATTGCACCACTGCACTCCAGCCTAGCCACAGAGCAAGGCTCTGTCTCAAAAAAAAAAAAAAAAATAGAGAAATATTAATTAAAACAACATAATATCATCGGGGCAAGTAGAATTATCAATAATTTTTAAATATAGTAATATTTATTACTGGCAAGCTGTGGAAGAATGATCACTCTTTCTTATTGTTGAGCAGAAAATAAATTGGTGGGCCTTTGGAAGAGCAATTTGGCAAGTTATGTCCAGAATTTAACTGCATATACCTTGGGCCCATAACTTCCACTTCTCTAAATTGATCCTGAAGAAACACACATGTATACAGGGAAGTACATGCAATAATTTCGAATACAGAATAGACTGTAATTACAAAAGATTGGGAATGACCTCTATATTCATTGATAAGCAATTTAATCAAATTATAATACATTCATGCTATAAAAGACTAAGCAGCAATTTAAAAGAATGAGCTATTGAATGTCAGGAAAATAGTGAAAAAAAGAATGAGGGCAGGTGCGGTGGCTCACACTTGTAATCCCTGCATGTTGGGAGGCCAAAGTGGGCAGATAGCTTGAGGCCAGGAGTTCGAGACAAGCCTGGCTAACATGGTGAAACCCCTTCTTAATTAAAAATACAAAAATTAGCCAGGTGTAACGGCCAGGCGCAATGGCTCACACCTGTAATCCCAGCACTTTGGGAGGCCGAGGTGGGTGGATCACAAGGTCAGGAGTTCGAGACCAGCCTGGCCAATATGGTGAAACCCCAACTCTATTAAAAATACAAAAATTAGCTGGGCATGGTGGTGCTCGCCTCCATGGTCCCAGCTACCTGGGAGGCTGAGGCAGGAGAATCGCTTGAACCCGGGAGGGTTGAACCCGGGAGAATCGCTTGAACCCGGGAGGCAGAGGTTGCAGTGAGCCGAGATCACACCACTGCACTATAGCCTGGGCGACAGAGCCAGACTCTGTCTCAAAAACAACAACAAAATTGGCCAGATGTGGTGGCACAAACCTGTAATCCCAGCTACTTGGGAGGCTGAGGGGAGAGAATCACTTGAGTCCGGGAGGCGGAGGTTGCAGTGAGCCGAGATCACACCACTGCACTCCAGCAAGGGCAACAGAGTGTGACTCTGTCTCAAAAAAACCAAATAATGAGGCTGGGTGCAGTGGCTCACGCCTGTAATCCCAGCACTCTGGGAGGCCAAGGCTGGCGGATCACAAGGTCAAGACATCAAGACCATCCTGGCCAACATGGTGAAACTGCGTCTCTACTGAAAATACAAAAACTGGCTGGGTGCGGTGGCTCACACCTGTAATCCCAGCACTTTGGGAGACTAAGGTAGGCGGATCATGAGGACAGGAGATCGAGACCATCCTGGCTAACACAGTGAAACCCCGTTTCTACTAAAAATACAAAAAATTAGCCAGATGTGGTGGCGCGCACCTATAGTCCCAGCTACTCGGGAGGCTGAAGTAGAAGAATCTCTTGAACCTGGGAGGCGGAGGTTGCAGTGAGCCAAGATCGTGCCATTGCACTCCAGCCTGGGTGACAGAGCAAGACTCCAACTCAAAAATAAAATAAAATAAGATACAAATACAAATACAAATACAAAAATTAGCTGGGTATGGTGGCGCGTGCCTGTAGTCTCAGCTACTTGGAAGGCTGAGGCAGGAGAATTGATTAAACCTGGGAGGCAGAAGTTGCGGTGAACCGAGATCCCACCATTGCACTCCAGCCTGGGCGACAGAGCCAGACTGTGTCTCAAAATATAATAATAATAATAATAAAATAAATTTTAAAAAGAATGAGATAGAGCTGACATTGATAGATCTTCAATACATAGTGCTAGGAGAAAAAAATTGATAATGTTTAAATATATTTAACCTTATTTAAATGTACACATGCATGTATACACACAATGAATTTTTTGTTTTTTTGAGACAGGATCTGGCTCTGTTGCCCAGGCTGGAGAGCTGACATTAATAGATCTTTAATACATAATGCTAGGAGAAAAAAAAATGATGTTTAAATATACTTATCCTTATTTAAATGTACACATGCATGTATACACACAATGAGTTTTTTGTTTTTTTGAGACAGGATCTGGCTCTGTTGCCCAGACTAAAGAGCAGTGGCACAATCTCGGCTCACTGCAATCTCTGCCTCCTGGGCTCAAGCTGCCCTCCCACCTCAGCCTCCTAAGTAGCTGGGACTACAGGCACACACCACCACACCCAGCTAATTTTTGTAGAGACTGGGTTTTGCCACGTTGCCCAGGCTGGTCTCCAACTCCTGAGAGCTCAAGTGATCTGCCTGAATCAGCTCTTATAAATCCTGGGATTACAGGCATGTGCCACCTCACCCAGCCACAATAAATTTTTATCAGTGGTTATACCTTGGTATTGACTGGCATTGAATGCTGTTGACTCTTGGGTGAAGTGACACTTTCACTTTCTTTCTTTCTATTTTTTTTTTTTTTTTTTTTTTTTTTTGGGATGGAGTCTCACTCTGTGGCCCAGGCTGGAGTGCAGTGGCACAATCTTGGCTCTCTGCAACCTCCACTTCCCAGGTTTAAGTGATTCACCTGCCTCAGCCTCCCGAGTAGCTGGGATTACAGGCATGTGCCAGCATGCCTGGCTAATTTTTATATTTTTAGTAGAGACAGGGTTTCACCATGTTGGCCAGGCTGATCTCAAACTCCTGACCTCAAGTGATCCACCCAACTTGGCCTCCCAAAGTGTTG
The DNA here is from genome assembly GCF_000001405.40 of Homo sapiens. Classification (NCBI taxonomy): domain Eukaryota; kingdom Metazoa; phylum Chordata; class Mammalia; order Primates; family Hominidae; genus Homo; species Homo sapiens. Next base: position 138,881,013 of record NC_000003.12, on the reverse strand, counting down.
GGATTACAGGTGTCAGCCACCGCACCCAGCCTTACTTTCCATATGTATTTTTCTGTGTGATTTGAAAATTTTACAATAAGCCTATATTATAATATTTTTGTAATTTGTAAAACAATTTCAAATAGGTAAAGGTAATAGAGAGTAGTAAGATAATACAAAAGAATATAAAGACAAATCAAAACAATAGAATATAATACAAAAGAATATAAAGACAAATCAGCTGTAATCCCATCATTAGGAGAAAACCTCTGTCAAGATTTTTAAATGAAATATTTTCAGCTCCTTTTCTTTGTATAACTACTTTTTAACTTAGCTGAGATGCAGACGGAATAGTATTCAAATTGTGTTTATCCTTCTTTCCGCACTTTGGTTTTCTACCCAAATAAGTTATCTAGTCTGGAATTCTCCCTCCTCCATTGAAGTCACTATCTTTTTTTTTTTTTTTTTTTTTTGAGATGGAGTCTCGCTCTGTCACCCAGGCTAGAGTGCAGTGGCGTGATCTTGGCTCACTGCAACCTCCGCCTCCCAGGTTCACGCCATTCTCCTGCCTCAGCCTCCCGAGTAGCTGGGACTACAGGCGCCCGCCACCACGCCCGGCTAATTTTTTGTATTTTTTAGTAGAGACGGGGTTTCACCGTGTTAGCCAGGATGGTCTCGATCTCCTGACGTTGTGATCCACCCGCCTCAGCCTCCCAGATTGCTGGGATTACAGGCGAGAGCCACCGCGCCCAGCCTGAAGTCACTGTCTTCCTTCAGGCTATGCCTCTGGGTAAAAGTCAATGCCTCATTGCTCTGGGACTCTCCTTTGCTGAGCGCTAGCTTGAAACTCCAGATCCTAACCTGTAAGGCAGGGGAATGGCCCAGCAGGAGCCACTACCACCTGGTGCTGTGAGTGTCAGACGCTTTTTAGCATGTGAGAAGTTCAATGCGGGGCTAAGGCTGACTTTGATTGTCGAAACAACTACTCAAAACACAATCACAAATTAGTTCAGTCACATAGACTGAACTTTGATCCCTCTGTCTGGGTGGCAAGGCAGTGTGAGCTGGAAAGAGGGAGTTCTCCTGTCACTGAAACCCAGTCAGGAATATCTTGAGTCTACACCAAGGCAAAATCCACACTGCTGGTTTAGAAGGGAGTTTAAACAATGCTCCTTTAAACTTAAACAATGAGCAATAGGAGCAGGTCAAACTTGGGCATGGGTCTCAACCTGAAATCTACTTGCAGCATCCTCCCAGGTCCCGGCCACACCTGCACAGAACAGCACCAGCACAACTGATGAGCAGAGCCCTATGCATAGGCGACAGGGCTCAAGAGCCACCAGTTGGATTAGTATCTGAATTTAATCCAATCGGGATCCTGCATAGAATGGGATAAGAATCCACTGATAGGCCAGGTGCAGTGGCTCACACCTGTAATCTCAGCACTTTGAGAAGACAAGGCAGGAGGATAGTTTAGGGCCAGGAGTTTGAGACCAGCCTGCACAAATTAGTGTGATTCCATCTCTTCCTACAAAAAATAAAAATAAAAAAGAATCCATTGATAAATTATAAATATTGAGGGTAAACTAGGCACAATGGCCTATGCCTATAATCCCAGCTACTTGGGAGGCCAAGGGAGGAGGATTGCTTGAGACCAGGAGTTTGAGATTAGCCTGGGCAGCATAACAAGACCACATCTCAAAATAAAACAAACAAACAAAATATTTGGAGTATAAGAGTCAAGAAGGAGGCTGGGTGTGGTGGCTCACACCTGTAATCCTAGCACTTTGGAAGATCAAGGTGAATGTACTGCTTGACCCCAGGAATTTGAGACCAGCCTGGGCAATATAAGGAAACCCTGTCTCTACAAAAACATTTTTAAAAAATAATAGTAAAGCATGGTGGCCTGTACCTGTAGTCCCAGCTACTCAAGGGGCTGAGGCGGGAGGATTGCTTGAGCCCCAGAAAGCTCCTTTAGCAAACAGATGCTGACTTATAAATAAAAAACTATGGCAATAAGATTCATCTTTGAGGCCAGGCATGGTGGCTCATGCCTGTAATCCCAGCACTTTGGGAGGCCAAGGCGGGTGGATCACTTGAGGTCAGGAGTTCGAGACCAGCCTAGCCAACATGGTGAAACCCCGTTTCTACTAAAAATACAAAAATTAGCCAGGTGTGGTGGCTTGTGCCTGTAATCCCAGATATTTGGGAGGCTGAGGCAGGAGAATCACTTGAACCCAGGAGACGGAGATTGCAGTGAGCCAAGATTATGCCACTGCACTCCAGCCTGGTGGCAGAGCAAGACATAGTCTCAAAAAATAAAAAAAGATTCATCTTTGGAATGGCCAAGGTCTCTATGAGGCCAGAAACCTGCCACCTCTTTACACCCTCAGTTCTCCTACTATACTAAGGAGTGCCACCAATGTTTGTGGTTGGTGGCAAAGGTATTGAGTTTCTGTAGTCAAATCTGATCATTCCCACCAAGGAAGTGGAGAAAAGGCAAAAATAATCTAAATAATGACTCCATTAATATATTTGATTTTGAAGTGTATTGTGTGATAATTTTATGGTAAATTACCTTTATATTCACCTTTTAGTGAAAAAAATAGTTCCTGAGAACGAATTAATTAATTAATACAGGTATCTGTCCTCACATTGAAAAAACTGCAGATGTCCTTGGAGGATCCTTCCAACAGAAACACACTCTCCCTGGCCGGGCACAGTGGCTCACGACTCTAATCCCAGCACTTTGGGAGGCTGAGGTGGGAGGATCACTTGAGGTCAGGAGTTTGAGACAAGCCTGGACAACATGATGACAGCCCCATCTCCACAAAAAAATGAAATTAAAAAATTAGCCAGGTGTGGCCAGGTGCGGTGGCTCATGCCTGTAATCCCAGCACTTTGGGAGGCCGAGATGGGTGGATCACAAGGTCAGGAGATCGAGACCATCCTGGCTAACACAGTGAAACCCCGTCTCTACTAAAAATATAAAAAATTAGTGGCGGGCGCCTGTAGTCCCAGCAACTCAGGAGGCTGAGGCAGGAGAATGGCGTGAACCCAGGAGGCGGAGCTTGCAGTGAGCCGAGATCACGCCACTGCACTCCAGCCTGGGCAACAGAGCGAGACTCCATCTCAAAAAAAAAAGAAAAAAGAAAAGAAAAAATTAGCCAGGTGTAGTGGCATGCTCCTGTAGTCCCAACTACTGGGGAGGCTGAAGTGGGAGGATCACTTGATGCTAGGAGGATGAGGCTGCAGTGAGCAGCGATCACTCTACTACACTCCAGCCCGAGCAACAGAGTGAGACCTTGTCTCAAAAAAAAAAAAAAAAAAGTGAGGTCAACTTAAAATGTAGAATTAACCTTATTTCAGCCAAGTAAGTATTAAAACTTATAGTTTCCAAGAACACATTGCTGATAGGGAAGGAAACTGGCAAAGAGGGAGACTCCAAGAAAGAATGAGTAGAGACTCACACACCAACATCAACACACACAGAGGAGACAGATCAAGGGGGTAAGCCACAAACAGACCATAGAAGGCCAGTGGCTGCAAGTGAAAGAAATCCAACTCAACTAGCTTAGACAAACCACAGAAAGAGCCTCTAGATATCAACTCTGATCTCCCTCAGACAAGTTCCTACAAGTGAATGGAAGAACAACTGTTGGCAGTTTTCAGACCACATCTCCCAGCTACCCCACCCAAGAAGAACTGCACTCTTTCCTTTCGTATCAATTCAAACATCCTGGTGCAGAACTGCGGGTCTAGGGAGGGACAGGAGGGAATGTCCAGAAGAAATGAGAAGATATGAGGCTGCAATTAAAATATTAAATGTCTTCCACGTGGAATCATAATTCTAATTGGCTTCTGTTCTTTCTGGTTATAAATGCATCATTGTTTCCATAAATTCAGGAAAGATGTAGATAAAACAGGAGGTTAATGAACACAACTGTATCCCTCATCTACATCAACAGCATCATTATTTTCATTTATGGGTATATTCTGTTGATTAGCTTTTATGCTTATTAGCTTTTGATGGAAAATGACACATGAAAATTTGAACATGCTGATCATCTTTGGTAACCATCCTACATTTTTTTCTGTAGTTCTACATTGACTCTTCCCTTCTACTTCTTTTTTTTTTTTTTTTTTTTTGAGATGGAGTCTCGCTCTTGTTGCCCAGGCTGGAGTGCAATGGCGCTATCTCGGCTCACCGCAACCTTGGCCTCCCGAGTAGCTGGAATTACAGGCATGTGCCACCATGCCCGACTAATTTTGTATTTTTAGTAGAGACAGGGTTTCTCCATATTGGTCAGGCTGGTCTCGAACTCCTGACCTCAGGTGATCTGCCTGCCTTGGCCTCCCAGAGTGCTGGGATTACAGGCGTGAGCCACTGCGCCCGACCCCCTTCCATTTCTGTTATGTGGTCCATTAACAAGAATAATTCCAAAGACTTAAATGTAATATTTCAGAATTGATCACACATTGTATACCCCAGTAGATAGATTCAAACCAACGTCTACTTGGAAAGGAATTCATTAAAGCTCTAGATTTGTGCTCTGTGACCTTGGGCAGATCCTTTAGTAATTTAAACTTCAGTGCCATTCTTTGTGAAATGGATACTATTACCCATTTAGCAGGGGTACTGGGAGGACTAGAGATAACAAATGTTTAGCACAGGGCATGAAAGGCCCAATATATGGCGCTAATTGATTTTAGTCAAAGCTATTCTCCTATAGATGCCCTGAGAGATCTGTATCTAGGTTGGGAGGACTCAGAAGTCCTCCACTATGCACTCACCTGCCCAAGGTACACACAAAGCAAACAATCATCAGTTTACAGGGGTCTTCCCTCTTTCAGCCCAAATTACCCTGCACAGCTCACAGCCCATTTGATCTTCTTATTGCACCTCCTTGCAACATGACTTGCATTAACTCAAACTACCACTAACTCCTACATTGTTCAATGTTTCACTATCAGTTGCCAAACTGACCTCATTTCCTGCCAAGCTAAACTCATTTCCGTTTCTGATAGGGTTACTAAACTGGATGGTTTCCGAGAATATTGGAGACACAGTGTATCTGAAATTCTGCAAGAGGGTAGATAAGGTCCCGTGGTGTCTCTGTGGCCAGGAGGAAAAGTGGGAGACAGGGCAGTTAGCAGGAGTCATAACTGGCCAAACAACAGCTCCTGAATCCCTTTGATTGGACTCAGAAGAAGTCTGGTTATGAGATATGCGTAAGTGAAGATACGTTATCTTGGAACGCGAGAACTGAGGTCATAAAAAAATGTCCTGTAAGATCTAGAGTAGGGATCCCATTCACTTATTCATTTAACAAATATTTATTGAGTGCCTACCTGTAATGTGCAGGGAACTGTATAAAGGATCTGGGAATAGAAGAGAATGAAAAAAAAAAAAAGAAGAGAATGAAACAGGCTGGTCACAGTGACTCACACCTGTGATCCCAACACTTTGGGAGGCCAAGTTGGGCAGATCATTTGAGCCCAGGAGTTTGAGACCAGCCTGGGCAACATAGCGAGAACTTGTCTCCACAAAAAAAAAAAAAAAAAAAAAAAAGTTGTTTAAGAATAAAAATAAATTTTTAAAAAACAAGGTGGGCTGGGCGCAGTGACTCATTCCTGGAATCCCAGCACTTTTTGGGAGGCCAAAGCGGGAGGATCACTGGAACCTGGGAGTTCAAGAACAACCTGGGCAACAAAGTGAGAGCTCGCCTCAACAAAAAATTTTAAAAATTAGCTGGGTGTGGTGGCACATGCCTGTGGTCCCAGCTATACAGGAGGCTGAGGCAGGAGAATCACCTGAGCCCAGGAGGTCGAGGCGGCAGTGAGTTGTGATAGTGTCACTGCACTCCAGCCTGGAAAACAGAGCAAAACCCTATTAAAAAAAAAAAATTGGTAGAGGGAGGAAAATATGCATATTGGCTGAGAAGACTCGATATTATAAAGATGTCAATTCACAAGAAATTTATATATTTAATATAGTCAATATTAAAATATTTTTTAAACAATTTTAAGTTTTGCTGTAGACCAGGCTGGAATCTCCTATAAGCCATTATCCTATAGATGCCCTGAGTACAGTGGTGCAATCATAGCTCTCTGTGGCCTCAAATTCCTGGGCTCCAGTGACCCTCCTACCTCAGCCTCCCAAGTAGCTGAAACTACAGGCTCACACCACCATGCCCAGCTAACTTTATAAAATTTTTTTGTAGAGACAGGGTCTCACTGTGTTGCCCAGGCTTGTCTAGAACTACTGGCCTCAAGCAATTCTCCTGCCTCTTAAAATAGTAGGGTATAGGCTGGGCACAGTGGCTTATGCCTATAATCCCAGCACTTTGGGAGGCCAAGGGGGGCAGATCACCTGAGGTCAGCAGTTCAAGTAAGAACAGCATGGCCAACATGGCAAAACCCAGTCTCTACTAAAAATATAAAAAATAGCTGAGCATGGTGGCTCACGCTCACGCCTGTAATCCCAGCTACTCCGGAGGCTGAGGCAGGAGAATTGCTTGAACCCAGGAAGCGGAGGTTGCAGTGAGCCGAGATTGCACCACTGCACACCAGCCTGGGCAACAGAGCAAGACTCCAACTCAAAAATAAATAAATAAATAAATAAATAAATAAATAAATAAATGTAATATATTATGAAGGTGATATTTTATTTCTGCAGAAAAAGATGGATTATTCAATCAAAGGTGTTGGGAAATCTGGAGAGCCATCTAGAAAAAAAGTAAATTGGATCAACACTTCATGCTTTGTATCAAAATAAACTACTTATGGAGCGTTACATGTAAATGCTTGTTCCCTGGTGCCACAAAGAAATAGCACTTCAACATAAATTTAATCCTCTTAGCAAGGCAATCTTTACTTTCTGCAGAAAGGGTGCTCATTGCCGATGGAATAATGGCGAAAGCATACCTGAACAAAGGAGGGAAGCAATTTTTATTCCTTACGCAGTTTGTCCCTGCTACTGTGTCCTGTCTCCATTGGCTGGAGCCAGACCACACAATCTAAACTAAAACCTGATTGGCTAACAGTTTAAAACTTTTCTAAATAGGTGAAAGGAATGGAAAGACAAAGGAAAAGAGGAAATTGCTTATGCCAAATAAGGAAGGGGCATAGGCTGCGAGCTGGAACGTGCCTGTGAGCATGTCCAGCACAAATATTTTGCTTAAGGTACAAGGACATAGAATGTACTACGTGCCTGTGAGCATGTTTAACAGCTACGTAGGATAGAGCCTAACAAAAAGTTATTAGCATACAGTAAGGAGGCTTAAAGGAAGTTAGTCTTTAAAAAAAAAACTATTATTTCTAACACTTATGATTTATTCCTTAACAAGAAGGGAAAGTTTAAAGAGGAACTTTTTACTTTCTACATGGAGGAAAGATTGAAATATGAAAAGTGAAAGCACAAAAGTACTAGATGAGAACATGGGAGAATTTTATTTTATTTTTTTTGAGACAGAGTTTTGCTCTTGTTGCCCATGCTGGAGTTCAATGGCGCAATCTCGGCTCACTGCAACCTCTGCCTCCCAAATTCAAACAATTCTCCTGCCTCAGCCTCCCAGAGTAGCTGGGATTACAGGCATGTGCCATCACACCCGGCTAATTTTGTATTTTTAGTAGAGACGAGGTTTCTCCATGTTGGTCAGGCTGGTCTTGAACTCCTGACCGAGGTGGGTGAGCCACTCACCTCGGCCTCCCAAAGTGCTGGGATTACAGGTGTGAGCCACCATGCCCGGTCAAAAATTTTTATATATATACAATCTTGCTATGGACAAGCTTTCCTCAGGATGGTAAAGCAAACACACAAATAAATAAATAAAATAAGAAGCGGTCAAAGAAAATGTTAATAGGCCAGGCGCAGTGCCTCACACCTGTAATACTAGCACTTTGGGAGGCCTGAGGCAGGCAGATTGCCTGAGTTCAGGAGTTCGAGACCAGCCTGACCAACATGGTGAAACCCTGTCTCTACAAAAAATACAAAAAATTAGCCAGGCTTGGTGGCACTCCTGTAGTTGCAGCTACTCGGGAGGCTGAGGCACAAGATTGCTTGTACCTAGGAGGTGGAGGTTGCAGTGAGCTGAGATGGTGCCACTGCACTCCAGCCTGGGCAACAGATCGAGATTCTGTCAAAAAAAAAAAAGAAAGAAAAGAAAAGAAAGAGAGAGAGAGAGAAAAGAAAGAAAGAGAGAGAGAAAGAGAAAGAAAGAAGAAAATAAAGAGAGAAAGAAAAGAAAGAAAGAAGAGAGAGAACGAGAGAAAGAAAAGAAAGAGAAAGAAAGAAAGAAAGAAGATTGATTCAAGTGGTGGCTCATGCCTGTAATCCTAGCAAAGCAGGGGTGGATCACCTGATGTCAGGAGTTCGAGACCAGCATGGTGAAACCCCTTCTGTACTAAAAATACAAAAATTAGGTCGGGCATGGTGGCTCACGCTCATAATCCCAACAATTTGGGAGGCTGAGAAGGGTGGATCACCCGAGGTCGGGAATTCAAGACCAGCCTGACCAACGTGGAGAAACCCCATCTCTACTAAAAATACAAAATTAGCTGGGTATGGTGGCGCAGGCCTGTAATCCCAGCTACTTGGGAGGATGAGGCAGGAGAATCCCTTGAACCTGGGAGGCAGAGGTTGCGGTGAGCCGAGATCGAGCCATTGCACTCCAGCCTGGGCAATGAGAGTGAAACTCCGTCTCAAAAAAAAAAAAAAAAAAAAATTAGACAGGCGTGGTGGTGGGCACCTGTAATCGCAGCTACTTGGGAGGATGAGGCAGGAGAATCACTTGAACCCAGGAGGTGGAGGTTTCAGTGAGTCGAGATTGAGCCATTGCACTCCAGCCTGGGCAACAAGAGTGAAACTCCATCTCAAAAAAAAAAAAATTATATATATATATATATATATATATTTGGGCCAGGCGTGGTGGTTCATGCCTGTAATCCCGACACTTTGGGAGGCCGAGGCAGGTGGATTACCTGAGGTCAGGAGTTTGAGATCAGCCTGGCCAACATGGTAAAACCCTGCCTCTACTAAAAAATACAAAAAATTAGCCTGGAATGGTGGCATGTACCTGTAATCCCAGCTACTACAGAGGCTGAAGCAGGAGAACTGCTTGAACGTGGGAGGTGGAGGTTGCAATGAACTGAGATTGCGCCATTGCACTCCAGCCTGGGCGACAGAGCGAGACTCTGTCTCAAAAAATAAAAGAAAAATATTAATTCCCACATGGAGAAAAACATTATGAACAAAGTCATAAGAAAAGTAACAAACTGGGTGAAATTTTTTAAATTTATTTATTTATTTATTTGAGAAACAGTCTCTCTCTGTCACCCAGGCTGGAGTTGCAGTGGCGTGATCTTGGCTCACTGCAACCTCTGTCTCCCATCCTGGGTTCAAGCTATTCTCCTGCCTCAGCCTCCCAAGTAGCTGGGATTACAGGCATGCGCCAGCATGCCTCACTAATTTTTTTATTTTTAGTAGAGACAGGGTTTCACCATGTTGGCCAGGCTAGTCTCAAACACCTGATCTCAGGTGATCTAACTGCCTAGCCCTCCCAAAGTGCTGGGATTACAGGCACCCACCACCACATCCAGCTAATTTTTATATTTTTAGTAGAGACGGGGTTTCACCATGTTGGCCAGGCTGGTCTCAAGTGACTGCCGTGACTGACCTCAAATGATCCGGCAGCCTCAGCCTCCCAAAGTGCTGGGATTACAGGTGTGAGCCACTGCACACGGCCTTAAATTTAAATTAAGTGAAATACAACAAATATATTGAAAAGAAAAATAGCAAATAGAAAAACAGGTAAAGGATATAAACAGATAATGTACAGAAAAATTAACATGAGCAATCCTTATGTTTACGAAAGAATATTCAGCTTCATTCAAAATAAAAGAAGTGCAGATTAAAACAGCTAGGTGTAACAATTTTTGCCCTACCAAACTGACAAAGGCTAAAAACAAATATAATTAATAATCTGATAGAAATAGGGGAAAAGTATCTCATCATTGAGGGAAGGAGTTTAAATTGGTACAACCTCTATTGAGTGCAATTGGCAATGTCTATCAAAATAACAAATGAATATGCCCCTTGATCCAGCAATTCTGCCTTTAGGTATTTATCCTGCAAGTTTGCATACACTCATGGAAAACAAAAGATGTATAGTCAGTTATTCATTGCAGCCTTGTTTGTAATAGCAAAAAATTGGAAACATCAAAATATTCATATACAGGATATTGACTTAAATGATATATCTATACAATGAAATGCTATACACTTATTAAAATGAATAAAACAACTGTATGTAATGGTTTGATGTCTAAGATATATTTTTTCTCTCTTTCTTTTCTTTCCTTTTTTTTTTTTTTTTTTGAGACAGAGTCTTGCTCTGTCACCCACGCTGGAGTGCAGTGGCACAATCTCGGCTCACTGAAACTTCATCTCCCAGGTTCAAGGAATTTTCCTGCCTCAGCCTCCCAGGTAGCTGGGACTACAGGCTCAGGCCATCAGGCCTGACTAATTTTTGTATTTTTAGTAGAGACGGAGTTTTACCATATTGGCCAGACTGATCTCAAACTCATGACCTCAAGTGATCCGCCTTCCTCAGCCTCCCAAAATGCTGGGATTACAGGCGTGAGCCACTGCGCCCAGCCTTTTTTTTCTTATTTTATTTTATTTGTTTATTTTTGAGACAGAATCTCACTCTGCCACCCAGGCTGGAGTGCAGTGGCCCGATCACAGCTCACCGAAGTCTCAACCTCACGGGCTCAGGTGATTCTCCCACCTCAGCCTCCTGAGTAACTAGGACTACAGGCATCAGCCATCACACCCAGCTAATTTTCGGTTTTGTAGAGATGGGGATTCGCCACATTGCCCAGGCTGGTCTCGAATTCCTGGGCTCAACTGATCTTCCTGCCTTGGCCTCCCAAAGTGCTGGGATTACACGCGTTGGCCACTGCACCAGGCCCTAAGATATATTATTAAGGGAAAAATATTATATATTGTATGCTAATACTTGCATTTAAAAAATAGGCTCGGTGTGGGCCGGGCGGGGTGGCTCACGCCTGTAATCCCAACACTTTGGGAGGCCAAGGCAGGCAGATCACGAGGTCAGGAGATTGAGACCATCCTGGCCAACACAGTGAAACCCCGTCTCTACTAAAAATACAAAAATTAGCCAGGCATGGTGGCACGCACCTGTAATCCCAGCTACTGGGGAGGCTGAGGCAGGAGAATCGCTTGAACCCGGGAGTCAGAGGTTGCAGTGAGCCAAGATCGACACTGCAGTCCAGCCTGGTGACAGAGTGAGACTCAGTCTAAAAAAAAAAATATATATATATATATGGGCTCAGCGTGATGGCTCACGCATGTAATCCCAGCACTTTGAGAGGCCAAGGTGGGTGGATCACCTGAGGTCAGAAGTTGGAGACCAGCCTGGCCAACATGGTGAAACCCAATCTCTACTAAAAGTACAAAAATTAGCCAGGCCTAGTGGCACGAGGCCTATAATCCCAGCTACTAGGGAGCCTGAGGCAGGAGAATCGCTTGAACCCAGGAGGTGAAGGTTGCAGTGAGCCAAGAGTGTGCCACTGCACTGCAGCCAGGGTGACAGAGTGACAGAGTGAGACTCTGTCTCAAAATATATATATATATATATATTTTATATATATATATACACACACACACACACATATATAAACTTATAAGCATCGTAAATGCATAGACAATTTCCAGAAGGATACACATGGAAGTAGTAACAGGGATTGCTGTTGGGGAGTAGAACCAAGGCGCAGAAGGGAAAGGAAGGAGACGAAAGAGACTTTCTCTTCATTGTGTATTCTCTCTCTAATTTTTTTTTTTTTTTTGAGAGGGGGCTCTCGCTTTTTATTTTTATTTTTTTGTGAGAGGCAGTCTCGGCCATATTCTCTTATTCTATTTGACTTTTATATTACACACATGTTATTTAAGTTTAAAAACAGATTAAAATTGGGCCGGGCGCGGTGGCTAACGCCTGTAATCCCAGCACTTTGGGAGGCCGAGGCGGGCAGATCACGAGGTCAGGAGATCAAGACCATCGTGGCTAACAACGGTGAAACCCCGTCTCTACTAAAAATACAAAAAATTAGCCGGGTGTGGTGGCGGGCGCCTGTAGTCCCAGATACTCAGGAGGCTGAGGCAGGAGAATGGCGTGAACCCGGGAGGCGGAGCTTGTAGTGAGCCGAGATCGCGCCATTGCACTCCAGCCCAGGCAACAGAGAGAGACTCCGTCTCAAAAAAAAAAAAAAAAAAAATTAAAATTTAAAGTATGAGGTGTCGGGAAGCGGAGGTTGCAATGAGCCATCGAGCCACTTCACTCCAGCTTGGGTGACAGGCGAGACTCTGTCTCAAAACATAAATAAATAAATAACAAAAATAAAGTGTGGGGTGTAAATCTTCATGTATGTGTTTGCACAGTATAGAAAATAGTCATCCTCATCAATCTGTGATAGTCCTTCACAGACAGTGGGGAAGCAGAAGCGAGAGTTCCAAGGTGAAGTTTGACTTTTTTACTCACTCTGCCACATTGTTTAAATGTGTCACATTAAGTATATATTACTTTTCTAAATTAAAAGAAAAATTAAATTAATGGTGGCTTCTTCCCCAGAGAAACGTTGGTATAAAGTTGAAAAGACTATTTTCAGAGTACCTTGTAGGGGGAGTTCCACTGTGGTAGGGAATTTCAGACCAGGTGGGTCTCTAGGCAACCTTCAAAATAAAACATTCCTTAGTTCTAAGATCCATAACTCTAGTTGGACTGGCATTATTTCTCCAACTGGATTATAAATTCCTTAAGGACAGGAAGTCTGGGTTTTGGTTTTTAAAAAAATCCCCTTCATCTTTTACACAAAGATACATAAATTTGACAAATAAAATGTGTCACTTGAATGCAGGGACATCTGTTTTTTCATATCCAATATAGTGTAGTCTTAGTGCCCAGAGCTATAAGGTCACATATTGTTATTCTAACCTTTGTATCAGAGAGAAACATAATACAGTTTTCCTGGTATAGAAGGCTCAGTCGGCCGGGCGCGGTGGCTCACACTGGTAATCCCAATACTTTGGGAGACCAAGGCGGGTGGATTACCTGAGGTCAGGGGCTCAAGACCAAACTGGCCAACATGGCGAAACTCTGTCTCTACTAAAAATACAAAAATCAGCTGGGCATGGTGGCAGGTGCCTGTAATCCCAGCTACTTGGGAGGCTGAGGCAGGAGAATCACTTGAACCCAGGAGGGGGAGGTTGCAGCGAGCTGAGATCACACCACTGTACTCCAGCCTGGGTACCAAGAGTGAGACTCCGTCTCAAGTGAAAAAGAAGGCTCAGTCAGCACATTCTGTCTTTGGTTGGCAAAATAAGAGTTTTTTTGTTCAATGTCAGTAGACCCAGAAGTTTGGCCTGCACACTGCCACGATCCCAATTTATGCCACACCAACAACACGGCTACAGGTCTGCAGCGTTGATTTTTCCCTGGTCATGCACTTGGCTTTCTAATTAATTATCATTGATCCCTCTGCCAAAAGTAACAGCTACAACTACAGAAATAGAGAATGGTCTTGTGGGTTGGGTGCGATGGCTCATGCCTGTAATACCAGCACTTTGGAAAGCCAAGGGAAGAGGACTGCTTCAAGCCAGGAGTTCGAGACCAGCCTGGGCAAAAAAGCAAGACTGTCTCTATTAAAGAAATTTTAGCCCGGGCGTGGTGGCTCACGTCTGTAATCCCAGCACTTTGGGAGGCCGAGGCGGGTGGATCACTTGAGGTCAGGAGTTTGAGACCAGTCTGGCCAACATGGTGAAACCCCGTCTCTACGAAAACTACAAAAATTAGCCAGACGTGGTGGCGGGCACCTGTAATCCCAGCTACTCAGGAGGCTGAGGCAGGAGAATTGCTTGAATCCGGGAGGCAGAGGTTGCAATGAGCCCAGATTGCTCCACTGCACTCCAGCCTGGGTGACAAGAGCGAGACTCCTTCTCAAAAAAAAAAAAAAGAAATTTTAAAGATTAGCTGGGCATGGTGGCACACACCAATAGTCACAGCTACTCTGGGGGCTGAGGTGGGAGGATAGCTTGAGCCCAGGAGTTCAAGGCTACAGTGAGCTATGATGGTGGCACTGCACTCTAGCACACAAAGTGAGACCCCTGTCTAAAAAAAACAAAAAGAAACGAAAATGGTCCTGTGAGATTAAGCTGGTCAAAGAGACGTTTGCTTTATTTATTTATTTTTATTTTTTATTTTTATTATTATTATTTTTTTGAGACAGAATCTTCCACTGTCACCTGGGCTGATGTGTAGTGGTGCGATCTCGGCTCACTGCAGCCTCCACCTCCTGGGTTCAAGTGATTCTCCTGCCTTAGCCTCCTGAGTAGCTAAAATTACAGGCGCCCGCCACCATGCCAGGCTAATTTTTTGTATTTTTAGTAGAGATGGAGTTTCATTATGTTGGCCAGGCTGGTCTCAAACTCCTGACCTCGTGATCTGCCCGCCTTGGCCTCCCAAAGTGTTGGAATTACAGGCGTGAGCCACCGTGCCTGGCCGCTTTATTTTATTTTATTTTTATTTTATTATTATTAATTTTTAGACAGAGTCTTGCTCTGTCGCCCAGGCTGGAGTGCAGTGGCGCTATCTCAGCTCACTGCAAGCTCCACCTCCCGGGTTCACACCATTCTGCTGCCTCAGCCTCCCAAGTAGCTGGGACTACAGGCGCCCGCCACCACGCCCGGCTAGTTTTTGTATTTTTAGTAGAGATGCGGTTTCACTGTGTTAGCCAGGATGGTCTCGAGATCTGCCTACCTCGGCCTCCTAAAGTGCTGGGATTACAGGCGTGAGCCACCACGCCCAGCCCGCTTTATCTTATTTTTTAATTTTTCTTTTTCTTTTTCTTTTTTTTTGTTTTTTTGTTTGTTTGTTTGTTTTTTTGAGACAGAGTCTTGTTCTGTCACCCAGGCTGGAGTGCAGTGGCATGATCTAGGCTCACTGCAACCTCTGCCTCCAAGGTTCAAGCAATACTTGTGCCTCAGCCTCCCAGGTAGCTGGGATTATAGGCATGCACCACCATGCCCAGGTAATTATTTTGTATTTTTAGTAGAGACATGTTTCAACAAGTTTCACCATGTTGGCCAGGTTAGTCTCAAATTCCTGACCTCAAGTGACCTCCCATCTCGGCCTCCCAAAGTGCTGGGATTATAGGTGTAAGCTACTGTACCTGGCCTATTTTTTAAATTTTTCGAGATAGGGTCTTGTTCTATTGCCCAGGCTGGAATGCAGTGGCAGGATCACAGCTCACTGCAGCCTCAAACTCCTGGCCTCAAGCAATCTTCCTGCCTCAGCTTCCTGAGTAGCTGGGACTACAGGCACATGCCACCATGCTAATTATTTTCATTTCATTTCTTTTCTCTTTTTTTTTTTTTTGTGGGAATGGGGTTTCACCATGTTGCCTAGGCTGGTCTCCAACTCCTGGGCTCAAGCAATCCTCCTGCCTCAGTCTCCCAAAGTGCTTGGATTACAGTTCTAAGCCACTGTGCCCAGCCCTCTTCCTGTTTTTGGTACCCAGCTGCCCAGATAGTATGCTGAACACCACCCACTCCATATCCAGCACCAGAAGACAGCAGAATGACCTTAGTTTATAATGGCAAAAGAAATGCCCAGTTGAGCCCAGCCCAAATTGATGCCGACACAGAATGGCAAGTTAAATAGTTGTAGTTTACAGCACTACATTTGGGGCTAGTTTGATGTTATTTCTATTTTGTTAAAATAGGTGTGCACAATCCCAGCACTTTGGGAAGCCAAGGCAGGCAGATCACCTGATGTCAGGAGTTCAAGACCAGCCTGGCCAACATGGTGAAACCCTGTCTCTACTAAAATACAAAAATTAGCCAGGCATGGTGGTGGGCACCTGTAACCCAGCTACTCAGGAGGCTGAGGCAGCAGAATCGCTTGAACCCAGGAGGTGGAGGTTGCGGTGAGCCAAGATCGCGCCACTGCACTCCAGTCTGGGTGACAGAGCCAGACTCCGTCTCAAAAAAAAAAAAAAAAAAAATGGTATGCACATATAGAAGGAAAGTAGCATTGCTGTTTATACAAAAGAGAACTCACAGCCTTCTCTTTACCTGTGATGAAATTCAGGCAAAGAGACCTCTTGGCTAGGCAAGACTTACCATGGTCCCAACTACCAGCACAGGAAAAAATATATTGCAGAGAAAAGTTGTTTAAACAGTAAGGAAAATAAAGCCAGGCACAGTGGCTCATTCCTGTAATTCCAGCACTTTGGGAGCCTGAAGTGGGAGGATTGCTTGAGCCCAGGAGTTGGGGACCAGCCTGGAGAACACAGGGAGATCCCATCTCTACAAAAACCTTTAAAAATTAGCCAGGCTGGGGCGCCGTGGCTCTCGCTTGTAATCCCAGTACTTTGGGAGGCCGAGGAGAGCGGATCACTTGAGGTCAGGAGTTCAAGACCAGTCTGACCAACATGGTGAAAACCCATCTCTACTAAAAATATGCAAATTAGCCGAGCCAGGCCGGGCGCAGTGGCTCACGCCTGTAATCCCAGCACTTTGGGAGGCCAAGGCGGGCAGATCGCCTGAGGTCGGGAGTTGGAGATCAGCCTGACCAACATGGAGAAACCCCATCTCTACTAAAAATACAAAAAATTAGCTGGGCATGGTGGCGGATGCCTGTAATCCCAGCTACTAGAGAGGCTGAGGCAGGAGAATTGCTTGAACCCCAGAAGCAGACATTGCAGTGAGCTGAGATCGTGCCATTGCACTCCAGCCTGGGCAACAAGAGTGAAACTTCATCTCAGAAAAAAGAAAGAAAGAAATAATTAGCTGAGCCGGGGGTGGTGGCAGGAGCCTGTAATCCCAGCTACTCAGGAGGCAGAGACTGGGAGGCGGGGGTTACAGTGAGCCAAGATAGTGCCATTGCTCTCCAGCCTGGGTGACAGAGCAAGACTGCATCTCGAAAAAAAAAAAATTAGCTGGGTTGAGTGATACGTGCCTGTAGTCCCAGCTATGCAGGAGGCTGAAGTAGGAGGATCGCTTGAGGCAGGAAGGTAGAGGTTGCAGTGAGCTAAGATGGTGCCACTGCACTCCAGCCTGTGTGAGAGAGTGAGGCCCTGTCTCAAACACCAAAACAAAACAAAAAACACAAAATTATATGAACAAAATCACCCAACACAAATTTCTTCCCAAAGATGAAACTCTTTCTTCTGAGAGGCCCTAAACATGGCTGTTCAGCCACTATGAACTAATAAAGTTACACAGTGCTTGAGACCTGCTCTGGGTTATTTTCTGTGTTTCCAAGTCGAGTTAGGCTGGCTGATGCAACCCAATCCTGCCATCTCTTCACTAGCCATGAGTATCAGGTTGGCATGTGGAGTATACCTTCCTCAAAGGAATCAGTACCCGGTTGACCAGATCCCCACAGTGTTTCTCACTGTCTCCCATGAGTCACCAGGGCACACTCTGCATTTACAGCCCCGCCCATAACCAAGAAAGCTCTTCAGTTTCCTAGCTCCCTTCCCTGGCTTCTGCAGTAAGGTGTGACATTGACAATTATAATCTGGTACTTAGCCCTGTGGCTTCTGCTCTGTGCCAACCCTGGCTTTAGACAACCCTATGAAATCCTACAAAGGGTGGCATATCTGGCTGAAACCTCCCAGTGGGGGAAGGAAGGAGGGTTTAAGACAGCACTTTACTCAGTCTCCATGTAAATGAGCCCTTCCTGCAGGGGCCAGGGCCTCCTCAGTTTTCTGGGTCGGCATTGGACTTTGGACATTGGAACTGTCAGCAAGCCCTCTCACAGGAAAGGTGTTTGCCTTCCCAGTGGCAAACAGTCTATTATTCTAAACTTGGACGTGCTAGGACTGACTCATCCCTCCCTTGCGGCATCGATACTCGGTATCAGGCCACAGCCTAGCTGCAAAATCTCAGCTGGCTGGTAGTTTTCCCTCCTTCTCCGCCCACCCTGCTTCAACACGGTCCTTGATGCCAATCTCAAATTTCCCTGGTGGCTCAGCGCCCCAATTCAGCACTGAAGTTTTTACTTTTTTGCTTTCCCACACAAGCAAATATTTGTTAGTAATTTCCCAGCTCTTCATACTCTTGTGATTTCTTTAACCCACCTTTTGTAACCCGCTTTCCCTCTGCTCCAGGGTCTTGGTCATTACCTCTTCTAACTCAATTACATGACTTTCTTTTTTCCCACTTCCTCTTTCCTTCCATTGTTATGCAGGCGGAGGGGAGGGTGCTAAATGCACAAAAAGGAGAATTGGATTAGGTAGCAGGATATCTCACTGCTCTCTTCCTGGTTCTGCCCTGACCCTGAGTTCTCACTTTAATAAGCCGCACACCCACTCCACATGCTGTCTTCCCACTTGCAATGAGCCAGCAGTGTGGGAGAAATCAGTAAGAGTGCCTTGGCAGTGGCTCTGACGGAGGGTGGGGTGGATTCTGGGAGAATTCAAAGGTGGTGGCACCTTGTTACCATTTACTCAGGTGAGCTGGAGATTCTGATATTACAAAACAACAAACTCGACAGAAAGGAAGAAAACAGTAATGTTGGGAAGAAAAACAGTTTGGTTCAGGGATGTCAATGCTGGGAAAATTTGTATAAAATATCTGTCTGGAACTAGTCTTTCAAATAATGACAATCATTCTTTTGAGGGGACAGACACCCCTTGGAAAATCTGATGAAGGATATAGACTCCAGAAAATCACCGGGAAAATGTATATAAATGAAGTCAGGCACAGTGGGGTGCCTCTGTAGTCCCAGCTGCTGGGGAGGCTGAGGCGGGAGCCTCCTTGAGTCCTAGAGGCACACGAACGCCTTTAGGAAGCGGGTATAAGGAGCAGAGAACTGTAAGCAGGGCTTCCCTTCTTTGTAAATCTCATCTAGAGTTCAGGGCAGTTCAGAGAAAGCATTCATTTGTTCATTCATTCAACAAGTAACTCTTTGAGAAACTTCCAAGTGTCAAGCCCCATGCTGGGCCACATTGTGAGGCAGAAGGAGGTGAATCAGACACAGTGCCTGCTCCCGGGACACTCACGGTCTGGTGGGGGATACCAAGATAGAACAGGCAATGAGTGTACAGTGATGGCAGAGGTAGCAGAGAGAACTGTGGGAGCCTGGGGGTGGGGGCAGGGGCAGAACTACTTCCTACAGTTCCCTCTTCCCACAGCAATCTGGTCCTATACCTCTCTGACTACAAAGCAAAACAGTTAAAAAAAAAAAAAAAATCCAAGTATTCCCTGAGGTGCTACTCTGAGCTGTCCATGTCAGAGCTCTCACCCACACTGTGGCCCCATCCAGCTTTCACCTCTCAACTGGGATGGAGCCTGTGAACCCTCTCTCTCCTCACAGGCTCCCCAGGGTGCTGCCAAAGGCCTCACAGCCAACATACCCCCTATACCATCAAGGGCAGCTCCTCCTCCCCAGACCAGCTTTTGAATAAATTACCAACCCCCTTTGCACTTCCTTCTTTCTGTGCTTAAACCTTATTCATTTTATTTATTTATTATTATTATTTTAGACACACAGTCTCACTCTGCTCCCAGGCCGGAGTGCAGTGGCGTGATCATAGCTTATCGCAGCCTTGAACTCCTGGGCTCAAGCGATCCTCCCACCTCAG
The DNA here is from genome assembly GCF_000001405.40 of Homo sapiens. NCBI lineage: Eukaryota > Metazoa > Chordata > Mammalia > Primates > Hominidae > Homo > Homo sapiens. Next base: position 138,861,366 of record NC_000003.12, on the reverse strand, counting down.
ACTCTGGAGTAACTGGGATTACAGGTGTGAGCCACCATGTACAGCTCCTATTCCTTTTAATAGTTGAGCTGCAGGGAAATAAGGAGTAATGAAAATAGCTAGCTTTAAGGAAGTTAGAGATTTGCAAGAAACCTGAAGTGTCCTGGTAAGAGCTGGTCCTTTTATTCACAGCATCCAAAGGCTGGGGCTGGGCTGGGCTTCCTTACACTTCTTCCCTGACTTCTCCCTTCTTAGGGGTTTTAGGGGAAAGCATCCAGCTCCAAGTTTGGGCATCAGCAATCCTGCCTGTTGGCTGCTACCAATGTTGGATGCTAGGCTGCATCTGCTTATCCTAGCTGCTTCCCTAGCACTGGCTTCTGCCAATGGCCCCTAAGTATCCCTTTCATGGCTCCAGCTGTTCCTCTTACCTTCCTGGGTTCAGCTCTATCACTCTGGGAGGGAGAAAAGTTCCCTTCCTCTTTGTTCTTTGAAGAGTGCTACCCAGGGCTTCAGGTCCTCTTGTCCTGGTTGACATTCACCAATCCCAAAAGTTTCTCTGGCCAGGAGTGTTGGCTCATACCTGTAATCCCAACATTTGGGAAGCCCAAGGCAGGAGGATGGCTTGAGCCCAGGAATTCAAGACCAGCCTCAGCAAAATAGAGAGACCTTGTCTTATTTTATTCACAGGGTTTTAAAAAACTTTTTTTTTTTTTAATTTAAAAGCTAGCCAGGCATGGTGGTGCACACCTGTGGTCCAGCTACTCGGGAGTCTGAGATGAGAGGATCGCTTGAGCCCAGGAGGCTGAGGCTGCAGTAAGCCATGATTGCACCACTGCACTCCAGCACATCAGCCTGGGTGACAGAGTGACCGAGCCAGAACCTGTCTCAAAAAGAAAGTATCTCTGACATGGATACTTGGTAATCCTACTGTAACATGCAATTGCTTTTTAGAATATTTAATTCTATTTTAGAAAATGAATAAATTTACAGTTTGTAAGATAAAGGCAAAATCTTTTAAAATGTGTTAAGATAATAAGTACAAGATGTGTGTGACAAACATAGAAAAGATAGAAGAACCAAGAGATACCTACTATTCTTGAGGTACTAAATATACATGAGGCACTAGAATTCTGTAACAATCTAAATATACAAGAAACCCTAAATATTCATTCATGAAGTCTCAATGTGGAGGATGACAACCATTCTGGCCCCATCTTCTGTCCAAAACATACAAATAAACCCATAACTGCTCAGCTGGCTAATTGGAAAGCTACAGTGGTGACAAGGTGTACCGTAGCTGTGCGTATCTTTGGAATTAGTGTGTCTGATCCAGGGAAGGGTCCATCTGTGGGCATGCCTTTGCTCAAACCTCAATTCATTTTTTTTTTTTTTTTGAGACAGATCCTCACTATTTTGCCCAGGCTGGCGTGCAGTGGCATGATCCCGGCTCACTGCAACCTTTACCTTCTGGGTTCAAGTGATTCTTCTGCCTCAGCCTCCTAAGTAGCTGGGATTACAGGTGCCTGCCACCATGCCAGGCTAATTTTTGTATTTTTAGTAGAGATGGTGTTTCAAGATGTTGGCCAGGCTGGTCTCATACTCTTGACCTCAAAAGTGATCCACCCGCTTCAGCCTCACAAAGTGCTGGGATTACAGATGTGAGCCACCGCACCAGGCCTCAAACCTCAATTCTGTTCTTTATAGCTGCACTGTCAGCAGGGAAGACTAATGCAGCCAAGAGACTGAACATATGAACAATTGTGACCCCCAGGATTCAGATACTGTGACACTTCCACCCTGCTGCATGCATCCTATCCCAAGTGTGTTAACCTACCGCATCTCTTTCCTCTTGCTTTTTCCTGTGTGTTTTTAGCTTCACTTAATAAAGCATGTGATTTGAGCATTTAACTTGGCTTTTTTGGTTTTTTTTTTTTTTAAACAGGGTCTCTGTTACCCAGGCTGGAGTGTAGTGGCACAAACATGGCTCACAACCTTGACCTTTTGGGCTCCAGTGATCCTCCTGTCTCAGCCACCCAAGTGGCTAGAATTACAGATGCACACCACCATGCCTAGCTAACTTTTAAAATTTTTGTAGACATGAGGTCTCCCCATGTTGCCCGGGCTCTTCCCAAACTCCTGGGCTCAGGGGATCCTCCAGCTTTGGCCTCCCAAAATGCTGGGATTACAGGCATGAGCCACTGCTCCTGGCCTGAAAGCCTTTTTGTTCTTTGATTTCTGGGATAGCTGGCCTGATAGCGCACTTGGAAGCTACTACTGCTTCACCATATGCACCTACTTTCATAGCCTTTGTTTCTTCAAATCCTATTTGGCTGGTTATGACAAACTAGCTCAGCATGGGTTCTCATCCAGTATACATTTTACCTCTATCTTTTTTTTTTTTTTTTTTGGTAGAGATAGGGTCTCACTGTGTTACCCAGGCTAGAGGGCAGTGGTGCAATCTTGGCTCACTGCAACCTCCACCTCCTGGGCTCAAGCCACCATCCCATCTCAGCCTCCCGAGTAGCTGGGACTACAGGCATATGCCATCACACCTGGCTAATTTTTTGGTATTTTTTGTAGAGACGGGGTTTTGCCATGTTGCCCAGGTAGGTCTTGAACTCCCGGGCTCAAGCAATCTGCCTGTTCAGCCTCCCAAAGTGCTGGGATTACACGCATGAGCCACTGCGCCCGGTTGCCTCTATCTTTTTTCTTTACCCTTATTCCCCTGCCTTCTTGACCTGAGTCCTTCCCCTGATCCCCACCACAGGCAGAGGTCCTGGAGGCTAAGTAACCAAAGTTAACACAAGTCCTATCTTTTTTTTTTTTTTTTTTTTTTGACACGGAGTTTTGCTCACGTTTCCCAGGCTGGAGTGCAATGGCGCGATCTCGACTCACCGCATCCTCAGCCTCCCCTGTTCAAACGATTCTCCTGCCTCAGCCTCCCGAGTAGCTGAGATTACAGGCATGCACCACCACGCCCGGCTAATTTTTGTATTTTTAGTAGAGACGAGGTTTCACCATGTTGGTCAGGCTGGTCTCGAATTCCTGATCTCAGGTGATCCGCCTGCCTTGGCCTCCCAAAGTGCTGGGATTACAGGCATGAGCCACTGCGCCCAGCCCACAAGTCCTATCTTACAAAGCCATTTTGTAAGACATTTCTAGAGGAAGACAAAGTTCATCTCCCAACTCCAGGTGAACTTTTCACTATTCCTAGGTGCAGGGAGCTGGAGAGGGTTCTGGACTTTTTGGGTTTTGTTTTACTTTCCTGAATATTGGGGGTCCTCTGCTGAAAGTTCCTTAAAGGCAGGGACTGTTTATCATCTCTGCTGTCCTAGCTCCCACCACAGGGTGTAAAACAAACAAATTGCTCTAGCACCATTGAACTGTGTGTTCTTGAATTCTTTCATCTTGGCAGTTCAGTCTTTCACATCTAATCCATGACAAGTTCTAGCAGCTCTAGTAAAGTTGTTCTTAAATTTTCTTCCTTCATCTCTATTGCCACCACCACTATCCTGGTCCAAGCCATTCTAGCTCGACAGTTTTCTTTTTCTTTTTTTTTTTTTTTTGAGTCGGTGTCTCGCTCTGTCGCCCAGGCTGGAGTGCAATGGCACGATCTTGGCTCACTGCAACCTCCACCTCCTGGGTTCAAGCAATTCTACTGCCTCAGCCTACCTAGTAGCTGGGATTACAGGCACTCGCCACCATGCCTGGCTAATTTTTGTATTTTCAGTAGAGAAGGGGTTTCACCATGTTGGCCAGGCTGGTCTCAAACTGCTGACCTCATGATCCGCCTGCCTCAGCCTCCCAAAGTGCTGGGATTACAGGCATGAGCCACCGCGCCCAGCATAGCTAGATATTTTTCTAGTTAGGAACATATTATAGCTTCCCTACTTTCCCTATAAACTTCCCTAACCTACTTTCACAAAGCTGATACATTGATCTGAGAGAGAAAGAGACAGAAAGAGAGACAGAGGGAGAGAGAGAGAGAGAGAGAGAAATTGAGAAATTGATTAACCTCAAAAATCTAGAATCCTTGAAATCTGGCATATTTCAGGCAAAAATTCCCATTCATGGAAGAGGTGAGGTGGGTCTGTGAGCCCACAGTTTTATATATATATATATAGATATACTTTTTTTTTTTTTTTTTTTTTGCTGCCACAGACATATTTCTGTTCTTCATTTTTTTAAAGAAATTAAGACCAAGTGCGGTGGCTCACACCCATAATCCCAACACTTTAGGAGAACGAGGTGGGAGGATTTTGCTTGAGCCCAGGAGTTCCAGGCTGCAGTGAGCTACA